>NC_000007.14:48725090-49028120 GCF_000001405.40 Homo sapiens
AAATGATCTCCTTTGACTCCACATCTCACATCACGCTGATGCAATAGGTGGGTTCCCATGGTCTTGCCCAGCTCTGCCCCTGTGGATTTGCAGGGTGCAGCCTCCGTCCTGGCTGGTGTCATGGGTGCTCATTGAATGTCTGTTGATTTTCCAGGCACATGGTGCAAGCTGTTGGTGGACCTACCATTCTGGGGTCTGGAGAATAGTGGCCCTCTTCTCACCACTCCACTAGGCAGTGCCCCAGAAGGAACTCTGTGTGGAGGCTCTGACCCCACATTTCCCTTCCACACTGCTCTGGCAGAGATTCTCTATAAGGGCCCTGCCCCTGCAGCAAACTTCTGCCTGGGCATCCAGGCATTTCCATACATCCTCTGAAATTGAGGCAGAGGTTCCCAAACCTCAATCTTTGACTTCTATGTACCTGCATGCTCAATACCACGTGGAAGCTGCAAATGCTTGAGCTTGCACCCTCTGAAGCAACAGCCCGAGCTGTACTTTGACCCCATTTAGCCATGGCTGGAGTGGCTGGGATGCAGGGCACCAAGTCCCTAGGCTGCACAGAGCAGGGGGACCCTCGGCCCAGCCCACAAACCCATTTTTTTCTCCTAGGCCTCCAGGCCTATAATAGGAGGGGCTGCCATGTAGACCTCTGACATGCCCTGGAGACATTTTCCCAATGGTCTTGGCAATTAACATTTGGCTTCTCGTTACTTATGCAAATTTCTGTAGCTGGCTTGAAATTCTCCTCAGAAAATGGGTTTCTCTTTTCTATTGCATCAGCAGGCTGCAAATTTGCTGAAATTTTATGCTTTGTTTCCCTTTTAAAACTGGATACTTTTAACAATACCCAAGTCACCTCTTGAATGCTTTGCTGCTTAGAAATTTATTTCATCAGATACCCTAAATCATCTCCCTCAAGTTCAAAGTTCCACAAATCTCTAGGGCAGAGGCCAAATGCTACCAGTCTCTTTGCTAAAACATAACAAGAGTCTCTTTTACTCTAGTTCTCAACAAGTTTCTCATCTCCAACTGAGACCACCTCAGCCTGGAGTTCATTGCCCATATCATTATCAGCATATTGGTCACAGCCATTCAAAAAATCTGTAGGAAGTTCCAAACTTTCCCATACTTTCCTGTCTTCTGAGCCCTCCAGATTGTTCCAACCTCTGCCTGTTACCCAGTTCCAAAGTCACTTCCATATTTTCAGGTATCTTTATAGCAGTGCCCTGCTCTATCAGTACCTATTTACTTTATTAGTCAGTTTTCATGCTGCTAATACGACATACCCAGACTGGGTAATTTATAAAGAAAAGAAGTTTAACTGACTGACAGTTCCACACAGCTGGGGCGGCCTGACAATCATGGAAGAAGGTGACGGAAGAGCAAAGGGACTTCTTAATGGTGGCTGGCAAAGACAAAATGAGAGCCAAGCAAAAGGGGTTTCCTCTTATAAAACCATCAGATCTCATGAGACTTATTCATTACCAAGAGTATAATATGGGGGAACCTGCCCCTGTGATTCAATTGTCTTCCACTGAGTCCCTCCCATGACATGTGGGAGCTACAGTTCAAGATGACATTTGGGTGGGGTCACAGTCAAACCATATAACTGGCCATGATGGGAAGAGAGGTCAGACATGCCTTTATCTCATCCCTTTTGGAGTTTAGGCACAACTGACCAGCATGAATGTCAAAATAGATATTACAAGACTGACAAAAAAGACTTTTGTGGCAACAAAATATCAAATTATAAACAAAACCTAAGGCAAGGCAAGGCAAGCATTAAGTCTTGCCTGCAGGCAATCAGTCTTATTAAATAGGTCATATTACGGCTGACTCTAACACACCATCCTTATTTGAACTTAAACATTCCTTTCTGTTAACTCCAAGTTTTTAGACAAATCTTTGTTCCTTTAACCAATTTCAGATTAACAAATCTCAATCCATCTATGACTTGCAAGACCCCACTTCAAGATATTCCACCTTTTCGGGCAAAATCAATGTATACCTTTCATGTATTGATTTATGTCTTTGCCTATAACTCCTGCCTTCCTGAACTTATCCAGTAATCCAGCTGCCTCAGAATCACTTATTCAAGGCTTCTTGGGTTTGTGCTTTCTCCAGGTGATGGTCACTCATAATGGCTCAGAATAAACCTCTTTAAGGTATTGTATAGAGTTTGTTTTTCTCCATTAACTGGAGGATAATAGAAACCTCTTTATGAGGCACCTTCTTGGGTGACGTTATTACTCAAAGTTTTTAAGCACAAGACAGCCTGTCTCCAGACTGAGAGAGAGACCGCTTCCATTAGTTAGGTTGTCCATGGGTATTGACTTTTAGCATCCCATTTTCCAACAACAATGAAGTCATCATTAATTCAGGTCAAACTGGTGAGCCTTCAAATTTTTAAATCTTATCTCAAAGGTCTGTTTCATGAGCTCACTCTTGGTACCCAGCTGCTGTCAGCCAAGGTAAAGCTAAGAGAACAAAAAATCTATTCCTGGAGTCCAAGAGAGGAAATGTAATGTGAGGAACTGCTTATGAAGTTGTCAAAAGAGATAAAAATGAGAAAGTAAGGCATCTCAGAGATTAATAATGACTGATTAACAACTTACAAAATAATAACACAAATTTTTGTGTTAGGGCTAGAGGGTCATCTGGGAAAAAATGGGGTTACTATATGACAGGAGCTGGAACTGCCTGGTAGGACAGAGAAGCATGGTGGAAAGGATAGGTGATGAGGGCTGGAGCTGTGAAGAAGCTGCCTGGAGGAAGATGAGATGAAGTAAAGAGACATCCCAGTAGGAGATTAAATCACAGAGGACAACTATTAGGCTGGTGCAAAAGCAATTGTGGTTTTGGACTATGAATTTTCAATAATTATAACTAAGCTCAAACACATCATTATTAATCAAAATAGGAACCATTACAATCAACACATTTTTGACAATGAGAAGTAAGTTGGTTTATTCCTGTAGTGTAAAAATCCATGCTTTGGGATTCAATGAACTCTAGGAAAGCATTTTCTGCATTCTATTGGCTGTGGAAGCATTTTCCCTGCAAAAAGTTGTTGAGATGCTTGAAGAAGTGGTAGTCAGTTGGCGAGAGGTCAGGTGAATATGGCAAGTGAGGCAAAACTTTGTAGCCAGTTCATTCAACTTTTGAAGTCTTGGTTGTGCGACATGCGGTCGGTGTTGTTGTGGAGAATTGGGCCCTTTCTGTTGACCAATGCTGGCTACAGGTGTTACAGTTTTCAGTGCACCTCATCAATTTCCTGAGCATACTTCTCAGATGTAATGGTTTTGCTGGGATTCAGAAAGCTGTAGTGGATCAGACCAGCAGCAGACCACCAAACAGTTGCCATGACCTTTTTTTTTTGGTGTAAATTTTGATTTGGGAAGTGCTTTGGAGCTTCTTCTTGGTCCAACCACTGAGCTTGTCATCACCAGTTGTCATATAAAATCTACTTTCTGTCACTTGTCACAATCTGATAGAGAAATGATTCGTTGTTGTTGTGTAGCATAAGAGAAGAAGACACTTGAAAACGACAATTTTTTTGATTTTTGCTCAGCCCATGAGGTACCTACTTATTGAACATTTTTACCTTTCCAATTTGCTTCAAATGCTGAATGACCTTAGAATGGTTGATGTTGAGTTTGTCAGGAACTTCTAGCATAGTCGTAAGAGGATCAGCTTCGATGATTGCTCTCAATTGGTCATTGTCAAGTTCTGGTGGCTGTCCACCACACTCCTCATCTTCAAGGTTCTCATCTCCTTTGCAAAACTTGAACCACCATGGCACTGTATGTTCATTAGCAGTTCCTGTGTCAAAAGCATTGTTAATGTTATGAGTTGTCTCCACTGCTTTAGGACCCATTTTGAATTAGAATAAGAAAATCACTTGAAATCGCTTTTTGTGTGACGTTATTTCCATAGTCTAAAATAAACATAAAATAAACAAGAAATTGGCAAAAATAAATAAATAAATAAATAATACAGCGAGAAATGCCCAATAAAATGTTGTATAACATAAAGAGATTTATTTAATAATGTATTCCAATATCAAATGACAAATTCCAACAATGCAAAAACCACAATTACTTTTGCACTCACTGAGTAGATGTACCTAGGAGTGCCATACAAAGAGGAGGGAGAGAGTAGGAACAGCTGAGATTCTCTCTTCCTCCTGCTTCTAGTCTACCATCCTACTCTCCACTGACCAAACCTGCCTAAAACCAGTAGACAACAAACCTGGGGAACGTAATTCTTATGCATCTACCCCTTAAATTGCAGAGCACAGCAATAGAAATGTACAAAGTGAATCTGAAAGTAAACAAATGCGGACCTAATAGACATCTACAGAACTCTCCACCCCAAATCAACAGAATATACATTCTTTTCAGCACCACACCACACCTATTCCAAAATTGACCACATAGTTGGAAGTAAAGCACTCCTCAGCAAATGTAAAAGAACAGAAATTATAACAAACTGTCTCTCAGACCACAGTGCAATCAAATTAGAACTCAGGATTAAGAAACTCACTCAAAACCACTCAACTACATGGAAACTGAACAACCTGCTCCTGAATGACTACTGGGTACATAACGAAATGAAGGCAGAAATAAAGATGTTCTTTGAAACCAATGAGAACAAAGACACAACATACCAGAATCTCTGGGACACATTCAAAGCAGTGTGTAGAGGGAAATTTATAGCATTAAATGCCCACAAGAGAAAGCAAGAATGATCTAAAACTGACACCCTAACATCACAATTAAAAGAACTAGAGAAGCAAGAGCAAACACATTCAAAAGCTAGCAGAAGGCAAGAAATAACTAAGATCAGAGCAGAACTAAAGGAAATAGAGACACAAAAAACCCTTCAAAAAATTAATGAATCCAGGAGCTGGTTTTTTGAAAAAGATCAACAAAATTGATAGACCACTAGCAAGACTAATAAAGAAGAAAAGAGAGAAGAATCAAATAGATGCAATAAAAAATGATAAAGGGCATATCACAGAAATACACCGATCCCACAGAAATACAAACTACCATCAGAGAGTACTATAAACACCTCTGTGCAAATAAACTAGAAAATCTAGAAGAAATGGATAAATTCCTCGACACATACACTCTCCCAAGACTAAACCAGGAAGAAGTTGAATCTCTGAATAGACCAATAACAGGCTCTGAAATTGAGGCAATAATTAATAGCCTACCACCCAAAAAAAGTCCAGGACCAGATGGATTCACAGCCGAATTCTACCAGAGGTACAAGTAGGAGCTGGTACCATTCCTTCTGAAACTATTCCAATCAATAGAAAAAGAGGGAATCCTCCCTAACTCATTTTATGAGGCCAGCATCATCCTGATACCGAAGCCTGGCAGAGACACAACAAAAAAAGAGAATTTTAGACCAATAGGCCTGATGAACATCGATGCAAAAATCTTCAATAAAATACTGGCAAACCGAATCCAGCAGCACATCAGAAAGCTTATCCACCATGATCAAGTGGGCTTCATCCCTGGGATGCAAGGCTTGTTCAACATACGCAAATCAATAAATGTAATCCAGCATATAAACAGAACCAACGACAAAAACCATATGATTATCTCAATAGATGCAGAAAAGGCCTTTGACAAAATTCAACAGCACTTCATGCTAAAAACTCTCAATAAATTAGGTATTGATGGGATGTATCTCAAAATAACAAGCTATCTATGACAAACCCACAGCCAATATCATACTGGGTGGGCAAAAACTGGAAGCATTCCCTTTGAAAACTGGCAGGAGACAGGGATGACCTCTCTCACCACTCCTTCCAACCTTGTGTTGGAAGTTCTGGCTAGGGCAATCAGGCAGGAGAAGGAAATAAAGGGTATTCAATTAGGAAAAGAGGAAGTCAAATTGTCCCTGTTTGTAGATGACATGATTGCATATCTAGAAAACTCCATCATCTCAGCCCAAAATCTCCTTAAGCTGATAAGCAACTTCAGCAAAGTCTCAGGATACAAAATCAATGTGCAAAAATCACAAGCATTCTTATACGCCAATAACAGACAAACACAGAGCCAAATCATGAGTGAACTCCCATTCACAATTGCCTCAAAGAGAATAAAATACCTAGAAATCCAACTTACAAGCGACATAAAGATCTCTTCAAGGAGAACTACAAACCACTGCACGATGAAATAAAAGAGGATATAAACAAATGGAAGAATATTCCATGCTCATGGGTAGGAAGAATCAATATTGTGAAAATGGCCATACTGCCCAAGGTAATTTATAGATTCAATGCCATCCCCATCAAGGTACCCATGACTTTCTTCACAGAACTGGAAAAAACTACTTTAAAGTTCAATATGGAACCAAAAAAGAGCCCACATCGCCAAGTCAATCCTAAGCCAAAAGAACAAAGCTGGAGGCATCACGCTACCTGACTTCAAACTATACTACAAGGCTACAGCAACCACCACAGCATGGTACTGGTACCAAAACAGAGATATAGATCAATGGAACAGAACAGAGCCCTCAGAAATAATGCCGCATATCTACAACCATCTGATCTTTGACAAACCTGACAAAAACAAGAAATGGGGAAAGAATTCCCTATTTAATAATGGTGCTGGGAAAACTGGCTAGCCATATGTAGAAAGCTGAAACTGAATCCCTTCCTTATATCTTATACAAAAATTAATTCAAAATGGATTAAAGACTTAAATGTTAGACCTAAAACCATAAAAAGCCTAGAAGAAAACCTAGGCAATACCATTCAGGACATAGGCATGGGCAAGGACTTCATGTCTAAAACACCAAAAGCAATGGCGACAAAAGCGAAAATTGACAAAATCGATCTAATTAAACTAAAGAGCTTCTGCACAGCAAAAGAAACTACCATCAGAGTGAACAGGCAACCTACAGAATGGGAGAAAAGTTTTGCAATCTACTCATCTGACAAAGGGCTAATATCCAGATTCTACAATGAACTCAAACAGATTTACAAGAAAAAGACAAACAACCCCATCAACAAGTGGGTGAAGGATATGAACAGACACTTCTCAAAGGAAGACATTTATGCAGCCAAAAGACACATGAAAAAATGCTCATCATCACTGGTCATCAGAGAAATGCAAATCAAAACCACAATGAGATACCATCTCACACCAGTTAGAATGGCGATCATTAAAAAGTCAGGAAACAACAGGTGCTGGAGAGGATGTGGAGAAATAGGAACACTTTTACACTGTTGGTGGGACTGTAAACTAGTTCAACTATTGTGGAAGTCAGTGTGGCAATTCCTCAGGGATCTAGAACTAGAAATACCATTTGACTCAGCAATCCCATTACTGGGTATATACCCAAAGTATTATAAATCATGCTGCTATAGAGGCACATGCACACATATGTTTACTGTGGCACTATTCACAACAGCAAAGACTTGGAACCAACCCAAATGTCCAACAATGATAGACTGGATTAAGAAAATGTGGCACATATACACCATGGAATACTATGCAGCCGTAAAAAATGATGAGTTCACGTCGTTTGTAGGGACATGGATGAAGCTGGAAACCATCATTCTCAGCAAACTATCGCAAGGACAAAAAAACAAACACCGCATGTTCTCACTCATAGGAGGGGATTGAACAATGAGAACACATGGACACAGGAAGGGGAACATCACACACCGGGGCCTGTTGTGGGGTGAGGGGAGAGGGGGGGATAGCATTAGGAGATATACCTAATGTTAAATGACGAGTTAATGGGTGCAGCACACCAACATGGCACATGTGTACATATGTAACAAACCTGCACGTTGTGCACTTGTACCCTAAAACTTGAAGTATAATTAAAAAAACAAACAAACAAACAAAAAAAACAAATGACCAGCATGTTGATTTTTTTTCCTTAAAACTTGCAGTGTAAAGGATAAACCAAATTGGAAGTGACATTTTCTATACCAGGTCAATGTCTTTTCTCAGTAAGCATGCATCTCCTTGACTACTGTATTCATTTTTTTCTGTAGCTGCGTAAAAAATTAATGGGTTGAAACAACATACACTCATCTCACAGTTTTAGTGTAGCAGAATCTGTGCATGGCTTAGCTGGATCTTCTGCTCAGCATCAAACAAGACTGCAGTCAAAGTGTTGTTTGGGCTGCAGTCTCATCATCAGTTTGACTGAGGAAAGAGCCCCTTCTAAGCTTCCTCAGGTTGTTTGCAGAATTAATTTTTCTCGCAGCTATGGAACTCACGATGTCTTCTTCAAGGCCAGCAAAAGTGCTTCTCTTCAACACGGACCTAGTCTCTTGTAGGGCTTTTCAACTGATTGTCAGATTCATTCAGGATAATTTCCCACTTGATTAACTAAAAATCAATTTATTTGGGACCTTACACTACATCTGAAAAATTTCTCCACCTTTGCCATGGTACATAACCTAAATACAAGGAATGAACTTTTATTCTAATCATTCCCAAATAGAAGGAATGATCTTTTATTCAAAGATCTTGCCCACATTCAAGGTGGGGAGGATTATGTAGGGTGTATATACATTGAGGGGTTGGGGGGGCAAGAATCATGGGGTCTTCTGAGAATTATGCCTACCTCCAGTGCTTTGTATAATCTTCATATTTTTCCCACATATAGAAGTCATATTTCAGAAGTTCCACTGTTGAATTTTTTTCTAGTTCTGTCAGTTGACATAATTGCCTTTTTTTAGAAAAGGCAACTTCCATTCCATAGTCTCAGAGATAATGATAAGAAGCCCAGTACATGGTGATTGCACTTTCTAATTTTATTCTAAGTTTACTGGTAACAGATTATATCATCAGAATTGAAGAAACAAATATAATGTACTGCTGAGTTATTCAGTTACTGGGAGGAGATAATAGTATTTCTAATGATTGATGAATGAAGTCAGCAAAACTAGAGGTGAGTATGTGGTAAACTGGAAGCGTAGAACAAAACATTTAATTTATTACCTTAAGGAGCTTTTATTTTATGAACAGTGGTCCCTTGGATTATAAATCTACATTTATGGGCTCTCCAAAGAGCTGTCACCTTAGAATAGAAAGCACTGCAGTCCACAGAGTGAAGATCAGCGTCTTTACAGAACTGATGGTAGATAGATGCTCATTATTTGAATAATCCATATGCAAGACTCTAGAAAGTGGTGTGGGGATCCCTATTTTGGGAAGCTATACATTATAACAGGTATTTTTAAGGGCCAAGTTTGTGGTCATGGCTCTGAGACTCATTGCTGGGTGAATTTGAACAATTTTCTTAACCTCTTTAGGACAGCTTCTTTCATCTATAAATGAATTGGTGGATTCTAAAGTTGAAGGCTCCAACATTCTATATGTCTTAAAATTATAGTAGAGATGCTATTTAGGTGCCTTAGAATTTGGAATCCTTGCTTTTCGTTTTTTAAAAGGAGAAGGATTTCAAGTGCATGGTGTGTTGTCAGCTGGGAAAAAGAAAACACAGAGAACACAAAACGTAAGACCCTCATTAACTAGATGGTAATACACATAGCCCTTATTGTTTTCATGTCATAAAGAAAAACCTCCTCAGTATGGCTTTGAAACCTTTCCTGTTTTTGTTCCCTCCTGCTGAAGCAACAAGAGCCCTTGCCTTACTTTATGTATTTCATATGTCACATCCTCTCTTGATTTTGACTGAAAGATACATTCTCAGTTTCTTAATCTGACACGCTATTTCCCCTTTAAGGTGGAAGCCAGAATGTCTGTGACATATCCTCCACTCCTCCTTCCCCTAGGCTGTAGAGATCTTCCCAGCATTTATTGTGCAGGCGTTGCCTGTGTCATTGCAAGTTCTGTAGTGACATCATCCTGTTTCTTTGAGGCAGGGACCTTAATTGTTGCTATTGGCTTAAATGATTAAGTGAATGTATATATTAGACTTTACCCTACATTTAAGTATTCCAGGGGTAAGATAAAGGGGTCTCCCTTCTCTCTAGTAAGCCATAGGCTTTCAATAATAGAATTTTAAAGAATAGCATTGCCATAGTTTGAGTATGTCTTCTAACAATCATGTGTTAGAAATTGAATCCCCGGTGAAACAGTGTTGGGAGGTGGAGCTAAGTGGAAAGTGTTTGGATCATAAGGGCTTCACCCTCATGAATGAATTTATGCCCATTGTAAAAGAGCTTGAGACTGCCAGTTGGTTGTTTTGCTCTCTTTTTGCCCTTTTATCATCGGATGACACAGCCAGAAGTCCCTCACAAGATGTGGGCTCCCTGACATTGGACTTCCTGACCTTCAGAACTATAAGAAATAAATCTGTTTTATTATAAATTACCCAGTGTCAGGTCTTCTGTTACAGCAGCACAACATGAATTAAAAACAAATATATGCATCACTTTTTAATTTAACAAATATGTAACACTTATTGTGTAGCTGGCATTGTTCTACGCACTACACACACTAATTTAATTCTTATAACAACTCTATGAGGTCATTGCTGTTATTGTCTCTGTTTTATGGACAAGAGCTGAGGCACAGAGAAGTAACTTCCCCAGTGATCTTGTTTGTCTCATAATGAAAACCAGTGTTTTCTTTTTTCCCCAGCGTTTAAAGTGGTCTGTGTAGTAAAACAATTTTTAAAAAGAGAAACACAATCATTGTTTTTTCCTCTAGAATGTCCAACTGAAAAGTAGTTGTTTTTAAATCAATTAGGAGATTCTAGTTTTGAAGTTGAGCCCTATTGTTGACAAGAAGGGAGCACTAAAGGAAACCCTTGGGACTAGCCCCATAATGTTGGCTCTCTCTAGTTTTCACACAGAAAGATAACTCTTAAATTAAAAACCAGTTACTAATAGAGCAAAACGAAAAGGTTGAGACAGCATGACACAGAATGGGCAATTACTTTTAGAGGACTTTTTCTCCAATATTTCTAATAAAATGGGACATGTTTCCTCAATGCTGCTTTGAAGAAAATATTGCTAACTTAAATATAACTTAAATCACAATAATAACAATCCATGATAGAGGAAAGAAATCGCACTTTTCTAGTTTTCTTTTATTTGCATTTAATAGTGTGGCAAAGCTTTAGAGACCTTTTCCAAGATTGCTTTAGCAAATTTGTGCCTTTGATCAAACACACACCATACCACACACACAGACACACACGCACGTGCACACACACACACACACACACACACACGTCTATTTTGAAATCCAGTTGCTTTAATGGTCATCATAATGATGCTGTCTATACTCAGCTTCTCAATACTTCTTTTATGACCAAGAACTAGACAATTGTCAATACAGAAAAGTCAAGGAGGTAAACCATGTGACAAAATGTAAACAGGTGTTCAATAACAATGTCTTATGAAAATGACTGGTGTTAGAACAGCAGAAGGATTTGAGATCATCTGAGGTTTACATCTCTATGGGCCCTCTTGCCTATCTGGGGGCTAGGCTTATGGGGGACATGCAATAATACATTTATTCAACAAATAAATTTGTGAGTGTGCCAATAAAAAACTAAGGCCTGGCCGGGTGCGGTGGCTCATGCCTGTAATCCCAGCACTTTGGGAGGCAGAGACGGGTGGATTACGAGGTCAGGAGATCGAGACCATCCTGGCTAACATGGTGAAACCCTGTCTCTACTAAAAATACAAAATAATTAGCTGGGCGTGGTGGCGGGTGCCTGTAGTCCCAGCTACTTGGGAGGCTGAGGCAGGAGAATGGTGTGAACCCGGCAGGCAGAGCTTGCAGTGAGCCAAGATTGCGCCACTGCACTCCAGCCTGGGAGACAGAGTGAGACTCCATCTCAAAAAAATAAATAAATAAATAAAACAAAACAAGACAAAAAACAAACAAACAAAAAAAACTAAGGCCCAGGGAAATTAAACAACTTAATATCATGCAAATATGAGACAGCAGAGAGAAACACTGAATCTAGGCATTCTGTCTTCATATACCACATTCTTTCCCATACTCCTTGGCTATTATTTTTACACAGTGCAGATATTTATTTTGTTTTTTAAAATAATATATAATGCCACTATTTATGGAGTATAAATCAATTTGGCTATTACATGTTTGCCTAAAAGAATTTCTGACATTTATTTTAGTACAAAAATGTTCCTAAATAGCAAATAAATTTCTGTTATTATTTTGTTAGAATTCTTTTGGTGTACCTATTTGCTTCTCCCTCAAAAGTGCACGTCTGCAAGAATACTTGTGCAGGCAGTCCAGGGTGGACAGAAAGGTCTGTGGGAGAAAAAAATGTAAAGATTGAACCTGAATATGGATTTTGAAATTGATGTGCTTTACCAAGAAATTTCAAGAGGAGAGAATGTATGCCTTTACAGAACCAATAAAATGATTATGGTATTTATTTTCCTTTGCCAATTATTGATTCATTAGTTCATATTAATAGATATCTTAATTTAAAAGTATTGGGGAGTTCTCCAATTATACCCTAAATGATCAAAGCATAATACATGCTGATATGGTTTGGCTGTGTCTCCACCCAGATCTCATCTTAAATTTTAGTTCTCATGATCCCCACATGTCATGGGAGGGACCCCATGGGAGGTAATTGAATCATGGGGGCGGTTATCCCCATGCTGTTCTTGTGATAGTGAGTTCTCATGAGATCTGATGGTTGTATAAGGATCTTTTCCTCCTTTGCTCAACACTTTCTCTCCTGCTGCCATGTAAAGAAAGATGTGTTTGCTTACCCTTCTGCCATGATTGTAAGTTTCCTGAGGCCTCCCAAGCCATGCAAAACTGTGAGCCAATTAAACTTCTTTTCTTTATAAATTACCCAGTTTCAGGTATTTCTTCATAGCAGTGTGAGAGCAGACTAATACACTAAATTGGTACCACAGAGAGTGGGGTGCTTCTTTAAGGATACACTTTGGAACTCGGTAATATGCAGAGGTGTAATGGTTTGGAGGGTGCTGAAGAAGATGGGAAAATATGGGAAAGTCTGGACCTTTGTAGAGACTTATTGAATGATTTTGACCAAAATGCTGATAGTGATATGGACAAAGAAGTCCAGGCTGAGGTAGTCTCAGGTGGAGATAAGGAACTTTTTGGAAACTGGAGTGAAGATGACTCTTGCTATGCATTAGCAAAGAGACTGGTGTCATTTTTCCCCTTCCCTAGAGATCTATGGAACTCTGAACTTGAGAGAGATGCTTTAGAATATCTGGCATAAGGAATTTCTAAGTGGTAAAGCATTCAAGAGGAAGCAGAACATAAAAGTTTGAAAAATTTGCAGCCTAACAATGCTATTGGAAAGAAAAACCCATGTTCTGGGGAGAAATTGAAGCAGGCTGCATAAATTTGCATAAGTAATGAGCAGCCAAATGTTAATCACCAAGACAATGGGGAAAATGTCTCCAGGGTACATCAGAGACCTTCATGGCAGCTCCTCCCATCATTGATTCAGAGGCCAAGGAGGGAAAAATGGTTTCCTGGGCTCAGCTCAGGGCCCCCTGCTCTGTGCAGTCTTGGGACATGGTGCCCTGTGTCCCAGCTGTTTCAGCGCCAGCCATGGCTAAAAGGGGCCAAGATACACCTCAGACCATTGCTTCAGAGGGTAAAAGCCCCAAGCCTCAGGGGTGTTTACATGGTTTCGGGTCTGCAGGTGCACAGAAGTTAAGAATTGAGGTTTGGGAGCCTCCACCTAGATTTCAGAGGATGTTTGGAAAAGCCTGGATGTCCAGGCAGAAGTTTACTACAGGGGTGGAGCCCTCATGGAGAACCTCTGCTAGGGCAGTGCAGGAGGGAAATGTGAGGTTGGAGCCCCCACACAGCATCCCCCCTGGGGAACTGCCCAGTGGAGCTGTGAGAAGAGGGCCACCGTCCTCCAGACCCCAGAATGGTACATCCACTGACAGCTTGCACTGTGCACCTGGAAAAGCTGCAGGCACTCAACACCAGCCCAAGAAAGCAGCTGTGATGGGGGCTGTATCCTGCAAAGCCACAGGGGCAGAGCTGCCTAAGGCTGTGGGAGCCCACCTCTTGCATCAGCATGACCTGGATGTGAGACATGGAGTCAAAGGAGGTCATTTTGGAAATTTAAGATTTAATGATTGCCCTATTGGATTTCAGACTTGCATTGGGCCTGAAGTCCCTTTTTTTTGGCCAATTTCTTCTCTTGGAAAAGGTGTATTTACCTAATGCCTGTATCCCCGTTGTATCTAGCAAGTATAATGACTAACTTGCTTTTAATTTTTCAGGATCATAGACATAAGGGACTTGCCTTGTCTTGGATGAGACTTTGGACTTGGATATTTGGGTTAATGCTGGAAGGAGCTAAGACTTTGGGGGACTGTTGGAAAGGCATCATTATGTTTTGAAATGTGAGGTCATGAGATTTAGAAGGGGCTAGGAGTGGAATGATGTGGTTTGGCTGTGTCCCCCACCAAATCTCATCTTGAATTATAGTTCCCATAATCCCCAGATGTCCTGGGAGGGACCTGGTGGGAGGTAATTAAATCATGGAGGCAGTTACCCCCATGCTGTTCTTGTGATAGTGAATGGATTCTCACAAGATCTGATGGTTTTATAAGGGGCTTTTCTGGCTTTGCTTGGCATTTCTCTCTCCTGCCACCTTGTGAAGAAGAATATATTTGCTTTCTCTTCCACCATTATTGTAAGTTTCCTGAGGCCTCCCCAGCCATGCAGAACTGTGAGTCAATTAAATCCCTCTCCTTTATAAATTAACCAGTCATGGACAGTTCTTTATAGCAGCATGAGAACAGACCAATACACAAGCCTATGTGCATTGTGGACACTGCTCTTACTCTGCACAGGTCTCTGGCTCCCACCTGAAAGTTCTGTTCACACCTCCCTTCATTACTATTTGCTTTTGCTTCCAAAGATCCTTTGCCTGGGACTTGTTTTGGAGACCTGCTCTTGGACTACTAGAACCTCCTGGAGCTACTTTGTGGACACAAAGGAAGCAGAAGTACCTGCAATTTTATATTCACATGAGCAACCCAGAGCCAGTGACTAACTTGTCAAAGAGTGTGAAAACCCAGCTCCTTGCCCAGTCTTGGGACAAACTCTCAGATATCACTTATACTCCAGCATCTGCCTGTAGGATCTAGCCTAACCTTTCCTGCCTGGGACTCAGCCTAAAATTTTCCTTACTCTTGAATGTTTTAATCTTTCCATTTCTTTTTTCCTTCCTCTCTTGCTCATTTTTTTCCTGGGAGCACTTCCTGAATAACTCACTTGCCCAAGAATCTTTGTTTTACTGTTTGCTTCTAAAGAATTGGCCTAAAATGTATACTACATGATTTGCAAATGTTAAATTCTGATTTTAGCCTCTGTATCAATTTTCTAAAGGGGTCTATATGTTTCTTCTGGAGGCTCTGGGGAGAATTAGTTCCTTGGGGTTTCCAAGTACATTCCAAGTATCTCCCAACCTCTGCTTCCATCAGCAAATCTCTCCTGCCTCTGCCTTGCAAGGATCTTTGTGGTTACGTTGTGTCCACCCTGATAATTCAGGCTGATCTCCTCATCCTGAAGCCTTTAATTAAAGCAAATCTGCAAGTCCCTTTTGCTACATAAGATAACATGTTCATAGGTTCTGGGGATTAAAATGTAGAAATTTGATGGGGTGGACTATTCTCTTTACCATAGCAACTCAGAAAGATGACCTTCTCTGAAATTTTATTAATCTCCTGTTTGTTACAGTCTTCTGTTACTTATACTCATAAGTGAAATTGACCTATCAGAGGTATTTTTGTGGGTCAGAGTTTTGTATAATATTGTTGTTAGTATAACATCATTTACTGAGAAAATTACTTTTTTCTTTGGTCTGAAACTTTTTACATTGCAAACAATGATCAATGTGAAAAAACATGTATTTATAAAATCAAAATGAGTGTACAATGCTTGAAAGCTGTTCTTAAGATTAAAAAAAAAAAAAACCCCACAACACAAGTTTTCCAATTATTTTCAGTATTTTTTCCCCATGAAAGTTTTTATTTCTTCTGTGCCAGTTCAAAGTCATTTGCATAGCATTTTATAGGATGTCATCTATTTTCTTTCAAAATATACTGCATGCTCCTATTTTCTAATATAATGCTGTCTTTCTTTCCTTCTTGATTGTAAAGTGCATGGAATCTTATTTGTTACTATGCCTTTAAATGTCCTAGCTCTTAAATTTATAAATTCTGTTATTTACACATTTTCTCTTGCAAATGTTTTGAATGTAATATATTTAGGTTTGCTCATTTTTCCTTTGCTAGAATTGAATATTTAGCATATATTTTCTATTAAATGATAACTTGTTTTAGTTTTTGAAAATGAGATTATTAGTTTCATGCTGCCCTTCAACATTTCATTCAACTATATTTTGCTTTATTTGGAATAGCTGGAGAATTTTATAGATATACCATATATAACTGATCTCTTATTGCTACACATCGATATACTGTTCAAGTTTTTTGTATCAGAAAAAGCACTATAATAAACAAATTTATATTCACTTCTGTATGCTTTTATTTAAATTTCCTTAGAGAATTTTGACAAAAATCTTGAAGGAGAAATTGTCTGGGTGTTTTGGGGAAATTGTCTCTTCCTCTTTCCTAAACACAAAGATTTTACTTCCCATTTTAGGGCCTCTGATCAGCTCCCCACCTCCAGTACGGCCCCACAACTCAGCAAGTTTTCTTTACAGACATGTGTTTGTGGCCTCTTGGATTCCCAGTGCCCCACTCCATCACTGTGTGAGTGGATTTTTGTTGGGTAACATTTCTCCAGCAGAGACTCTCTGTGTTGGCCAAGTGTGGCCCTTACCTGTGCCAGAATCAGCAGATGCCCTAGGGAAGACCTGGCTAGAGAATGTCAGTTTCTCTTAGAAAGACATCCCTCTCTGAAATTTTAATTCATTTGGTCTTTGTTGCTTATTCATTCTGTCAAATAACACTGATTGAGCATCTACTCTGTGCCAGAGACTAGGAAGTTTTTATGAGTCCAGAAAATACTTTCTAGCTCTTAAAATAATCAAAGACAAAGACTAAAATTACTACAGTGAGAGGTAAGATAAGAAGAGTTTCATAAGAGGGGCCATGGACTGCTTATAAATTGGAGAATTCCAGGCATCAGTGCACACATTTGCATCCAAATCACTGTTTCTAGTAAAGCCTACAAATAATTGAGGCAAAAGTGCCTGGGGGCTGGATTAACTGGGCGTATTTTCTCAATTCAGCACTTGTACTTGAGGGTGTTGACAGAGTGCAGAGGAGAATTGTAATCCTATTGACAAGACTGCTGTGAGAAAAAACTAATAAAAATGATGTGAAGACAAACACCCAAGTCCTGTTTCCCAGGGTTTCCAACATTAGCATAAATGAAGGTCTGTTTTCAAAAACTCAGCAGAATCTTTATGCCAACAAATATATGAGAACTGATGTTTGGTATACACAGCCTTGAGGGCTGTGTGTGTGTGTGTGTGTGTTGTGTGTGTGTGTGCATGCATGTGTGAAAGTCTGGCAGTTCTCTGTATTCAGGGACATATATGTATGTATGCATCGGATGGCAGGGACTTGGAATCAGAGCACATGAATAATCTCTTTGCAACCTAATGATGGTGTGGCCTCTGACAAGTGACACGGAAAATCCAGGCTTCCACTTACTTTTCTTGCTATTGAAAATAATTATTTGCCTCATGGAGCCATCTTGAAGTTGAGGTGAAATAACACCTGCCATAATGGAGTTGTCTCTAAGAAAAGTAAACACTGAAACAGGCTTCTTTTTCAGAACAATGACACTTACCTGGACCTAGGGTCCTTCTTAACCACATTTAATCATCATAATAAGTGATAACCACAATAATTGATGGCCACAGTAAGTACCATAATAGTACCAATTGCTAATATCTCCTCAATGCCTCATTGCACACTCCCAGTCCCCACTTTGGCCAGGCACCACCTGCTTCTCTGCCACAGTAAGATTACAGTATGCTGCCAAGATCACTACAAATCCAGCTGAACTAAAATGCAGAAATAAGAGGGATGAACCCTGTTCCCCAGTTTAAGAGCCAGTTCTGGAGGTGAGACCAATTGGTAGAGCAGGTAAACAAGAAGAAATGGACTGAAACTAAAATCACACAAAACCATCTGAGAAATACCTGGAAGCACCAAGCCCTCAGAAGATCTACCAGTTCTTAAAACATGGGCTTAGATTTGCACATTGTACTAAAAAGCATACTCATTCCTTTTTGGTTTCCTTTTTTCATTGTCTTAAGGTTTTTGATTAGTGCCACCCTGTTGAAGTCACCATGATTTTTCCTATTTCCTGAAAAGCTTTCAATATTTCACCATTAAGTGCTGAGAAATGTAAAAGAAAAATCTATTTACAGTTCCACTCGTTTAGAGGATACCAAACTTGAATGTTGTCTTTTATCACAGTTCTTCTTTTTACCACCACCTGCAGCTCTTTAAAGACCATGAACTTTGAATGGTTTTAGTATGTCAAACACTTACTGAGCCTACTGAGTAATGAATGATGGAAATTCCTTAAATCAATGGTATACAAATGATGGCACTGATTCTATCCTCTCCAGGGCATTAGTTTTCAGTGTTTGATTGGTATCCCATCAAAACATGTACTCCTCCACTCTGCAATATCTACCAATGAAATCTTCCGAAGTCCCCTCCTCTGGCTGCTCAATGAAGTCCTTCACTTGTCTGTATCCCTTGCCTGGCAAGTTACTAAATTCCTTTTTCAGCTTTTCCTTTAAAAAAAAAACAACTTCAGGAGAAACTCCTCTATTTCTAGTTGTTTAAAATTTTTATTATGAATTGAAAACTGAATTCTACCATATTTTTCCCTGTACAATTTGGCTCTTATATGGTTTCTTTTTGTGTTTATTTAGTTTGCTAATATTTTGTTTAGAATATGTGCATCTTTATTTATTAAAGAGATGGGTGTGCAATCTCACTTTTTTTGAAGAATGTACACTCTTTAAGTTTTCTGGAAATCTTGGTATACGAGGGAAATATTTCTATATTGAATGTCTGGGACTATTTTCCAATAATATTATGTAGTGCTGGAGTTTCTTTGTGGGAAGAATTTGGATAGTGAATTCTTTTAAAATAATGGTTAGATGATTTTTCAAGTTGTTGATTTTTCTTGAATGATTTTTAAGTTTTGTCCATTATCTAAAATTACAAAGTATTAGCATAAGGTTATTCATAATATATTTTAAATGTCTATTTAATATCTGCACAATCAACCCCCAAGAGAGACAATCTGCATTTTTGGTCCTGAGATAAAATCACTAACTGTTAAATTTGAGCTCTCTCCCCCATAGCAGGAGTGAAGGAAGACTGAATGGACAAGTGTGGGGTGGAGGTTGTGAAGGTTTTCTTTTGATTGCTTCTATTTTCTTGGTGAAATGAAAAGCAAGGTCATGGGCTGAGAGTGAGTAGGTACCAGGGAGTATCAAGGACTGGAAGAGAAGAATGAGTTATGGAAGAGTTGTCTCAGAGAGTAAAAGGAGGAAGTGACCAGGAATATGTTGTATGATTTCCAGGCAGCTTGAAGTAGTTGTTGAAGGCTTATGGTCATAAAATCCAAATGACATCAGACCCTGTGGCTGTGTGTTCCTCCATGTGTGGAATAGATAGAGAGCTGGATGTAACTCCAATTGAGATTCTGGCCTGTAAGGGTGAAGAAGTCAGAGTTTGCTGGATTGGACCAATTACTAATAAATAAATAATGCTCATATTCTTTTGTTTTGTTAATACTTGCTGCCTTTAATTTTATATTATCTAATAAAAAGTTCCTTTATTTTCAATTTTGCTTTATATTTTAATATATTTGGCCATCCTTTAATTTTTAATCATTTTGTGCCATTTGGCTTTAGAAAACATATCTCTTGAAAACAGGACAAAACAGGTGGTGATGCACTCTTTCTTATTCTTGCAAATTGCATTGTGTTCTTCCTTGCTGTTTTTATTTCCTTTTTATGCTATCTTAAATTCTCATGTCTTCTCCCATTGGTTTGAAAATTATAATTTTAATATTTACACTCTGATGGTTTCAAAACATACTTGATACTTTGTCTTTAACTACATTAGAAATGAAAATAGACAGCACAATATTTTCCAAAGGAATGCGAAAATTTATTACTTTTGTTCTCACTGTCCTCTTTCTCTCTAAAAGTATTATTTAGTTGTATTAAATTTTTACTAATACGGAATTTTTGAATAAGGTGTTTACTATTACATTTTTATATTGTAATAGTTACTTTATTCACCAATCAGGGAAATAGAATGTTTTTAATTTATTTCACAATTCATTACTTACTATCTTTGAAATAATACGTTTCTCCTGTCTTTGAATAGTATCCTGGTCACATAATGAAAAACTTCCCAAACTTAGTATGCACACAACTCACTGGGATTTTGTAAAAAGGCAGATGATGACTCATTAGGTCTGGGTGGGCCTGAGATTACACATTTTTAACAAGCTCCAAGATGGTACAGATGAGCAGATTGTCTCATTTGCCGATCACTTTGTATAGCAGGAAGATAGAGTGTTTCCTTGAAAACCTTCTCCTAAGAACAGTGCACAGCTAGTATAGTTTCTGAGTTCTTGCAGAAACTGAGACTATTCCAAGACTACTGTATCATTACCCTTGTGCAATGACAGTAGTCTGCCTAGCTGATTGTCTTCTGGTGTCACAGCATTTTTTTTTCTCATAGATTTTCTTGTTGTAATTTTTCAGAAAGATTGCTTTTTAGAAGATGGAAATGGATCATATGAGTAAGAACGTGCATTCAGTGAGACATACTATTTTGAGTCATATTTTGTTGACTTTAAATTGTGTAAACTTTTTGCATTAATAGTGTTTAATGTGTAAAGTACATCCCACTTGATGATATGTTTCTAAAGTTCATTTGTTTATTTTAATCCAACAAACATGGAAAAAGAGTTCTGTGAATAGCATCCTTCCAAACATACGTGATACAGCACTGATTAAAATCAGCAAAATTCCAACCCCCAAGGAGCTTAAAAGAAAAAAATATCCTGGAATTAAGCAGTAATAGTGGAGATCAAGAGGTCTGAATGCATTCAAATACCTTTTAAAATTAAAAATTGCAAGAATAATTTGTAAGTATCTTAGTCTTTGGTCTTTTATCAATTTAGCTTGTCTGCTTATTACTGAAAATTATGATTGACTTTATTAATTTATATGATCTCTTTATATAATGTGGAAAATAACTGTTATATTTAAATATTGTGTTTATTTTTTAAAATTAAGTTTGATTTTTTATTTAACCAAAGTTTTTAAATATTTAAATGGTAGAATCTTTTGCTTCATGTGTTTGTATTTTCTTCTCTGTTTGGGAAATCATATTGTACATATAATTTTGGGTCACAAACTATTTGGCTGACTTTAAATTGTGTAAACTTTCTGCATTAATATTTTGAAACATGTAGTGTTTGATGTATAAAGTATCAATTTTTATCCTTTGAATGCCATTACATTGTCTTTGTTTCTTTATATAGTCATATTTATTATGTGCTCTTTAAACCAGTTTTCCTAATGTCAGATTAAAAAACAAAAAAAGAAACTTTTGTTTTAAGTTCAGGGGTGCATGTGCACATTTGTTATATAGTTAAAATCATGTCACGGGGTTTGATGTGTAGATTATTTTGTCACCCAGGTACTAAGCGTAACACCCAATAGTCATTTTTACTGCTTCTCTCCCTCCTCTCACCCTCTGGTAAGCCCCAGTATCTGTTGTTTCCTTTTGTGTCCTTGTGTTCTCATCATTTAGCTCCCATTTATATGTGAGAAGACATGGAATTTGGTTTTCTGTTCCCGCATTAATTTGCTAAGGATAATGGCCTCCAGCTCCATCCATGTTCTCGCAAAGAACATGATCTTGTTCTGTTTCATTCCATACATAGTATTTCATGGTGTATATCCAGATTTTCTTTATCCAATATGCCATTGTCTTTGAAAGTCTCTAAGAACTTGTTGGGTGCATATGTATTTTGGATAGTTAGGTCTTATTGTTAAACTGCACCCTTTACCATTATTAAATGCCCTTCTTTGTCTTTTTTGATCTTTGTTGGTTTAAAATTTCTTTTGTCTGCAATTAGGATTGTACCCTCTGCTTTTTTATGTTTTCCATTTTCTTGGTAGATTTTTCTCCATCCCTTTATTTTGCAGAAGTTCTCTGCATTTCCTGAATTTGAACGTTAGCTTCCCTAACTAGGTTGGGGAAGCTATCATGGATGATATCCTAAAATATGTTTTCCAGGTTGCTTCCATTCTCCCCATCTCTTTCAGGGACACCAGTGAATCACAGATTCAGTCTCTTTACATAATCCCATATTTCTTGTAGGTTTTGTTCATTTTGTTTCATTTTTTTTTTTTTATTCTTGTCTGACTGTCTTATTTCAGAAAGCCAGTCTTCAGGCTCTGAGATTCTTTTCTCAGCTTGGTCTATTCTACTCTTAATAGTTGAAACTGCATTATGAAATTCTTGCAGAGTGTTTCTCTGCTCTATCAGGTCAGCTATATTCTGTTCTATACTGGCTATTTTGTCTGTCAGCTACTGTATCATTTTACTGTGATTCTTAGCTTCCTCCAATTTGGTTTCTCTGTTCTCCTGACTCTGGATGATCTTTGTGCCTATTCATGTTCTGAATTCTATTTCTGTCATTTCAGCCATCTCAACACTGTTGAGAACCATTGTTGAAGAACTAGTGCAGTCATTTGGAAGAAAGAACATGCTCTGGCCTTTTGAATTTTCAGAGTTCTTGTACTTGTCCTTTCTCATCTTTGTGGTCTCATGTTCCTTCAGTCTTTGAAGTTACTCTCCTTTGGATGGGTATTTTTCCCTTTTATTTTATTTGATGACTTTGGGGGTTTGGTTGTGGTATAAGGTGGGTTCAGTTGACTGGCATTGTGAATGGAAGATTTTAGGGGGCCTTGGATCAGCCCAGAACTCCTGAACTGCATGCTCTAACTCTGGGGTACTGTTATTGCCCTGGCTTTTATCTCTGGCCTCTAGAGATTAGAAGCCTGCTGCACTGGAGGGGCAGTTGCTCTTGGACTACTGGTCATAACACTTCGAAGGGCGGGGCCAGCCAAAGTACTTCATAGGGTGGTGGCAGTGGAACCTGTCCTTGTTGGCATGTGCCAGCAGCAGCAGTGGCAATGAGACAGGGTGCACACTTGTCAGCTGGGCAGGGTGCTAGTGGGTGCTGGGGTGCCAGTTTCTGTGCAGGCGTTCACAGCAGCAGTGGTGGTGGTATGACTTGGGTGGATGGCAGCCCTCACCGGTGACTGTGTGTTCATGCTGGTGGTGGTATTAGCATGGGGGCAGGGGGACTGGTGGACTCAGGACTGTATGTCTTTGAGTGTTCAGGCTGGTGGTCGTGGCTGCTAAGGGCTGGGGTGGTCTGCCTTTTTCCGCTGTCTAGTTTGTGGCTGGCAGCAGTGTCAGTGCAGGGATGTGGTGCTGGTGGGGGCAGGTCTGGCAGGCTCCATGCCCATCAACACTACCACATCACTGGCGGTGCCGCTTGGGGGTGAGGGTTTAGGGTGCACTCACACCTGCAGCAGTGGCACTGCAGGGTGCACATGCACACGTGTACTGCTGTGGAAGGAAAGGTTAGGTCTGCCGGTGTACACATGCTCCTGCAGAGCAACGTTGGGGGTGGCTGTGGTCAACTGCCTGCAGGCGAAGCAGCATGGGGGAGGCTGTAGTGCTAGGGAGGGTGTGAGTGGGCTGTTGAATGTCCATAAGGGCTGCTCTGCTGGAGCACTCTGCCATCAGGTGGTCCTCTAGCATAGGAGCTATGATGTGGGCCCCCAGGAGGTAACTGGCCTACACCAAACCCTCTGGGCTCTGCACCTGCTGGAGGTATGCCCCTACCACTTCTCTAATCAGCTTTCAAGTGTCTGTGGTGGTTGGGAGTTTCCTCCTGCCAGAATTACCGAGGCCTATGGTGAGAGCGAGTTGCTCCTTGCCTGTTCAACTCACCTCCACTGCAGGAGTCCTGGGGGGCCAGGAATGAGTCCTGGTGCGCAGTTGTCCCATTCAGGGTTCCCAACTTCCTTCACCTTCAGCCTGTGTTCTGTGTCTTCCCTCTATCTGTTGTCAATTCCTTCCTTCTGAATATCTGCTAGGAGTGCGCCAGTCTTTCAGATGTCCCGGTCCCTTAGTGTGAGATGTTCTTCCTGGCTACGTCTAGTTGGCCATCTTGCAAGTATTTTCATAGTAGGCAATTATCAGACTTTTAATTATTTCTTTATATCTTTTAGGCAATTGGTTAGGCTTAGGCAAGTTTTCCTAACAATCAGCTGGATGTGCTATACCCATAAGATTAATTCAACCAGTGATCATATATGCATATTGTGAACACATAAACATCACACTCTATTAATTTGTAAACGTTTTTGAAAAGAAACACTTATTAATTATATAATGTATTATTAGGCAATTATTTATCCAGTTTTTAAATAAACAGAGTTTCTACAATCTGTATTTTTCAACATATTAATTTAATGTAGGAATTAATTGCCTGTGTTTCAAATTATAAGTTTTATCTTAATAAATGCTTACAGAATTAACAAGTCTACACTGTTAGAGTGATCCTAGACTTGTTAGTGAATCACTAGGAGAGGATCAAGATGCCCAGACACTGAAGAGACAGTGTAGCAAGAATGCATCACACAGGAATGGGAGAGAATCAGAAATGAGAAGGGGAAGATGCCATAGAATCCATGACACTGAGCACTTAGTATGTCCCTAGTAAGACTTACTATGTATGAAGGAAGGTAACACTCAGCAACTAGCATCGTGGGAAAGAGCCTAAGACAGAACAGATGGAGTAAAATTGTAAACACTTCAGCACGCAATACCAGAGACAGGAGTTAAACATATTGCACTAATATTCTAAATGCTGTCACAATGGAACGATTTAACTCAGTTCAGTGTTTGGGACATCACTATCACCATAGCTAATTACAGGGGAATCCACATGAAGCAATAATTGCTTAGAACATATTCAAGGGCCAGGACTGCTTTCATCTGTGAATTTTGACTTTAAATCACTGCCTGTAAATAATCACAGCCAAATATTTGTTGATTTCTCAAAATTTTGCCATTGGATTATTAAAATTTTGCCATTTTAATAATGTCACAATATTATAACATAGTTTACTGACTGTATATATGCCTCAATATATAATTGAATTAGTTATGCTGTTTGTTTTAAATGTTAATAATAATCTTTCATTAGATCACTTTCACTCCTCCACATGACTTCCAGAAACAATTTGCTAGGTTATAAAAGTATTTTCCTTTGGATTTTTTACTAATATTTCATGAAGATATATAGGTTGGCTTTGAAACATTGGTGTTTGATCACCTCATTCAAGAAAATGCCGTTTCTTCAGATATCCAAGTCACTTTTATCTCCACTTGCAAACTTTTATAGTCTTGTTTTGTAGGTTATGCATCCTTCTCACAGTATATCCTGAAGAATTTTAAATGTTAGTTGCTATAGTGAAGGAGATCTTATATATTCTATGCAGCCAGAAGGGGCTCATCATGGGGGTATTAATTTTTATATATTTATAATATGTGCACTATTTATTGGACTTTTCTAATAATATTTGGCATTGATTGGAGCCTTTAGTGCCTCCTTGTTCAATACCATGGGTATGTCTGTATTGATATAGAATTGAGTCTCAGCAGACTAGAAGACTCTGAAATATCTGTCAGAAACTAAAATCTTGTGGGAATGCCTGAAGTGAATCTCACCTTTAGAAGGGCAACAAAGTGAGAAACTGGTTAATTTTGGACTCTATAATGGATACTATTAGATTTTACTCTTGAAACATCTGGGTGGCAGAGGTCAATTAAGCATGGTTGTTGAGGAACTGGAAAGTTTTTGTTGTAGTCTTTTGCTGTACCATCTATTTACAGAAAGTATTATTTTTAAACTTTTGCAAATATAATTTTATGTTTTTCCCTAATTTATATTGCTGCCAAATGGGAGAGCACAGGTCTAAATTATTGTACCTGCCACACCTACATGAGGTGGAAAATACCATGAAAGTATCTTTGTGCAGAAAGGGAGGATTCATGGTGCTTTCATCTGTGGACCTCCAGTGGAAGGAGGACAATCCAGACCTAATTTAGAGCACGGTGGGAAACATACCTTTTCATTTTATATCTTTAAAAATCTATGGAGGGGAAGTAACTGATTCACACAATTTAGACATTGGTTTATCCTGTGTACTTGGGCTGCTCAAACAGGGCATATAATTCCTAATTCCAAGGGAGGATAATAAGGTCTTCTTTTCTTGCAACCCAAAGAGGTTGAGCATTCATATATATTTTTTCAAAGTCAAAAAAAGTACCTATCTGGGAAAACCCAAACAAGCTGTGAGATTGCTATTAGTTAAATGATTATCTAAAGCATAGATATATACATGGAAGCACATGGAGTTGCATTAGCCAACTCTTGTTTGGTATATATTAATTCTACTTCTCTTATTAGCGTAATAGTGGGACTTCAAGTAGGTAGTCCTTGATTATGCTATACATTCATTACGATCTAGGACAGAGGATAAATTTAGCCCTCAGATACATTGGTTTTTGCCTTCATGTTTCATTTTTTAACATTTACATTGACATTAAAGTATATTGTTTATGTGTCTAAGTTTATACCACCATTTAAATATTAGTAATCAACATTTTTAGTTTTTCTTAGAAACAGAAAGGCTGCTCTGCCCATGACTGGAATTCACATCCACAGGGGCCCCCTTTAGATGAGCATGTGCCCCTGGCATTTGCCATGAATTGTCAAACAATGTTTTGGTCACATTTATATCTGCCTCCTCCACTAATTTTAGCTTCATGTCTGGTTCCTGAAGGCAGATAGAACTCTCATTTGCATTTCTGTAATTCATTTTTATAGACTATTGCTGTATTTCATCAGAGGTAACATAAAGATTAAATAGAGTCCTTCCCTGTCAGTTCTACAGCTGCCTGAGAAAGTTTTGTCTTTAATGTGAAACAAATTCTTTTCTATCTTCTGTTTTCCTTTCCTCTTAGCAAAGATCCAAGTAATAAGGAAGTTTCAGGAATCATGGATATGTTAATTTCGTCTTTATATATGTATGTTTCCTACACGTTATCGGGAAGGGAACAGTTAGATACGTCCCTTGTCAAAGAATAAACATTATCTTCTGGGTTAAATTTGATTCAGAAAGATTATGATTATAAGTATTTGAATAGCATTATGCAATATATAAAAGATGATCAATTATAGTACATCTTTCTTATTTTTGGAAATAACTTGAACTATGTACTATGCTGTCAAGCTCAAAGGGTATCAGAAGAGTCAAACAGACAGGTGAATATGTCTAGGCATATGTTTTGGGTGGACAGGGATGCACTTCCAGCCAGCTTCTCTGATGCTGATTCCTGGTTTTCTCCACTACACCATGACTTCATGTTTCTATCACCACCATGAAGTGCTTCTCTAGTCCTTGAAAGGAAATGTAAAAATTGATATTTTCACTGTCTCCCCAGGTTTATGGTTTAACCACTATGCAGCTTAGGGAGAGCTAGATCCTGTAGAGAGGAGAAAAAGGTTAAATATCTTTAAAGCAGGTGACTGGCTCCAAGGTT
This sequence comes from Homo sapiens, assembly GCF_000001405.40. Taxonomy (NCBI): domain Eukaryota; kingdom Metazoa; phylum Chordata; class Mammalia; order Primates; family Hominidae; genus Homo; species Homo sapiens. The sequence continues at coordinate 48,752,764 of NC_000007.14, forward strand.
CTTAGGTTACCATAAATGAGAAAATGAGTTCTTAAGCAAAGAGAAGGAGCTTGCTTTGGAAGAAATCATTTCTTAAGAAGCCTTGATGTGCAGAAGGGACTTACTAGCTATTTTGTACCAATTACTATGTATTCACAACCTTTCATTTGTGATCTTGTTGAATAATTTATAAAGTGTCATGTCATCATCAGAAAGCCATATGAGGTAGAAAACAATCCTAAGTATTTACAGATGAGAAAACTGAAGTTTTGTGTGGTTAACATACTCATAGTTAATACTCTGAGTAAGTGGCTGAGTGAGGGTTTTAGCCCAGGACTCTCGAGGTTGAGTCTATTATAGCTGTCAGGGGTGCTAGAAGGCAGCTATTTTCTTGCAACTGTTCTGTTTCCCAAGTTTCTTCTTTATTAATCCATTGCACTCCGATCTACCTTCATGAGACTTCTCTGATTAAAGACACCTACATTGCAAGATCAGAATCTGTCAGGCGGCCACAGATTGATTTTCTTACTACCAGAGCAGAAAAACACATTTTCTATTTCCCATATAGATTTTTCAGTGCAGCTGTGCAGGTAATAAACTATTGGCACATTCAGATTATGGGTGATGCACAAAATCTAGATGTGTTGTATATGATCTTCCAAAAATGCAAATTAAAATGGTATTTGCTTCATCCTTCAGCTCTGGTGTTTCATCACCCAATGTCACTACAACAGTCTGACAGAAACTGCAGGAACAGGCAGAATAGAAAATGTTAGATTTGGAAATTCTGGTAAACTTTATTTAATATGCACCCTATGCAGAGAGACATGGGGAAGATATGCCTATGTTTGGAGCAATATCTTTATCAAATTAGCAGGACAAAATGAGGCTAAAGGCATGACATATCTTATTGTCCACAGCCAGTCTTGTAGCTCAGAGTTCTCTGGCACTGGGCTTAAAGGAAAGACCACAACTGGCTATTTAAGAGACAATATTTACAAGAAGGTGTCCAGTGGAATGTCAGTGCCCATGGAGGTAACATCTTTCCCTCTCTTCATGTTTCTGTGTTGGTCCTTAGTTTAGGATTTTTATCAAACATTTCTACATTATTGGGAAGTTCTGGTGGACTTTCGCCACCATTTTTACCTTCTCAGGAAAGTGTTTAGAAGGAAGGGTCTGTCATTTCTTCTAGCCCCTCACTTTTCCTCCACAAGGGAGAAGGGGTGGTTATACATTGGAGGGGGCTGGAGTAAAAGTCCCTTCATATGTGTGATCTCCTCTCCCACTTACTTTCTCTCCAATATGCCTCACTACAGGAAGCATGCCTCCGGAAAACACTTCTCTGGTTTCCTCTAGTCTGTTGGATAAAAACTAAGTCAGTCATGGTCCTCAGGGAAGCTGGTTGGATGATTATCTGCTGTTCATATCCTAGTAGTGTCTCACTAGCCTTAAATACTGGTCCCATGACCCACTTTAGGGAAGAAAAAGGAAGCATTTGCTTTGGCCTGATACTAAATCTCATTTTCCAGATCGTAATTATCATTGACAGCACTGGCATTTTTATTCCTGTCTGACTGTGGTTTCTGTCTTTGATTCTGAACATAAAGAGAGATAAAGTATTTCAAGTGTAGTGACCCATTGTCTTGCTGACATTAGCTTAGAAAAAGCAGAACACAGCAGAAGGAGGGCAAGCCTTGCAAGAGGTCACCACAGTCTAGAAACTTGGTTTGCCAGGGAAACTAGAGCTCATCAGGACCTTGGAAATGGCATTCAACAAACAAATCATAAGGCACTACAGCTTAGCAGTGTGAATATATCATCAGGCAGTGAGAGGAAAAATGTTCAAGTATCCCACTCTCTGGGACCCACGTTTATCTCTTGTAGGGATATCTAAATGGCATTCTTACTGGAAACAAAGATGGCCTTGACTGAGGGGAAAGACAGTGCACTGGATGATCCTGTTGGCCCACATTAGTAAAGTTGGCAATCCACCACAGAATCACCATTGGGATAAAGTATCGCCATGTGACAGCACATGGAGTCTCCAGCACTGGAGACAAACTGAAAGGATCTTGGTGGTGTGGTAGGGGGAGGCCTTTATCTAAAGTCCACACCAGTGACTTTTCTCCTACTACTTTATTATCTCTCTAGACACAGGGGCTAAGGGTATGGGCTCTAGGGAAAGACAAGATCTGTGTTTGAATCCTAGATGTGTTATTTACTAGCTGTATGAGCCTTGGACACAAACCCCATGAGCCTCAGTTTGCTCGTCTGAAAAATGGAGATGACAATTACACCTACCTAATTGGTGTGGTGTGAAAGTCAAATTAGTGCTATGCATGTAAAGTACAGTGTCTGGCTTGTAATAAATAAGCAGTAATTATAAACTACTGGACCTCAAGTGAAAAAGCCTTTGGCAGTAGCCCTAGTAAGAGCTTTAGTGTAGATGTTGTTTGAACAAAGGTTCTGCGAGGCAAATGTGCGAAGCAAACTAAACCTTCCTTTGCAAGACAGGAATAATAGTTCTCAGAAATGAGAGGCAAATGTTCTGTCTTTAAATAGAAATTATGACTGTTTTGTAACTGATGGGCTCTATGAGTGTGTCAAGAGCACATGCTTTGTGGTTAGATAGACAAAGATACGCATTCCAGATCTCTGGCTTAGTAACCCAAAGCTTTGCTTCTTTAGGATTAGGGAAAATAAGCATAACTATTTCAGAAGATTCCTTTGGATAGTAAAAATAAGGTGCTTAGCTCAATTGCCCAATAAATAGTTGGTCCTTACTGACAAGTCAATACCATGCCTGCAGCAGCTATCACAGGTGGCATAGCCATGGCCTAGTAAATCCCAGATTTATCTCTCAGTCATCTTTCTGTCCTTCCATTTTCCCATTCTCTCATCCTTCATTTCTTCACTCATTTCATCCTTCTATCCTTCCTTCGTCCAGTCTTCCCAATCTACCATCCTTTCATTCTTCTATCTGTTCATCCATTTATCCTTCAATCCTCCCTTCTTCACATTCCCTTTCCACATATCCTTCCCTCCATCTTCCATCCTTCCAACCTTTCATCTGTTTATTCATTCATGCTTCCATCCTTCTACTCTTGCATGCCGACCTCCTCAGGATTTTTGACTAGATTCACACAGAGGCTTCACACTAAGATTCTGGAGGCACACGTGTCTTCAAGGTGACTTAGGGGACACTGGAAAGGCTGGCTATCTATAAAGAGTAAGGAAGGAACGCTAGCCATGACAGCTCATCTTAAATCAGAGAAGCTTCTGATTTGAAGAAGGAAAGAATTCTTTGAAACCTTAGGACTACATTATCCCCAAGCGTCCTTGGAGCTGTGTTCAGTCTGTGCATGCTGGGATGGTGCAATAGTCACTGTGTGGACTGACGTGCTGTTGTCCTTGCCATCCCTGCTGTAAATATTTAATTAATCGATTTAGGATCTGGAATCTTATTCAGGAGGCTGAAATGAATTCTTCTAGACCTAATAAAGTTCTTAAGCAAAATTATCTCCTTGCTATTTGGAATAATTCAAGGTACAACAAGACAATTAGTAGCATGAAATAAAATGGTTATTTACTCCATTGAAAGGTTGGTTAACTCAATGTCAAGTCTGTTGTGCTGTGTGTATAGCTGTAATTTCCCATGGTAAACTTATGTGTTTAATTATAGGGTCACCAATCATGAGAATGCCAGTTAATTGCAAAATCTTAAAGTATGTATTAAACTTACATGCTATTTCTAATTGAGCTTTGATTTATTTAACATGATATGATTGTAGTTACTTTTATCAGCCACCATATTATTATTACTTTTGTTTTTTATCGTTTTCAAAATACTTTCTATTATACAAGTATCCCTGGCTCTCAGAATGATGTTTTGCAGAAAAAATCTCTGTCAGAAGAGAAAACTGAAACTCAGGGACTTATGTAAGGTTTTGTGGCCAACACATGGCAAAGTCCAGGCTGGAACCTGGTAGTTAAAAGGGTTGAGTATTAGCCACACACACAGGGAAAGGAGAGCAAGTGGCCTGAGGAAAGGAGACACTCAGGACGTCCACTGAAGGTCAACATAGAGCAAAGCTTTGCTATGGCTCCAGATATGTCACCTTCAAGACACCCCAGCTAGTCTCTATGTCTCAGAGCACTAATCTACTATGATGGTTCATTTAAGATGTCAGCTTGATGGGGCCACGGGATCCCAGATATTTGGAAATATTCTTTCTGAGTGCTTCTGTTAGGGTGTTTCTGGATGAGATTAATATTTGAATCAGTAGACTGAGTAAAGCAGATAGCCTTCCCTAATGTGGATAGGTCTCATTCTGTCCATTGAAGGTCTGAGTAGAATAAAACACTAAGAGAGAATTCCTTCTGTCCACCTAACTGTCTTCAAGCTAGGTCACTGGTCTCCTGCCTGCAGACTTGGACTGGATAGAACTCCATCAGCTCTCTTGGTCCTCAGGTCTTTGGACTCAGATGAAAACTACACCACTGGTTTTCCTGGGTCTCCAGTTTGCTGACTACAGATGTTGGACTTCTCCACCTCTATAACTATACCAGCTGATTTCTTATAGTAAATCAATTTCTCTGTCTGTTTCTACATGTCTCTCTCTCTCTCTCTCTCTTTCCTTCTCTCTTTCTCTTCACACACACACACCCACCCCCCCACCCCCCGACACACACACAAACACACACACATGTCCTTTGGTATCTGCAGGGTGTTGATTCCAAAACCCCCATGGATATTAAAATCCACACATGCTCAAGTCCGTTATATAAAATGGTGTCATATTTGCATATAACCTGTGCGTATCCTCCCATATGCTTTAAATCATTTCTAGATTACTTATAATACCTAATACAATGCAAATGCTATATAAATAATTGTTATACTATAGTTTTAATAAATAATGACAAGACAAAAAGGCTATACATGTCCAGTGCAGACACAACTATCTGTTTTTTTCCTTCCAAATATTTTCTATTTGCAGTTGGCAGAATCCACAGATGCACAGCTCACAGATACAGAGAATTCACAGATACATACACCCTTGGTTCTGTTTCTTTGGAGAACCCAGACTAACACATTTACTATGTATTAACCCAGACTAACACATTTACTATGGTACTTTCTACTATAATCCTTTTGTAGTTTCAACACAATAGTTGTTTGGCCTTAAAGCATACTTTATAACAGTAACAATTAATATTTGTATGGATTTTTAATCTTCTATTATGTGTATTTTCACATCTAATCCTTTTAAAAGCCTGCATAACAAGGCATTTATTACCATCTCAATTTACTGATGAGGAACTCCAGGCTAAAAGAAATGAAGTAAGGGCTGGGTGCAGTGGCTCATGCCTGTAATCCTGGCACTTTGGGAGGCAGAAGCGGGTGGATCAGTTGAGGTCAGGTGTTCAAGACCAGCATGGCCAACATTGTAAAACCATGTCTCTACCACAAATACAAAAATTAGCTGGGCATGGTGGCCATGTGCCTGTAGTCCCAGTTATTCTACTCGGGAGGCTGAGGAAGGAGAATTTCTTGAACCTGGAAGGCAGAGGTTGCAGTGAGCCGAGATCGCGCCACTGCACTCAAGCCTGGGCAACAGAGCCAGCTTCCGTCTCAAATAAAAAATAAGAAATAAAAATAAAATTAAAAAAAAAAGAAAGAAAGAAAAGAAATGAAATGGGGTAAGGTGCCATAGGTCACATCTAGATAAGGTTACAGGTGGCGTGTGGCTGAGCAGGGCTCAGCCTGTGCTTACCCACTCTGGAGCTGCCTCTTTAGAGCAGGGCCCTCTGCATTTGACAGTGAAGGCAAATGTGCTCAGCAAGATGGCATTGAAGCTTAAGCCCTCGATCTTTTCTCTATCAAATTCTGCGATGTTTCTGGTTTTAAAAGACCATTCCAAATTTAATAATTTGAAATGTGCTATTAAAGAACAGTCTTTTCAGTTGTGTTGCTTTAGAATGGACTGCATTTTAAAATGTGCCTTTTTATTCAACTGCTTTCTACTTATTGCTCACCATTTATTCATGATATGTTGGCAAAGTACTGAATCTTAGTAATTTATATTTTCAGACAGAGGCTGGAGATTGCCTTTAACAAATTAAACATTATACTAATGCATGCAGGCAGCCACTGTTTGAATGAATTGGGAGAACAAGAATACCTATTTATTATTATTTTCTTTCTAGATTCCTGTATCAGAGTTTAAATTGTTTCAGAGCAAGAAATCACGAAGTACATTACTTATGTATCCTTTTTCCTTTTTGTTTACATGCATAAAATTTAGATGGGAACACACACACACACACACACACACACACACACACACCCTTCAGGGAACTATGCTAAAATAAGACTCAGAAACCAAGAGAAAATTACTTTACTGCTGCAGCCTCCTGCCTGCTCTCCCTCTCTCCCCTACAGAGAGAAACACTATCATACATTTTATCTTAATTATCCCCATTTTCTTTGCTCTCTTTCCCCCACAGGAAATATATGCATCTCTAAGCAGTCTATAGTTTGGTTTTAGGAGGTTTGGGGCTTTGTCTAAAGAAACCATACTGTGTGCACTATTTTGTAACTTCGTTTTTTATCCAACCTGTTTTGAAGATTCTTCTCCACATGTGTCATATACACAATTTGCCCTAGAAATGAACATTTTAAAAATTGATTAGTAGGGGAATCATCCACTTCCAACTAAATGGGCAATCAATATTGCTTGGAAAATTACCTAAGGAGATAAAAGCTCCAATTATCCCTAGTTGAACAAAAGCCTTTGACAGAGCACTGAGGTTATGGGCAATCTTGGCTTCAACCTTCACTTTTGTGAGTTGAAATCCTCTGTGTAATGGCTTCAGCCTTTTGAAGTCCCACTCCACCTGTCTATGCTGTACATGACAGTTATTCCTCTCCACACTACCTAAATGAAAGGTAGACACTTGTGCCAGACAAACAGAATCAATAAGATGTGTATGTGTACACACACACACACACACACACACACACACACACAGAGTCAGGAGTCAGAGAGATTTATTATAAAGAATTGGCTTATGTGATTACAGAGGCTGGCAAGTCCAAATCCGCAGTGTGGTTGGCAGGCTGGAGACCCAGGGGAGCTGCTTGTGCAGATGAAGTCCCAAGGCCATCTGCTGAAGATTCCCTCTGGTTCAAGGGATCAGTCTTTAGTTCTATTCATGCCTTCAACTGATTGGAGGAGACCCACTCACATTATGGAGGGCAACCTACTTACTCAATGTCTACCAATTTAATTGTGAATTTTATCCCAAACACCCTCCAAATTGATGCATAAAATTAACCATCACAATGCTGAAGACCAGAAATTCAGAGTTTTGAAATGTCTACCTGAAATTATTTCTGCTCTATAAATGTAGATCACATTTGTGACAGCTTCTCTGATGAGTCTTCTATGTCTTTATGTTCTCTTATTGATATTTTGTGAACTATCTTAATGCCTGACGTGTACCACATTGTTACTGTTATTACTTTATCCTTTCCTTCAGGTAGATTAACTTCAGGTCAGGTAATGAGTCTCATTCACTTTCCCATCTCTGGGACCTCATACTGTGCATAGCACAGAACAAGTACGCAGTAAGTACTTGCTGAATGCAAACCAACACAGTCTTGATAAATCACACTCATTTCAATATTAAGGTATAATAATAATAAATAGAAGTAAGCCTCTTTAATAGAACATTGTGAAAGAAAAGGCTATTTTCTTTGCTTTTGCTTTCTGGTATTAAGATCGTGACTCTAAGTGTCTGGAATGATCCAGCCATTCAGAATATATCTATGAATAACAGCACTAGACTGGAAGGTTCTCTAAAGTACATCTTTATAAAAAGGGTAAAAGGATTTTCACTCTTGACTGAAATCAAATAGAACTCTATGTGCTTTGCTTACCAGTTAACTTAGGCAGAGCTCCAGACCACTACACATGCTCCACCGTGACATTCTTGTTCTAGCCCCGACTTCTTATGGGATTAGTAATAACCACAGTGACAAAAAAGATGAAACTTATCCTCATCTGGTCCTTTTTTTTTCTGGAATCTGCTCATTCACCCTCAACTAGAACTTAATTCATGGCTCTGGGATGTCTACTTCTGGTTAACAATCCTTACAACGATTTGCAGAAAGTTTGCAGAGTGTGCTTGACCATTTTAAGCAGCATACAATTGGTAATTGTTATTTCTGGAGGCTAAATAGTCCCCTCCACTGTAGCTTCTGCCATTCCAATCATCTTCCACAGAAGCCATTCTGAGCATGTCGGGGCTTCTACCAGTTCACTCTGGAAGTGGATTTGGTCTCATTACTCTCTGTCTAATTTTAGCACTCTATGTTTGCAGCAGTCTCTGATTCATATACATCTTTCTGCATTAGCCATGAATAGCACAGGAGCATTTGAAAACATGCTGGGTGTGGAGAACCAACTCTTCAATGTGTGAACATGCACAGTTCTTTGTGTGATTTAATTTAATCTTGTGAGATAGGGTAACTTATCCACATTGTGCAGATGAGGAAAATAATCTAAGAATGGCTCACATTATAAAATTCATAAATGGTTCTGCCAAAATTAAAACCCAGATCCATGTCTAGAGGACATGCTTTCCCCTTTTCAACTCTCCTCCAGATATATGAGCACCAGAAGCTCTGGTGTGTCTGCTCCTTATCTGGACCCTGAAGGCAGGTGAGGAAGATGGTGATTAAGAGACTACTTAGAATGGTTTTCCTGACGCTTCGCCTTCCTTGTCATTCTGACCTCCACCACTGTCTTTACCAAGCACACAGTGAACCACCTTTAGCCATGGATAAGGACCCAGTGCTAAGGGCTGAACTGGGAAGACCTCTGTCATAGTGCCTCCCGTATACCCCAGAAATCATGACTCCATGCAATGACTCCCAATGGGAAACCTCTAAACACTCAGCTTGAATGCAGGCCAGGCCAGAAGTTCTGGGGACTACCCAGCTCCACACCTCAGAAACAGCCCTCAGCCAAAGGGCTGACCACATATCTCTCTGTTAGATTGGTCTGGTTCCAATCAAGTCACAAAAGCACACTGTGGAACAATGGAAATTCACTCATTCAAATCTGACCAAAGAGAAATTGCAAGAGATAAGGACACTCTATAACATACTGGGAAAGCAGAAGAGTAAGGAGGATGAACAAATTTGGAGATAGCCCCTTCCCCAAAGCAAGGATTCTAACCTCACTAGAGAAGGTACAGTTGCACCCCAGTGATAAGCAAACCTCTCAGGTTTCCTCAGCCAGAGTTGATCCACAGTCAGTGAGCAAGCAGGAAGCAGCATCCTAGGGCACAGGCCAGGTATGTGGTGGTGTGCAGAGGGCATGGGGTGCCCTGGTGGGCAGGAGGCCTGAGGTTGTGTGTTCATGTTGAGGGAGCCACAGGAAGGTGATCAGCTGGCTGGACTGGAGCTATAAGGTCACAAATGCACCATGCATTCTGCACATGTGGCCAGAGCAGAGCCCCACCAATGTCCTCACACCTATGCTTCTGAGTGGCCATGCAGCACTGCCAACAAGAAGGGAGCTCCCTGATCCTGCAGTGTCCCTTGCAGAACCCTCTACTGAGAAATCTCAGGATCTGTCATGCTCAATATAAAGGAGGAAGGCATACAGGAATTTCATCTATTATTGCAGTGTGAGTATTGAAGGGTGAATTTTGACTTGAGAGGATGACCCATGGGTTAGAGTGACTCTGAGGTATACTTTGCAATGCCTCTCAGAGTCTACCAGTATGTTAAAACCCAGTTGTCCATAGATCAAATTCGCATCTTTCATGGGCTTCCTTCTATTTATTTTTCACCTCCACATTTCGTGACGTTTGTTTCCTGGGACAGCTTCTATGCACATTCTTATCTCTTCATGTGGTTCTAGAAAAACACAACCTTAGCAGAAAAATCAAGCAGAGAGTTCAAGAATGAGTGATATATCATGAGTTTTTACTATGATGAGTGTATGAGGTCATCCTGAACAAGTAAGAAGCAAGTAAAAGACACACATTGGGATGAAAAAAATGGGATTCACATAATAATTGTATAACACTGAAAAATTATATGAGCTTTGAGTAGGTCACTTGCAATATGCAGAAAGCAACTCAAAGGGCTGCTGAGAGGATTAAATGAAATTATGAATGAAGAGATGTTAGAATGCTTACAAGAAAACCTTTACCTTCAATCAAACTTTCATTGGCCCAAGCCAATGTGCATGGTTTCAACCATAAAGATAAAGAATGATATTATCAGTGTTTGGGACTAAAATGGGCAAAGTGTCTTGGCGATCACAAGTTTAGAGTCAGTACATTTGGAGGAAAGTTAGAGAAAGCTAACTCAAACTTGAGAGGGAGAGAGAGATAGAGAAAGAGATCACAAACTTGTTGACCCACAATACTGTAAAGTCCAGCAGTAATGGCTTCAGGTACACATGGATCAAGATGCTTCGGAAGGCCTTTACTCTAAATTTTTGCTTACTTTTCAAATGGCTTCATTTTAAATTCAGGTTCTTCCTTCATGAGAGCCCAACATCTCCAGGTGGATATTTGATATATTTTCTTCGTATTTAGTTTTAAGAGATTTGATTATTACGTGAATTTCTTTTGGTTCATTTTGTTTGAGAATGACTCAACTTTTTGAATTTGTAGGTTTATGTCTTTTGCCAAATTTGGGAGTTTCAACTATTATTCCTTTGATTTATTTTCAGCACAGCACTAATTATCCTTTTCTTCTAAAACTTTGATGGTATGATTGTTAGACCTTTATGTTATTGCCTGGCAGATCCCTGAGACTCTGCTAATTTATTTTTCATCTCTTTTGTTTAGATTAGATTATTTCTATTGATCTGCTGTGCCTTATGCTCTCCTCTGTCATCTCTAATCACCTAGTTAGCCAATTCATTGATTTATTGCATTCTCTTACTGTAATTTTTAGTTTTAACATTTTTAGTTATCTCTTGTATTTACTATGACTTTTTATGTTTTGATTTGTTTTAAGGGTGTTCATGATTACTTGTTGGAGCATTTGTGTGAAAGGTGCTTTCAAGTTCTTATCAGATAATTCTCACATTAGTGTCATCCTGATGTGAGCATGTGTCTTACTGAAGTTGACATTTAACACATTCTTGATATGCTGTGCAATTTAGGATTTTTTTGGGGGGGGACGTTACATTATGTTACAGAACTAGTTTCTGTTAAAATAGTTTGTTTTATCAAGCACTCAATCCATATAGGCTAAGGACATTTTGTAGTCTATGGCTTAAATGAGAAATTAGTTTTCAAAGCCTTGCAGTGTTATTCTGCTGTTCCTATTGATATGCAGCCCAGTGACAAGTCTGAAACCTGGACTATTCCATGCTGCAGCTCAGTGTCTTAAGCTTTCAGTGTGAGAAATATAGAGTGTTCAGGAAGGACTTCAGATACACACTTAAAGAACCACTTTCTCTGGCTTTCTCTTCTTTTCTCCTTTTACTCTACTTGGCTGAGAAAGTGGCACTCTGCTGGATTTTGTCTAATATAGGGCAGGGGTAATAGTAAGTATTTGGCCCCACATGTCTCTGGCTACAGTATAAGTGGAGAAGGTAGGTCACCCTCTGCTTATCTTTGCTAAATGCAAGGTGACAATAGTTGAGAGGTCTCTGATTGTTCTTAGCTACTGAGTCAGTGGGGAGAAACAGCACTTCTTGCATGGCATTCAACTGGTATATAGTAGGTATAATCTACAGGGTTCCATCCTGTAGGTCCACACTCTACTAGAGCTTCTGGCAAAAATGAAGGTTTTGTGGGGAGTTTTTGTTCTGTGTATTTTTTGGAAGTTCTGAGTTGTAAATTCTTCTAGCATCCAGGTTGGGATATACATATAGCAAATGGGCACAAAACAACCAAACAAACAAGCAAGCAAAAAACACATGAGTAAACAAAAAAAATCCATGGGGAATTACTGCATTTGCTCCTGGAATCCTGAGGTCTTACTTCCTTTCTTTGTAGTTCAGCATTTTCCCATAGTTGCTACATTGATTTTGTCCAGAGTTTCTAGTTGTAATTAGTGGGAGATGTAGGAGAGAGTGTGCTTGTTGCATCTTAGCCAAATCTAGAAATACCTAGTTTTACATTATATTTCAATGACAGAAATAGAAATTATGTATGTGTCAGGTATACTTGTATCCAACCAAACTATCATTGGATAGATAGTTCCAGTTGTCTTGGATTTAGAATGGTCTGGAGCCAATTCAGTTTCACAATTAAACTGTAGATGAATTCTTCCACCTGAATGATAGATGTGATAGATTAACCAGAAAAAACTTGAGAGATACCTGTTCGTTCACAAGCTACACTTTCCAGACCTGTCATCTATTTCTGCTGCTTTTTTTTGACTTAGAGATAGAGGAATAGATCCATTGCCGTAATATAAAATGTACTCCAGTTTTGCTTTTTCTCTCCTTGTGGTTAAAGGGACCATAGCCAGTACCTTTGCCAATAATTAGCACCCTCAAGCTGCCTGAATTTATAGAACTGTAGAATATTAGAGATGAATGCAATCTTCACAATCAACTTTATATTTACTTCAACCTAATGTTTCTCTCTGGAACTGTATTTTCCAACACTGTAGATACATTTCAATTACCTAATAGCTACATGGGGCCAGTGGGTATTTTATTGAACAATATTTTCATCCACATGGAAACTCTACTGGAAAGCTATGATCTAGAACCTTCTTTACTGAGTTGCCAGGCAGTAGCTGTCTTACCTGTAATTGAATACATCTCTTTCAAACTTTAATACTTCTATTTTAGTAGTATGAATTTTAACTAGATATAGCAGTCCCTGCTCAGAGTAAATGCATTTGGAAGATCAAAGGCTCTCAAGTCAGAATGACCTGGGTTCAAATTATGTTTAGGGATAGAAAAATACGGGATATGTCAATTTACTCTATTTTAATGAATTTCAAATTTATTATCTGTAAAATAGAGAGAACAAAGCTTCACACATAAAGTTACTGTGAGAATTAAATAAAATAAGTGTGTAAAAACAATTAGGAAAGTTACATACCTGATTGCTTCTTTCCTATTTTTAATCACACTGAGCTCCTTAAAACAAAAAGAAAATCCTAAAGTGTATGATTTTTGTGTGTGTGTGCCAGAATGCTGTATTTAGACATCATTGTTGCAGAAGTATTATCTCCCTCATTCTTTAATTATACCATTGCTATTTTTGGACCCAGGTGTAGGATTTTATATTCATTCATGCTGAATTCTGTTCTACTCCACTAAGCCTATTACTTAAGCCTTTGAAGGACTTTCCAATCCACATATGAGCAGGGATTTTCTCTCTTCTTAAGCCTCACATAATAAACACTTAGATGATAGTTTTCTATTGCTATGTCCAAAAGGTTTATGCACATGTTGAACAAAAGATATAGTTGGGCCCTGGGTGTCTTTTAACTAAATCCTGTTGACCCCAGCTCAAAGTGTGCTCTCATTACTTTGTATTCTCCTGTTTACACAAGTAGCAATCCGAATCCAAACAATATGAAGTCTTCACAGAGATATCTCTTTCTAATAATAGGCAAGGGTTGTGTACCAGTAGATTTAGTGCTAGTTTTTACTTGTTATATGGAATAATGGCCCCATTAAAAATGTCCATGTCCTAATCTCTGGAACCTATGAATATGTTCACTTACAGAGTAAAAGGAACTTTGCAGATGGTTATTTTAAGGATACTGAGATGGGGAGATTATCCTGGGATATCTGGGTGGGCAAAGGGTCTTTATAAATAAAAGAGAACAGCAGAGAGTCAGAGAGAAATTCTAAGATGCTGTGCTGCTTTCTTTGAAGATGGAAGAAAGTGCCATGAGCTAAGGAATGCAGGTAGCCTCTAGAAGTGGGAAAAGACAGGATAGGGATTATCTCCCAGAGTTTCCAAAAGGAACACAGCCCTACGGCAACTTCATTTTAGTCCTGTGAAATAGAGAGTAAATTTGTATTGTGTTAAGCCATGGAGTTTTTGATAATTTGTTACAGCAGCAAAAGGAAACAAATACCTTATATTCAGAAAATTTTCATTTCACCACGATCTGATCTGTTGAGACAGATTCCTCCACTGTTGTTGCTAGTGCTAGCTGCCATCTGCAGACTGTATTATGCAACAGTTCTCTGGCAGAGACTTTAAACAGATTATGTCATTTAATTTTCACAAGAAATCTATAAGCCAAAGTCATTTTTCTAAGTTTATTTATTTGTTTTATTTTTTTCGAGATGGTGTCTTGCTCTGCTGCCCAGGCTGGAGTGCAGTGGCACAATCTTGGGTCATTGCAACCTCCACCTCCGGGGTTCAAGTGATTCTCCTGCCTCAGCCTCCCAAGTAGCTGGGATTAAAGGTGTGTGCCAGCACACCTGGCTAATTTTTTTTGCATTTTTAGTAGAGACAGGATTTCACCATGTTGGTCAGGCTGGTCTCGAACTCCTGAGCTCAAGCGATCCACCCACCTTGGCCTCCCAAAGTGCTGGGATTACAGGCATGAGGCACCGTGCCCGGCCTCTAAGTTTAAATAAAAGAAACCTAAGGTTCAGAGAGTCAGGAATATATCTAGTGCTTCAGAAGCAGGAGTCCTGGCAACTTCTCCCTGGCTCTCTGTATCTCAGAGTTTAAAGAGCGGTACTGGAAAGAACCTTGAACATTTGCTTTTCCTGCATTTTTTTTTTAACCTAAGACTCTAATTTTGTTATCTCATTATAAAGTAGTGACAATATAACTGCCCTATTTATGTCACAAAGGGATGCTATGACATAAAATTGGGGAAAAGTATTTAGAAATGCTTAATTTTATAAAACACTTTACATATGTATTTTATTTTCGTTGCAATTTAAGGAATTATTAGTATTATTTTAATCCCATATTTTCACAGAATTTCCAAGAGGCTAAGCTTCACAAATGTTACATAGCAATCATAAAAAGAGCAATATTTGTGTATCCCAATTATGCATATTGGGAAATTAGTACCATTTTGGAATTAATGAAATACTAGATTGCCCAATTAAGGTGAGTGTTAAATTCATCTAACGAGCATTGTCTGTGCATTCAATTGTTCCCCAATGAACATACGATTTCACTGGAATAGTTACAGTTATTAAACAGAAAATTTATAGCTATCTCTGAGATGTTTTTGTTAAAATCAGTATGAGAGCGTCCACCTAATTGCAGCTATTATCCCTTTCTCAACTTCATATTGCAGAACACCACATGGCTGCAATCACCTTATAAATGGTGATGCTTGGAGCATTCATTGTACATCTCAGCAGAATTTGTTTTCTGGTTTTTGTTTTTTTCTTCTTTCCCTTTTTAATAAATAGAAAGAAAGCACAAACTTTTTGACCTGATGACTGAAGTCCTTAAGCAACTGACAATTTTCTCCTAGGAGAAAATTGAAAGGTATTCCCTTTGTGTTTTTAGCTCCGTTTGAGCAAATGCTGCAGCCTGGATGTGAATGTGGACCAAGATGAGCAAGTTGCTTGCAGGTCAGACTGGCTTGTGTGAGGATATGTTGGCACTAGAGTCAACAATGCATCAAAAGGAGAGGCACAGATACTGTGGAGGCAGCTAAAATTGGTAAAACCTAAAATTATTCTGCTAATGAAACAGTCTTAGCATGGTAATAGCAGGAACTATAATAGCAATAAAAATAGAAATGCTTTATTTTAAAACAATGGGCATTTAAAACTGTTTACTTGAAAATTGGATAGAGATGTCTTCAAGAATGAGTGATAGTAGATGAATATATGTTTTAGAGTCAAATTCATCTAGATTGGTATTTTGGATGCACCTTGGTATCGTCGATTCTTGACCTGTGTTTCTTCATCTGAAAATGATTGTCATGCCATTTGCTTTAAAGTGTAGTAATGAGATACAGGAGTGTAAAGGATCTGCGTGGGGCACACATGTAAACTCTGATAGCTATTACTACTATAACTGATGTTAACATGAAATATGGGTGGCCAAAGTGGAAGTTATAATGAGCCATTGTCTCTAATTAGATCTTCAAACTGGAAATAAAACTAATATCCCGAGTATTGACTTGGGGCATATTGAGATTATTTTCTATTTTATGCAAGGAGAATACATCTACTTAGAGCCCAGAGCCTGCCTAACTACAGTCTCTGCAGATCTTTGTGGTAAGCCATGCTTAGTTCCAGGCAAAGCTGGGAAATAGTTAAATTTTGTGTTGGGCTCTTTACAGTCTCTGTGGCCCTACCCTTACCTCCACTCTTACTCATCATTCTTATCATCTATCCCTATTGTCTTAGGCACCTCTGGCTGCTGTAACAGAATACTGCACATTGACTGGGTGGCTTAAACAATAGGAATTTAATTCTCACAGTTCTGGAGATTGGAAGCCTAAGATCAAGGTGCTGGCCAATCTGGTGTCTGCTGAGGTCTCTCTCCTTGGCTTGCAGATGACCTCCTTCTTGTTGTGTCCTCACTTGGCCCTTCTTTGGTGTATGTGGGTAAAGAGGAAAGGAGGAAGAAAGCTCGCTGGCGTTTCCTTTTGTAAGGGCACTAATATTATCATGCAGTCTCCACTGTCCTGGCTTCATCTGAACGTAATCACTTTCTGAAGGCCCCACCTCCAAATACCATCACACTGGGGATTAGGGCTTCAACCTATGGATATTTGGGTAACAAAATTCAGTCCATGGCACCTATTATTTTTAAAATGAAACAAAACAAATAAAACCTCACAAGTTTCCTCATGTGCTTTACTACTAACTCTCTCAACACATATTTGTTGATCATCAGAGCCAGGCAATGGGCTGGAATCTGGAGGCTCTGGAAGGACTCTGGTTGATATGTCCAACCTTTGGGAGGTAAGCAGTCTGGCAGGATAAACAAAGATAAATCAATTAATAATAGCAAATTGAGATAGTCTAATAACTATAGATTCTAGAAATGTCCCCTAGAGGCTTTCGACTATGGATCTGACCTACTGAAAAGATTAGAGCCAAAGAGTGACATTTTTTATTGAGCTCTGAAGGATGAGAAAGAGGCATGTCTAGTACATTTATGGACTCCTCTCTAAAATTTCAACTTATATGTTGAACACCTACTATGTGCTAAGATCCAAAGTCAGCACAGAAAAACTGAATGGTATATACATTCTGACCAGAATGTTTAAGTTTAAATTGCAGTATCCATTCACAATTAAATGCTAAAAGCTCTTATTCATGGACTGCATATAAGATACACACCCATTCCATCTGCTAGAATTTAAGTAGCTAAATATTATCTTTGGAACCATCCAAAATCACCAGTTAGCTAAGGTACCACGCATAACATCATCTGGTCCCTTATGGAAGGGGTTTTCCCCAGTAGCATCTCTGATACACATTTAAGGACATTAAGAAAGATAAGCATAGAAAACTTGCTCTCCCCTTCATAAGACTTCACAGAAAGAACTTTTTTGTTCATTCCTTTGTGTTTTAGCACAAGGAAGCTGCTCTTTTTCTGTACAAATAGTTTTGATTTTATAGACATTGAATTCCAATTATATTTCCATCTTTGCTTTAGCCAAATTGGTTGTTAATTTTAAATAATATTTCAAGATATTATCACATGCATTTTTGTGTATTAACTTTATGTAACATTTGGAATGTGTGTGCTGATAAACTGTTTCACTTATAGTAAAGACTAAGGGGAAGGTGTTACCTTACACAAGAAGTGCAGAGAAAGAAGATGGCTCTGATGCTGATTAATTCAGTGGCTCAACAAGGATCCACTCTTTGCATCTGTGTGTTTCCTCCTCTGAATGTTGGCTTTTGTTATTGGAGTTCATCTCATGGGTGCAGGATGGTTCCATCACAAGGAGATGTGCTCACATTGAAGGGAAGGAGAGGAACCTACCTAGAGATTTGTCCTCATGTCTCTGGCCAAACTGCATCACATGCTTTTTCATTATCCAATAACCAGCAAAGAGGAATGAGATTAGCAACATTGCTCTAGATTTACCAGTATTCCCCACTCTGGAACTGGAGGTCTGCTCCCTTCACACATGACAGTGGAGGAAGCAAATGAAACTTAGAGTCCAGCTAGCAAAGAAGGTTGAATTGCTGATAAGTACGTATCAAATTTGTATTATGCTTACCTGTGTTTTATATGGATTTTTGTACCCTTATGTCTTTCTTTGATGCAATGCTCTCAACTAGTCATTCTATTCTATCCTATGTGAATGTCCCAATCATTTATTTTAATGTAAAGTGGATGCATAATCAAACAACAAAAAATAGATATTAAAACAGTCCATATACTCATGTGATAAGCCCTACATTTGGTATTAAAGCTATAGATGTAAAAAAATAAAAAGAACAAAAAGATTAGGGCTCAAGGAGATAAAAAAATCAAGAGGCTTTTCTTACGGGCTTGATACAGAACGCAGAGGTGAGGGGAGTGTACTGCCACTCTGAGTCTGACAGGAGACCCTGTAGGTAGTGTTTCTTGCAACTATGGAGGACATTAACTTGAAAAAAGTATTCACGAGCGGCACCACGAGTTTAGAAACACTATTAGGTAGTTAGGTAGTTACGGCAAATGTCAGAGTGCTTGTCATGAGTTTAGGTTCAAGCAAGCTGTGTTTGTGGTGTCCTGTTGAAGAAATCCAAGAGGCACTCATGTGCATCTATGAAAGCATTTCGAAGTTCAGAAAAAAATGCTTTCATAACGATTATCTCATTTGTTCTTTCCAATCCTGCTAAGCTCTACACATTATATCCATAAAGAAACTGATGCTCTGAATGGCTGTGTGCTTTGTTCCACATCACACTGCTAACAAGAGTCCAAGACCTTTTAGACATGATATCATTTATTGAGTCCAAAGCCTCAGACTAAAATTTTAAAATTCTACATCCACAAGACTTCAGTTGGATAAGAAGATGCTTTGGGGTGGAGTAGGTGGAACTGAACTGAGTTCTCTGTTTCTTAATGGATCATTTGATGAAGAAGCCTCACAGCACTTTGTTCATGTAATTTACCTGACTTTTGATCTGTCCATTTACTTGTTCATTCATTCATTTGTTCACTCATCCAATAAGCATTAAATGAACACAACTATGCTAGGTACTGTACTGGGTGTGTTCAGATACAAACTACACAACTCAGAACAGAAGACATACATGAGAAAAAAGTATGTGTTTTGCTGAGGTGCTGTTTCAAGGGTGTCTGGAATTTAGGTCCAATTGTTACTAGTCTTTTTTTGTTCCTTAGATTCTCAGTATCCACCCCCATCCCAAGTTTGCTACATATGATAGAAGATGACAAGGCAAAAGTATTTTGTCTTGCATTAGAAGCACATTGCAAGAAGGAGAATGGAAGGAGAAGATATTCAACCTTTATTTTCTAGCTCTATGTGCTAGACAGTCATTTATATGTTGCCATATAATCCTCACAATATTTGTGTGAGTGGACATTATTCTACTGCTTGGTTGACTTGATAATTGGTACTCAGAGAGGTTTAGTACCTTGCCCAAGTTTGTATTCATTTGAAGTAAATATATCAGTATATATTTTATAATAAATATAAAATATAAAAAGCTAAAGAACGTTTTTGTTGATAAGTCTGTTGGCTTTTCTTAAACAAAACAGAGTTAACTCAGAAGATTTATAAACTGAGATTAAAAGTGACTGGGGAGATTCTAAAAAAAACAAAAGAAAATATTCTAAAGCGTAAAGGAAGCATTTAAGTGGATCTCTAGACAGAAACACATGCTGTTTCTCTTGTGTCACCGGAGGAGATCATGGTGAAGAAGGAAATTGGAACAACAGCTGAAAATGTTGAGGGTGAGGATAGTAAAGCTGTGGGGGACATGAAATAAAGTTGCCTGGAATGCACTTGCTTCAAAGGTCTCTGCCACCTGGTCTCTTATGTATGCATTCTCCTGACTGATTTCCCCGTCGGTGAGCCAGAACGTCAGGCAATTTGACAAAATGAGAGCCTTCAAGTCTTTGGTATCAGATTGAACTTTCTTAAATGTTATAATAGAAAAACTATTAGGTGGGTAGGTAGTTACAGCCAATGTTGCAGAGGGCTTGTCCAGTTTCACTAAAGGTCCAAAAAATTGGTAAGTTACTAGCAGAATGGCTATTTAGGAGGGAGAGGTATAGAGAACTCCACAGTTAATTCAGTGCCTGTTTCAGGGCCTTTCTGCTTAACTAGAAACTGAACTCCCACCCTCCCCATCTCCCACTTTGCAGAGAAGACTGAAATCTTGTGGCTTATCCTTCTTCAGTTTTATTCCTTGCCAACAAAAAAATGGTGCAACAATTTAAATCCAGCACTAATCAGTCAGGTACCATAACTTGAAGTGGGTCAAACAGTCCCCTGGATGCTATTGTGCAGAATGATCACTTCCTACCACCATCCCAAACTCCAAACCCTGTGGCTTGTCCCTTGCTTGTTTCTGCTCACCGGATAACTTGGACTGGGACATTCTTGCTTGGTGCTGTTGGGGACATTTGGCTTACCTGAGTAGATAAGTAGGTGCATGCTTCAGCCAATGCAACATATTTCAGTATCCTGTCCACACTCATAGTTTTGTTCATATGAGCCATCATTGCTTTACTTCTGTAATGAAGGGATCTTGACAGAAATTAAAAAAAATACTTATGTTAAAGTCTAACCTTACTAGAATGTTATTGAATATATTTTAAGGGATATTTAACACATGGTAAGTCAGAAACCATGTAAAAATGAGCCATATTATAAGAGGTTCTAATACATGTCTCATCAATCTTAAAAAGAAAATGGTCACACCAATTAAAAACAAAATAGACATCCATCCTCTTTCTCCTGTGACAGAATTTAGGTTCTTTTCCTCAGCCTATAAAACATCCAGGGCTTCTCCATTCAAGAAATGCTATACATTTTCCAGCTACCTTACTGTTTCTTATGCTCTCACTTACCAAAATTAGTTAAAAAGTCGTCCATATTTCTGGTTTCCTATCCTCATCACACATTCACCTTCATTTCTTAGTGATCAGCCTGCTGTCTACTGAAACTATACACAAGAGTCACCGGGATCACTCTGGTTTTTCATTTAATGGGCTGCTTCTCAACTTTCTCTCTCTGTACCTCTGGCAGGAAAGATGCTTTTCCTGAAACATATTTTCTAGGGAGTGGTTAAAGCTTTTTATTTTGAGTCTGGGTTGGGAAATTTGGCTCCACTGCTTTCTAAAACTGTGAGCTTAGGTAGGTTATTATGAATTTGTAAACCTCAGTTTCCCTTCTGTATACAAAGCGTTACTAATTCCTACTTCAAAATGTTCGTGAGAAGATTACAGAAGGTAAGGCATGTAAAGCATTTAGTGAGATCCTGGCTCAGAGTAAACATTCCATGAATGTTAGCTTTTGCAGCCAGCTTCCTTTTGTTTCCCTTTGATTGCTGTCTTTAGGTTCTTCGTCTACCACTCTATTTTTTTTTATTATACTTTAAGTTCTAGGGTACATGTGCGCAACGTGCAGGTTTGTTACATATGTATACCTGTGCCATGTTGCTGTGCTGTACCCGTTAACTCGTCATTTACATTAGGTATATCTCCTAATGCTATCCCTCTCCCTGACCCCACCCCACGACAGGCCTGGGTGTGTCATGTTCCCCACCCTGTGTCCAAGTGTTCTCATTGTTCAATTCCCACCTATGAGTGAGAACATGTGGTGTTTGGTTTTCTGTCCTTGTGATAGTTTGCTCAGAATAACTCCATCGCATTAGTTCTCCTCTCCCTGGGGGCTTCTAAGTAAATATTCTATAAAAGTTACTTCTTCAGCTCACTTTTCTCTGTGTCCACATGTTTTCCTTTGATGACATAATTATTCCCATTGCCACTGTCAATGCATCTATACTCTTAACTCCCAAATCCTCATCTCTATTTTAAGAATGAGCCTCCTGCATCCAATTCTTCACTTACCGTCACATTGAAATGTCTGTAGGACTGTTCAGATTCATCACAAGAAAATCTTACCTCACCTCTCACTTTCTAAACTGCTCTGCGCTCCCAGCATCATCCCCCCAGAAGCCCAGAACACACCCAGCAGCAGCTTCACACCCCGCCACCCCCATTTCCCAAGGGAATCAGCCACTAAGTCTCTTCTCGGCTTCCTCACCTCAACACTTTTTCCATATCCTTACTTTTTTTTTTGAGATTGAGTCTTGCTCTGTCACCCAGGCTGAAGTGCAATGGCACGATCTCGGCTCAATTCAACCTCCGCCTCCTGTATTCAAGCGATTCTCTTGTCTCAACCTCCAGAGTAGTTGGGATTACAGGAACCCACCATCATGCCCAGCTAATTTTTGTAGAGACAGGGTTTCACCGTGTTGGCCAGGCTGGTCTTGAACTCCTGACCTCAGGTGATCAGCCCGCCTCGGCCTCCCAAAGTGCTGGAATTACCAGGCGTGAGCCACCGTGCCCGGCCCCGTATCCTTACTTTTTCCTACATCATCATTTTCTATCTCAGTATCTCATCATTTCTTGCCTTATCTCTAGTAATAATGTTGAAAGTATTTCTCCTGCTTTAGCCTCTGCCTCTCCTTCACATTTTCACATGAACTGCCTTTCACGTTGTAGTTTTCATCATCTTGCTCCTCTGTGTGGTAACTGGGGAAACCTCCCCTAGGCTACAAATAAGGGCCAGATTCCAATATCCAATTAGTTGGTATAAATTGAATTTCCCAGCTTCTAATTTAAAAATGTTCTCCCTGCCACTGTCCCTGGGCTTTGACTACCACAGTCTAGTCTCCATGTCCTGAAAAGTTTCCCACCTCCACCTCTTCTGCCCTAATGCATATTCCCCCCATTCAGGTCTCTTTCTCTGAAATGCTCTTTCTCCAGCCTCATCCTATCTCTGTCCTCAGAGATCCTTCAAGTCCTACAAAAATTCTTGCTCTTCCAAGAAGTTGTCCAGAAAGAAAATAGTGTAGCCCTTTATCTGCTCCCTGGACACCTGGTTTTGTCATGCCATTACAATGGCTTCACCCTCGTTATCAATGTGCATGTATGTCTGTGCCATTCATTCCTTCAAGTCAGAGACCACATCATTTTGAATTTCTATCTTTCCTCAGTGGCATGAATATATTAAAAATGCAATGGATACTTATTTTATTGAATTATTGACTGTTTAGAAATTACAAAACCAAACCAACATATCACATTAGTGTTGTGAATATAGAATTAATTAATTAATTATTTTTGAGACGGAGTCTTGCTCTGTCGCCCAGGCTGGAGTGCAGTGGCGTGATCTCAGCTCACTGCAAGCTCCGCCTCCTCGGTTCACGCCATTCTCCTGCCTCAGCCTCCGGAGTAGCTGGGAACTACAGGCGCCCGCCACCACGCCCGACTAATTTTTTGTATTTTTAGTAGAGACGGGGTTTCACCGTGTTAGCCAGGTTGGTCTAGATCACCTGACTTCGTGATCCGCCTGCCTCGGCCTCCCAAAGTGCTGAAATTACAGGCGTGAGCCACAGCGCCCAGCCTA
The DNA here is from genome assembly GCF_000001405.40 of Homo sapiens. NCBI lineage: Eukaryota > Metazoa > Chordata > Mammalia > Primates > Hominidae > Homo > Homo sapiens. The sequence goes on from NC_000007.14 coordinate 48,776,306, forward strand.
TTAATTTATTTTTTAAATCATGATTGAGAACAGATCATGTGACAAATGTTAGACATTCAAAGAAAAATGTAATTTTTCTCTTTGTGCTGGATAGTATCCCAGTCTTTAGACAAGTGGTTCTCAAACTTTGTCATGCCTTAGAACCACATGAGAGCTTGTCAAAAACTCCAGAGTTTCCGAGTTGGTGGATCATGGCTGATACTAGAGAATTTACGTCTCTACAAGTTCCCAGGAGGTGCCAATGCTGCTAGTCCAGAGATCACACTTTGAGGACCATGGTCCTAGATAATGAGTCCAGAATTGACTTCACTACTCTTGGTTCAGGTGGAGTCACTTCATTGTCTGAATCTCACTTTTCTCTTATATAAAAGGTATTCACTGGGCAAAATAATAACTTGCCCAGCTCTAGTATTCTACATTGATTTGTGTAATGCATTTTTAATGAATAAATAAAATCTAGAGATTCTGGAACTTTTGACATTTCTTTCAATACTGGTATAAGAATGGGACATGAGTTATTTTCATATCTTGGATTGTAGATTGATTTCCCCTAGATATATTTTAGGAAATCTAGATTATGTTTCAAGGCCAAAGTACAGTCATCTCCACCTTGCTTTGAAATAGAATCTTCTGTTAACAGACATGGGTGACTTAGTTAAGTGGTAGTTGTTTCGAAAGAATTCTAATATGGATAAAATCTGTCTTATTTTTGCATTTGTCTAGGCTGAATCTGGAACAAGGAATTCACAGGCTATGCGCTCTGGACCATAATTTGAACAGCATCACCTAGAAAGTAATTATTAGAAATATTTGCGGAAGAGAACCAGGGAACAGATAGAATTTATGGTAAATTGTCTGATAAGTGTTTAATGTTGTATTTTGGGTATTATGAGCCTAATTTTTGTCCAGGAGGCATGAGATCTGGCTAAATGGAGCCTTATTATCTTCACTAGGTAACCCAGACCTTTACCTTAGAAGCAAAGCAGAGCAGGAAATAGCAGGTGTTTTGTGGCTGCACTTCACTTCTGCCATCATGTTCATGCGTTGCTTTCATCTGAGAATTTGGCCAAAAATGAAAAGAAAGCAAAGCAAAAGATATACAGCCCACAGGCCAATCTGTTTAGATTCCCAGAATTTGGCAGGGCCTCCCAGACTGAGTCTTTCATTGAGGAGATGATCGATGGCAATAAAATTCACACAGTGAAGACACAGCTTCATGCTATAAAGAGTCAAGCTGGAATAGAGAAGTCTTATTAGATTCTCAGTCTCTCTTTCTTTCATCAGTCTTAAAGATACAACTAATTGCTATAGAAAGCCTAGTCAACATATGGGGTTGCTGTCTATGTGTCAATGTTCTTTACTCTTAGAACACCACAGACACTTGTAGTTGAACAAGCTGAGTTTTTTGCTTGATGCAACAAGAAAGAACACACACCATGAGACATCTCAATAAAGGATAGAGGAAAGGACTTATAGGATTTGGGCTTCCGTTAGATAACATTTGGTAGGGTTAAAAAATAGACCTCTATTCTGGAGTGGGTGCTGTTGGGAAGTAGTAAAATTCAATGATTAATAACTTAATATTTCTTATCTATATGATTGAATGAGTCTAGCCTAAAGCTCTGATAGGTAAAGAAGCAGCAGACACATCACTCATAATAGCCAAAGTATGGGGCTACTTGGCCATTTTTGTGATTAGGAAAATGTTCATAATTTTATCTATGTTCTAACATGATTGTGAAGTTTTCCTATATTTTTCATGTTCTATTACATTCACACTCTGGCTGGGTCTGTTGTCGGTATACTATGAAACTGTATATGCTCAGCAGGAAAATACCAAATCCTAGATGGCAGTACCAGGCTGGCTCCTGAATGCCAGCAACAGCTTTATTCTTTCTTAAATCTGAAACACTAGCTGTGCTTACTATGAGGAAATATATGTCTACAATTAATTCCATCTTCCCAAAGTTTATATCCAAAATAAAAAGCATACTATATTGTGCTAAGGAGATTTTTTTTCTTCTTGTTCTTCAAAGCAAAATATAGTTTCACAGGTAAAAAGATCCTTAGAAATCATCTAGTAATCTAATCCTATGTTGATCAGAGCTCTCCACAGAAACAAAACCAATAGGATGCTTGTGTGTGTATGTGTGTGTGTGTAAATGTGATTTATTTATTTTTTTTGTAAGGGATTTGTTCTGACAATTATGGAGTGTGAAAACCCAAAGATTTATAGGCAGCAAGCTGGAAGCCCAAGAGAGCCAAGGCTGTAAGTTTCTACTCTGAATCTCAAGACCTGAGAACCAGGAGTGGCAATGGTGTAAGTTCTAGTCTGAAAACTGGGAGGCTGGAGATCTAAAAAGTATTCATGTTTTAGTACAAGTCTGAAGGCAGAAAAAAGACTTAAGTTTTAGCTCACCCAGTCAGGCAGAAAGAGGTCCCCTCTTAATAAGATTAGTTCTATTCAGGTCTTCAGCTGATTGAATGAGGCACACCATATTGTGGGAGCCAATCTGCTTTACTCAGATGCAAATATTAATGTCATTCAGAAACACCCTCACAGACACACTTAGAAGAATGGTTGACCAAATGGTTGGACATCCTATGATCCAGTCAGGTGGATACATAAAATTGACTATTAAAGGCAGGATATGGTGGTTCATGCCTGTAATGTGAACACTTTGGGAAGTCAAGGTAGGAGGATTGCTTGAGGCAAGGAGTTAGAGACTAGCCTGGACAACATAGCAAGACTCCATCTCTACAAAAAGTAAAAACAATTAGCTGGCTGTGGTGACACAAACTTGTAGTCCTAGCTACTTGGGAGGATGAGGCAGAAGGATTGTTGGAGCATAGGAGTTCAAGGCTGCAGTGAGCTATGATCACACTACTGCACTAAAACCTATGCAACAGAATAAGACCCTGTCTCTAAAGTAAAATTAAATTTTAAAAAAGAACTGTCACAAAGCCCAGTTGGGAAACAACTAAAAGTAGTAGTTTAGAAATCAGGGCTCCGTGTACGGTTTTCTGGATCTTTAGAGAGTAATCATCTCACTAGTGCACTGTTGTTACTGCACAGAAAGTTTGTAGAGAAAATTGACCTGCTTAGAATCAAAGTTTAACATTCCATTCCAAATTGAGAAATGTTGACAAAAAGAATCAAAATTTGTAAAATATTTCAAGAGATTGACTCTGAGCCAAATATGAGGACCATGACCTGTGACACAGCCCCAGGAGATCCTGAGAACATGTGGCCAAGCTGATTGGGCTACAGGTTGGTTTGCACATTTTAAGGAGATATAGGACATCAATCAACACATGTAAGATATACATTGGTTCCGTCTAGAAAGGCAAGGCTACTCAAAGTGGTGGTGGGGGTGGGGAAGGGGGCATCCAGGTCATAGGTGGAGTTAAAGATTTTCTGGTTGGCAATTGGTTGAAATAGTTAGGCTAAGGACCTGGAATCAATAGAAAGGAGTGTCTGGGTTAAGGTAAGGGGTTGTGGAGACTGAGGTTTTCATCATGAAAATGAAGCCTCCAGTTAGCAGGCTTCAGAGAGAATAGATTGTAAATGTTTCTTATCAGACCTAAAAATATGCTAGACTCTTTAATTCTTTCCCGGATCAGGGAAAAGACCTAGAAAGAGAAGGGGATTCTCCACAGAATGTTGATTTTCCCCACAAGAGATAGCTTTGCAGGACCATTTCAAAATATGTCAAAGAAATATATTTTGGGGTAAAATAATTTCTTTCAGGGCCTGCTATCTGTCAAGAGTGTGTTTTGTAAGCCCTACGGTCTCTGTTTTAATGTTAATGCTGGTCAGTTGTGCCTGAATTCCAAAGGAAGGAGGGTATAGTGAGGCCTCTACTAGTTTTTCAGGTTAACTTTGGAATGCCTGTGGCCAAGAATGGGGGTTCATTCAGTTGGTCAGGGGGCTTAGATTTTTATTTTTTGGTTTACAGAAACCAGTCGCAACTGCTCACTCTCTGTTCTTAACAAGTATATCTACTCTGAGGAAGTTCAAGAGATGGCATTACATAGACAAACTTATACCTCTAGGCAATGAGATTTTAAATATTTTTCAAGTTTATTAAATATCTGAGTTTTGAGAGATTTAACCTGAGCCCCATTCTGATTCTTAGGCATTGGATCTTGCAGATTGTTGGCAACCAGTTGGGACAAATAGTAGACAATAGAATTAAAACTGGGTTCAAGACAGTGCTGACCAGGGTGGCAGTGAAACTGATATAGGTGTAAGAGAATGAGTCAGGAGAAAGAGACTCAGACCAAACAGAAGGCTCTCTTAAGAGAAACAGGGCAATTAAACTTTAATCCTGGCTTCACATTCCCGATACAAGCTGTGCCCTGGGAAACACAGGTAACATTTCTACCAGAGGCTAAGAAGGGATCAGAGCAGGCACATGATAAGGGTGTTGGAGTTATCAAAGTATGAATTTTAAAAACCCATGCACAATGGCTAATCTGACAAGAACTTTGATGAAAAAAAGTACACAATATACAAGAACAGATGGATAATGTAAGTAGGGTGATGAAAATTCCAATAAAAAGGACATTCTAGAGATCAGCAGCACTACAACAGAAATGAAGAATGCCTGTGTCTCTGAGCTTGAGGATATGACTATACAGCCTTTGAAAGTCATATGTGACTCTAGTTCTGATGTTTGTTCACTTTCTTCAAACTGTGTATTTTGCCTTTTAGTATGCCCGGTAATTTTTTGTTGAAAGGCAGACACAATGCAGTGAGTAAAAGGAAGTGCAGTAAATAGACCTTTATTGATGTGGTGGTAAGGTTAGGGGGTGGGGGAACATTCTATAGTTCTATGGGTAGGTCTCAGTCTTTTGGTGAGCCTGTGCCTCTGGACTTGGACTTCACCAGTGCTTCTCAGTGTGTTGGCTCCCCTTCCCCTTAAGTGGTACAGGATGGCTACTGCAGGCAGGACTTGGGTATTTCCCCCGTCCCATGTGGAAGGGTAATGCTGGCTGAAGTTGGGTATTCGCCTTTCCCCAGGTCAGTTAGGCTCTGATAAAACCCCAGAAGATTAGGCTCTGGTTGACTAGTTTCTCCAGAGGGTAGACATTATTAAGAAGAGTGGGACACGGTGGTTCATGCCTGTAATCCCAGCACTTTGGGAGGCTGAGGCAGGCAGATCACGAGATCAGGAGATAGAGATCATCCTGGCTAACATGGTGAAACCTCATCTCTACAAAAAATTAGCCTGGCGTGGTGGTGGGCACCTGTAGTCCCAGCTACTCAGGAGGCTGAGGCAGGAGTATCAGCTTGAACCCGGGAGGTGGAGCTTGCAGTGAGCCGAGATTGTGCCACTGCACTCCAGCCTGGGTGACAGAGCAAGACTCCATCTCAAAAAAAAAAAAAAAAAAAAAGAAGAAGAACAGGATGCTCTGGCATATTTCCAAAAGGGTCCTCCTCTCCTCCCGCTTTTGGAAACACAAGGCAATTTCTCTCCACTATTCACTATGAGGTCTAGGGAGTAAATCTCAAAAAAGCATGGGGGTCCCCCCAGGACTGGGCTCCCCTGGAGTTTTTGTCTCTCAGTCTTGATCCCACTGAACTTTCAGCAATTCATCAATTACAGTTCAGGTTTCTCCGCATCAACAGTGGTTCCCCAGGGTGTTTCTGCTTGTGGGCTTCTGCTGTGGTTAACTTATGATTCACTGTATCCCTTTGTCTGTCTCTCCAATTCTGGGGCGGGCAGCAGTTTGCCTTATGATCTCACTTCAGTGCTGTATCTATAAAGAGCTGTTGATTTTTCAGTTTGTTTAGCTTTTTACTTGTTAGAATGAAATGACAGCTTCCAAGCCTGTTACCTGACAGACCAGAAACCAGATGTTGTTGTCTTGTCATATTTAATTGTGTTCCATAAATTGTGTATTTGAAAAGTTGTTTGTAAAAAAATAACTGCAAAACTAGGATGATGCTGTATTTTTTCAAAGAGCATTTGGTTTTCTTTTGTCAGGTACTTGTACAAAATTGCAATGTTATTACTGCAGTCCACTTTCAGGAAGTGAGGTGATTAAAAGTTAAGGACTTTCACTTATGGTTCCAACCCAAAGAGTGAAAGGTTCACGAGGGGTTTTTCCACTAGGGATCCTGAAAGGCTTCAAATGTTTCCCCTAGACTTTCAAGGCTGTGAATTCACCATTCAACCATTTGTCTTCTCAGGCACCCTAATGACACAGGGAAAAGCAATTCCAGATGCAGGATTTGGAATTGTATCTTCCTTCTCCTGTGTTTGAGTTGGCTATTTCTCAAATACCTTCAATAAAATTTCTGAGACATATTTTTTCAAGCAGCTTTGTAAATCCTCATTAGGACAGTTGATCCGTATCATCTGGTATACCATTACCTCAAAGCCATGCATGTTTAAATTGTGTTTGCCCATCCACTTGATCCACTGAATTCGTGCTCTGTCAGACGCCATGTCCTGCTCATGTTTATTTCCAGAGTCTAGCACACTTCCTGGAGTTCTGCGTGCACGTCACACATGTATTAAAATAAAGAGTGATGAAAAGAAGCAAGGAAAAAAAGAGACAGTAGCCATCAATCATTTCCTAGGAGGCTAACAGGCAATTGTTTCCCATAATAACCCAAAGTGAATATGATTCTTTTTCCTGAGTAATTCCAGGTCTACCCATCTAACACTGCCTCTGAACCAAATCTTTCCTTGCCTTATAGATACTGCTTATCACTACCTATACATATGTATCTATCTTTAGAAACATCTCTGATCTTCACAGCTTACATAGTTGCCAATTACGTGCCCAAGGTTTGAGATTTATTTATGATCTATAATTAATTCTGTAAAAAGAAGTCAGGTGTTTAAAACCTGAAAAATCTTTAATTTTCACATAATTCCATGCTTGGATCATGTTAATAATATATTTATAATACTTTTAGAGTGAAGCGTGTCAAAATAATTAACTGAACGATTGTACTTTGTGGTACAGGTGTGAAAATTGAATAGATGTCCTTTGATAGACTGTATTTCATAGGTGAAAGAAAAAATTATCTATTTTTTCATTAAAATATCACAATTTTCCTGCTCTTTGTTTAGTGGCTGTTAAACTTCTATGTCATAATAACTCTTTTTTTGATTTACCTCTTCTATTTTGTGGTATCATTTCCCCTTCAAAACCCAAGAGTGTTCATTATACCCTGTGGCAAAGGAAAGTTTTCTCAGTAAGCAACAGCAGTTAAAAGTATATAGTTTAAGTTGTTGAAATAAGGTTTAAATTCATGATTTAATCAATAGAGAGGGTACAGGTAACATGGTTATGTTTGCAGCATTTCTGACTTAATCACTGAGTTAAAATGGCTCTGCTCTTTTAAAACCATACTTCAAAAAATACCCTTAGGTCTTTAAAGATTCTAAGACATGAAGCTCATAAACTTTTCATTTTCTAGAATCAAGAGGAGCCTCCAGCATACTTTGACTGATAGGTTTCTACATTTCAAGTACCCATTTGGTACCTAATTCACTCCTGGCCATCAGACTCCCCTCCCGTAACACTGTCAGGCACACGTGAAAAACTACTGCTTCAGAAAGTTACAGGCAGAGGGCAGATGAATTTAACTGTTTCCTACCACTATCATTGCCAAGTGAGAATCTAGGTCCATACCTAACAGCATCATGACAAATATGAGACCACATGCATGCTCCATTTATCCAACAAGGGTGCACAGGATATCTACCTGTGCTCATGAAAAAGATCAACATAAACCTGCCCACATAGAAATTATCATCTAATACAGGAACCCAGAAAAAAGCCCAACACAAAAGCGTAAAAATTAGTAGATAAAGAGGCTACGAAAAGGTTCCCCGAGGTGGTGACAATTGAGATGGGATTGAGAAGATCAATTAGAGGTAACCATGTGAAGAAACTGGTGATGGAGACAATGGCTTGGATGCAGCAGTTAGAGCAACAGACAGAAAAGCAATGTGGCTAGAAAGGGATGGAAGATGAGGCCAGTGGGGCTGAACGCACCCAGATCAGGTGGTCTTGTAGAACTAGGAAGTCCAGGTTTGATTTTAAGAGCAATGGGAAGCTTATGAAGTTTTAAAATCGAGGATGCTGCTTACCTTTTTAAAAGTTCTCTGTTGTGTGAGGAGAAGGTTTTATAGGAGGATATAAGTAGAGGGGTGCAGCAGTGGCCTGGGGAAGTGGTCATGGTTATTTGGGCTAGAATGATGTGATGGTTTATTTTACTTTTATGTGTCTACCTGGCTGGATCATTCAGCCAGGTATTTGGTCAAACATCTGTCTAGATGTGTCTGTGAAGGTATGTTTTTAGATGAGCTTAACTTGTTTTTATTTTTATTTTTTAAGAGACAATATCTCACTCTGTTGCCTAGGCTGGAGTGTGCTGGTGTGATCACAGTTCATTGTAGCCTCCAACCCCTGGGATCAAGTGATCCTCCTCCCTTAGCCTTCCAAGTAGCTAGGACTAAAAGAGCATGCCACCATGCCTGGCTACTTATTTATTTTTTTATAGAGACACGGTCTTGCTATGCTGCCCAGGCTTGTGTCAAACTCCTGTGCAGTTAGCATTTAAATCAGTAGACTTGGAGTAAACAGATTGCCCTCCATAATGTCAGCAGGACTTACTCAATCAATTGAATTTCCTAAGAGAAAAAGACTGCCTTCTCTGAAGGAGAGAGAATTCTGTCAGGAGACTGCCTTCGGGCTCTAACTGCAACTCTTCCTTGAGTCTCCAGCCTGCTGGCCTATCCTGGAGATTTTGGACTTGCCAGTCCCATAGTCTTTTAAAATCGTTCTCTCTGTGTCTTTGTGTGTGTGTGTCTCTGTGTGTGTGTGTGCATGCATGTGTGTATGTGTATCTGTATCTATATCTATATCTATATCTATATCTATATCTGTATCTATATCTATATCTTAGATACATAGATATCTTCTATTGATTCTACTTCTCTGGAGAACTCTGACTAATATAACTAATTACAGAGACATGCAGAGAAAAGGGTATATTCTTCAAGAGGTTCAGGGATTAGGAACACAGATATTTGCTGACATATTGCCAGTGGGGGATCTGAAAAAGAGAGAAAGTGACCTTAGCTCCAAAATTCGGGCCTGAGCAAGTGAAATTCAGTGGTGCCATTTGCCAAGCTGAGGAAGAAAGAGGAGAGCCAGAGTGTGCAATGCGGTTTCAGGGAAGAATTAAAGAATGCTGTCCTGCACATGCTGAGTTTAAAATGCTGATCATTCCATATCCAAATGCATATATCTAGTGGCCAATGGTATGCATGGATTAATGTATAAAAGGCATCCCGGGGCTTTAGAAAGAGCATAGACTTTGACATTCATTATCATGGGTTCAAATTTCAGCTTTGCCAATTTACAGTATCTGAATAGATTACTTATACCTTTTGATGCAGATTCCCTTTTTACATTTGAGATAAAAATAACATCCACGTCACAGAGTTTTTTTGAGATAACGTATTGCAAAAACATTGTATCTTAGCATAGAAAGATTTAAAATGCCACATAAATGTATTATGTGCTCACAAGAATATTTGATTTGATGGAAAATAAATGCCTGAGACAATGCTGTTGGTTGTCTTCCTCATTGATTGTTTTCACAAGTGTAAATTTAAATACTTACATAGATGACAAGAAGCCTCTAGTGTTGAAGTATAGAAACTGGTCACCTTCCCTGGGAAGGGGGCAACCACAGTAAAGAGTCACCTGATGAGCTTCAGGAAAGGCTGGTAAGCCAGTGGACAGGACAGGTAGGGGTCATTGTTTGATGTCTGGCCTCAAGGCATCAAAAAAGTTCAGTCCCTGCAAAGAACAGGGGAGGAAGAGCTCCATCTGAAGGATGATACATAATCAGCCCAGGGCCCGTGGGTTTCTCATCTATGGTAAAGCATATTTTTCCTTCATTTTTTCCCTTAATGTAGGTGAATCGACACTTTAAAAAGATAGAATAAAAATAAAACACAAGAAACATAATTTTAGAAAAACAAAAATATGTAAGACAAATCCTAATTATTTACAATTAGATTTATCCCACTGATATGGTTTGGCTGTGCCCCCACCCAAGTCTCATTTTGAATTCCCAAGTGTTTTGGGAAGGACCTGGTGGGAGGTAATTGAATCATGGAGGCAGGTCTTTCCCATGCTGTTCTCATGATAGTGAATAAGATCTGATGGTTTTAAAAATGGGAGTGTCCCTGCACAAGCTCTCTTCTCTTGTCTGCTGCCATGTGAGACATGCCTTTCACCTTCCACCATCATTGTGAGGCCTCCCCAGCCACGTGGAACTGTAAGTCCAATAAGCCTCTTTCTTTTGTAAATTGCCCAGTCTCGGGTACGTCTTTATCAGCAGCGTAAAAATGGACTAAAACACACATGTAAAATGAGTCTCAAAAATTCCTGTGAAACATATTAAATGATTTGTCTGAAGTTTTGCATTTGTCTGGGTCTGTACCTGTAACAACTAACTCACAAACTGTGAGCTCTGAGCCATAACTGGGGAAATGTCATGTAGGAAGTAATTCTCAGAAACATTTGAGGTGGAGGCCCGGGGAACAGATAGAATTTATGGTAATTTGTTAAATAAGGGGTTAGTATTGCTGTAATTTGGGTATTAAGAGGCAGATGACCCTATGTTTTAGCCAAGGGCAAGAGGTCTGGGGAAGTCAGGTCTTATCCTCACTAGGTGACCCAGGCCTTCACCCGAGAAGCAGGGCAGAGTGGGAAGTGGCAGGTGTCGTGTGGCCATACTTCACCCCCACCATGCACTCCTGTTGTTTTTGTCTGGGAGTCTGGCCAAGAATGAGAGAAAAGCAAAAGATACACTTCCCACAGGCCAAATCTGTTTATTTTTCCGGTAAAACTTGGCAAGGGCTTCCAGCTTTTGTTCTTCTTTAAGGATATGATAAAAGATAATTATATCTACATGTTGGAGAACCAGCTTTATGCCATCAGAAGCCAAATTTCTGGACAAAAGACAAGCATAAAATCTGGTGAGCAGCAGACAGCTGGCCCACAGTTAGCCCAGAGCCAAGCCCAGGGGAGGTCAACACAGGGTCAAAGGGGATAGGCCAAAGATTGGTGAGGTGAGGGGTGGCAACACTTGAGGCTCATGTTTCTATGGCTCCACAGTTTACTTTGTTGGTTCTAGAAAACTCCGTTGTTAACTAACAAAATCTTAATTAGAATAATCACCCTAGTAAAATGCCAACAAATAATATCACTTTCTCTGAAAGAAGACTTTACTGGCTAAGAAAGGAAACAGTTAATTGCTTGAGCCTTCACAACAGTAATAGATTTGGGAACAAGAGCAGGTAACCAAACTGGTTATACTGGGATTGGAACCAGGAAAGTTTAATTTTGCCCCTGACATGTTGGGCAGGAAGCCCCATGGCTTTCTGTTTCCTCCAAGAGGTCATGAAGCACCTCCCATTTCCACGCTGCTCTATCCAGAGCTTACCCTGGAGGGGTTTGGATCTGATCCGGGCCAAGTGCAGAAAGCCAGGTTGGGTCATGGAGTACAGAAATCATATCTAGGTTACTATTTATTGAAACGTTAAAAAATATTTCAGTTCATTTGTTCCTTCACTTCAACTTGAGGTAGCTAAAATAAATAAGTAGACAATAACAGAATCAAGGCAAAAGTAGGAAGTGTCCAGATGGATATAAAATAAAAATAAAAACTATCAGCAAGCTCATGATGACATATGAAATGCCTAGCATAGAGTCATGTAAGATTTCTAGAAATTGGGTATGAATCTATTTCTAAGACCCTAATAGACAACATCAGTGGGAAATCATTGGTAATTAGTGGAGTCTTGTAACTACATGTGCAAACTGCAGAAGTTCCCCCATATCCGTAGGAAATATTGCCAAGGGCCCGAGTGGATGCCTGAAACCACAGATAGTATCAAAGTCAATAAATACTATTTTTTCCTATAAATATTTATCAGTGGTAAAGTTTAATTTATAAATTAGTTACAGTAAGAGATTACCAATAATTAATAATAAAATACGGCAATTATAACAATATGCCAGCATCACTACTCTTGCATTTTGGGGCCATTATTAAGTACAATAAAGGTGACTCGGACACAAGCAGCTCTCATTACCATGACACTCCATTTGATGACTAGATAACTGGTAGGTGACTAACAGACAAGAGCGTAAACAGCATGGATCCTCTGGGCAGAGGTGCCGTTCAAGTCCCAGGACAGACCAAGTGGTATGGAGCAAGATTTCATCATTGGACACAGAACAGTGTGCCATTTAAAACGTATTAATTGATTATTTCTGGAATTTTCCATTTAGAATTTTCAAACTGTTGTTGACCATGAGTAACTGACACTGCAGAAAGTGAAACTATGGATATGGCGGCACAGGGGTGTTACTGTAACTAAATGTCTGGAAGCATTACTTTCCTGAAATGAAGACATGAGAATTTTGTATGCGGCCTCATAAAGGAGATATAGTGTGATATAGAGATATTTGACTTTCTGTTCTTTTAAATGCTAAACAAAAAGTGGTTTTCAAGTGAATTGATCTCATAGTACATAAAAATATTGTCATTTGGCTGCATGATTGATTTAAATGCAGTAACTATTTGTCAGGCATTATGTCAACTTAGAAAGTAGTGCAGAGATTATTTTCTTATTTAAGTGCATTAGAATGCATATGTAGTTTAGAAATGCAAATCATTTAGACACACTCCATAACAAACTCTGGCTTTATTTTAAATGGTTATAATAGAATCCCTTTCACATAAGTAAATATTTCACATAATATTTCACATAAGTAAAATATTATGATTCCAAGACACAGATCTTCTGAAAATATTTGAGGGGTCTGACCTGTGGAGGTGTTACATAGAAACGTGGGCTCTATTTGAATGCAAAGTTAAAAAAATAGCATCATGAAGGACTTTTTCTTCTGCTGAGACCCCAGTCTAAGGAGGAATCTGTGGCTATCTTTTTTCCTCTCATTCTAATACACAGGGCAGTTTTGTTCTTCTAGTGCATTTTGTGGAAAAAATGGATGGTGCATCACTTTGATTCACAGTTCTAGTAGGACAGTTTTTTCACTGCTGCCCCTCTAACACTTCTGAATGAATTTTAATATGGTCTCTGTCCAAGTGCCCTTTTTAGCAAAGTAGGTGTGGAAGACAATGGATTTCTTTTTCTTTACTAGCTAAAAGTGAGAAATATAAAAAATACCTTTAAATGTGGTGTGTGTGTGCATGTTGATAGCTGAAATCAATCATCTGTCATGAGAAGATATTTTATTGCCTATGTTTCAGTCAGTGATATTTTCTTTATTCACTTAAAAATTGTAAAAAAAATAAAATGTGCCATAGTTCCTCTATTATTAGATTTCTTTCCAAGCCATATCTGTGTAATTATTTTACATAATTATAACGATTACTCACATACTACATAATAGTAGTTTAATAGTAGTTTTATATTATTAAATTTTTATTGCACTTTCGTTATGTAATACTTCACAAATGTGTTTTCATGTCTTTCTTAAAATCATTTTAAGGGGTAACATATCATAATTTACTTCCATATTCTAGGAGTGCTAAGATTGTTTCCAGTGTTCACTTCCACAGTGAACGTTCTGTTGCACGGCCATTTACTGTGCTCAGCAGCAGCTCTCCTTGTGTCATTCCATTTAGGACCTAACTGATTCAGGACACTGCTGGTCTCAAAAGAGGAAATAAAAGACATGGCTGAACACCTCACTGTCTCCTAGAGGCTCTTCTCAGGAGTGGCTTCCATAACTTCCCATATCATCTCATTCAGCACAGCAGTTCAGGTGGCCAAACCTGAAGTTTTCGAGTCAGAAAGTAAAATCCTTCCCCATAGAGAGGAAGCGACTCATTTGAACAAAAATACAATTGAGTACAACCACTACACTCCACTGCTTCTTTGAGACATAACTGATTACATTTTAAGAGAGCCTCCAATGCCCAACTACATTTATTGTGTGTGAGGTCTGTCTTCTTTCCTTTCCCACTTCTTAGCTAAAAGGTTCAGATAAGCAATATCATGATGTCATCTTTCATATTAATATTAATTTATCTGATGAATTGTGCCAGACATTGCCCCTTAAGTAAGAATCTATAAACTACACTAGGCTTAGACATAATTTGGAAAAAAAAATCTAGTATTGCAAGAACTGTGTTATAGATCCATTAATTTTACAGCTAAAGTTGATATGAACACATGTAAAAATCATATCCAAAGCACAGCAGTGTCAAGATGTAAAGAGAATGCAGAAAAAAGAATTTCTGCGGCTCTTTTATGTATTTATGCCATATTTCCCTTTAGGATTCAGGCCTTGCTTTCCCAATCACTAGCGAAAAGCAGTGTTCATTATTTGATGACTAAACTTTTTTAAATTTTAGTCTTTTCAAAATATCAATCATTTCTAAATTCATCAAGACTCTTGAATAAAATGATGCACAAGAAGTTACATACAATTGATAGTGAACTAATATTTCAGTGATTTGTATTGTCCAGAATCTTACTGTATTTGAGGAATAGTGAGGACTAAATTTCTCAATGACTATATTTGCTGAGAGTTGCCACTTAATTTCTGACCTTAGTATTTTCTTTCCCCTTTCTAACAACAGAAATTCTGTCTTCTGCAAATATTTTCTATAATATCACAGGCTAACTCTCAGTGTTTTTTTTTAATTTTTTTTTATTATACTTTAAGTTTTAGGGTACATGTGCACATTGTGCAGGTTAGTTACATATGTATACATGTGCCGTGCTGGTGCGCTGCACCCACTAACTCATCATCTAGCATTAGGTATATCTCCCAGTGCTATCCCTCCCCCCTCCCCCGACCCCACCACAGTCCCCAGAGTGTGATATTCCCCTTCCTGTGTCCATGTGATCTCATTGTTCAATTCCCACCTATGAGTGAGAATATGCGGTGTTTGGTTTTTTGTTCTTGCGATAGTTTACTGAGAATGATGATTTCCAATTTCATCCATGTCCCTACAAAGGACGTGAACTCATCATTTTTTATGGCTGCATAGTATTCCATGGTGTATATGTGCCACATTTTCTTAATCCAGTCTATCATTGTTGGACATTTGGGTTGGTTCCAAGTCTTTGCTATTGTGAATAATGCCGCAATAAACATATGTGTGCATGTGTCTTTATAGCAGCATGATTTATAGTCATTTGGGTATATACCCAGTAATGGGATGGCTGGGTCAAATGGTATTTCTAGTTCTAGATCCCTGAGGAATCGCCACACTGACTTCCACAATGGTTGAACTAGTTTACAGTCCCACCAAAAGTGTAAAAGTGTTCCTGCTTCTCCACATCCTCTCCAGCACCTGTTGTTTCCTGACTTTTTAATGATTGCCATTCTAACTGGTGTGAGATGGTATCTCATAGTGGTTTTGATTTGCATTTCTCTGATGGCCAGTGATGATGAGCATTTTTTCATGTGGTTTTTGGCTGCATAAATGTCTTCTTTTGAGAAGTGTCTGTTCATGTCCTTCGCCCACTTTTTGATGGGGTTGTTTGTTTTTTTCTTGTAAATTTGTTTGAGTTCATTGTAGATTCCGGATATGAGCCCTTTGTCAGATGAGTAGGTTGCGAAAATGTTCTCCCATTTTGTAGGTTGCCTGTTCACTCTGATGGTAGTTTCTTTTGCTGTGCAGAAGCTCTTTATTTTAATTAGATCCCATTTGTCAATTTTGTCTTTTGTTGCCATTGCTTTTGGTGTTTTGGACATGAAGTCCTTGCCCATGCCTATGTCCTGAATGGTAATGCCTAGGTTTTCTTCTAGGGTTTTTATGGTTTTAGGTCTAACGTTTAAATCTTTAATCCATCTTGAATTGATTTTTGTATAAGGTGTAAGGAAGGGATCCAGTTTCAGCTTTCTACATATGGCTAGCCAGTTTTCCCAGCACCATTTATTAAATAGGGAATCCTTTCCCCGTTGCTTGTTTTTCTCAGGTTTGTCAAAGATCAGATAGTTGTAGGTATGCGGCGTTATTTCTCTCAGTGTTTTTTGGTCATCTTTATGAATTCAAATTGTATTAGTTGTGAAAATGAGCATTTGCAAAGTAACTTGGAGAAAAATGAAACTTTCAATTTTATAATAAAGGCTTATATTTTTATCTATTGCATTAACATTAAAACAATTCACATGATTCAGATTCTTAAGATAAAAAAATTACTCATTTCATAATCCTCTTATATCTCTGGTTTTGTTTTAAAATTCAGATTTCAGATTCACTCCAGAATTATCTTGTTTCTCTCTTCTGTTTTCATATTCTCACCAATGACTTTTTCTACATGCATGTATAAGTTTTACATATTTTTAACCATAGCATGGCTAACATTTTTCATCCCCATTTGGCACTTTTATTCTAACTTATAAATATTTTCTCATGTTAATACATGGTCTTTAATATCATTAGTGCTATACAAGATTTTACCAGACCAATGAACCACTATTCTGTTTGAGTCATTAAATAGCATCCTATTATTGGAGCTCTGCCTTGTTTCCAATTCTTTGTAAGCAGACAGTGCTATAATGATTATTTTTATTTCTATTGGTGTTTTTAGCTTTTATTTTTGTTTGCAAAAGTATCTTACAGTAGATTCTCAGGAATGAGAGGATTGAGTTTGAGCACCTTTTCAGCTCTTGAAATCTATGCCAAATTGCTTTTCTAAGTGAGATGTACCAATTTATAGCCACAATCTGTATGTTAGAATGTGTGTGTTATTGCAGCATTGTCAATCTTAATTATTAGAAATTGGCTTATGTAATAGATAAAAAATGTTAACGAATTTTGACACTCCTGGGTTTAATCAGGAAGCGTTTAAATTTGATGTTCCTGTTTTCTATTGACTAAGGTTGTTACTATTATTGTTAGTGGTAGTATTTGTAGTAGGTGACATGTTTCCTTGTGACCTTTACCTCCCGAGGTCTTGACCTTCTGTAACATGTAAGCTGATCCAACTATCTTTTGTCTCTTTTAGAAATAGTCTTTTAATTATATAGAAGTTTAATCATTTTATATATTTTAATGTTTATCAATGTATTTTGTATATTAGTCAGAAGATGGAAATCCTTTCAGTAATTTAAAGAAAAAGAATTTATTATTAAGAACTGCTAACTTGGTATAAAGATGTTAATTACTGAATAGATAAAGAGTGGACACTAAGTTGTCAGGGAGTTAGCAGCTAAAGGAAGCTATGCTTACCTCTAAAGCTAAGGGGACAAAGGGAAAAAAGAAGTGTGGAGGTTATATTCTGCCACAGAGAGAAACTCAGTCCTCTGAGTAGAGAGGACTGCGTGCTGCAGTCTCTGGGTCTAGAGAAGGTGCTGAGGAGCTGCAACCCTGACCTTCCCAAAGGAACTGCAGCCACAGGAGTGAAGATGGATGTGTTAATGTTGTGCTACAATGGGAATTAAAGGGGACAAAGTACTCCTGTCACTTCTCCAGACTTGCAGTTCCTTCGAATGCCCTCTCTTAGTGGAACATAACAGAAGCCAATTGGAGAGCAAAAATGCAGCTTGTGGTGTTCCAGCCCCAGCATCACAAAGCAGGGTATAGAAGATTGTGCTCAAGCTGAGAATCAACAACAGAATGACAATCATTACATATACTGGAAGAAGTTGGGGGTAATTATTTGAACTCTGTTAAATAAAACAATTATTCTGAAACTCATTAAAAAATAAGAAGGCTTTATTCAAGACCATCAGAATACAGGAGAGAGATCAGGCTCAACTCAAATACAGCAAGGACAAGTGGGGGTTGACAGCCAATAAAGTGAAGGAGTTCATGGGTGGAAAATTACTAGGAGGAGACATCAAGGGTATGGGGATTCTTGCTAAACCAACATGACAGGATTCTTGCTAGAGGCAGGTCAAGAACTTGTACATCAAAGGTGAGGGATGACAAATTTGATTAGATATCAAGGATGGGGAGATCCTTGCTAAACTGACTTAGCAGGATTCTTGCTAAAACTGGACTAGGAAGGCCAAAAGCAGGACAGGGGCCAAGGTCAAGGCCTAATTTAGAAGAGGGTTCAGCAGAGCCTGACTAAAGTTTAATCAAGAAGAGAATTTTTGCCAGGAAAAGGTTGAGGGTCATTATTTGAGCTTCTAGAAATTGATATGGCCTCTATGTACTCCTTCATCCTACAAGGAGAGAGAGAGAGATACATGTGTAATTGCTTATTTATGATTTTATAGCTTCCTTGTATCACAAAGGATTTGATATTACTTGCCCATGTTAACGGAAAAAATCATTGTGTATCTGGATCTGTTTGAGATTTTCAGATCTACTTTTCTTGAATAAATTCCATATCCCTGATTAAATTTCAGAAGAGATATTCAACAGGGCACATACTAGTTTAACGTATTGTTTTTTATTTATTTGTTTGTTTGTTTTTGAGACGGAGTCTCGCTCTGTCGCCCAGGCTAGAGTGCAGTGGTGCGATCTCTGCTCACTGCAACCTCTGCCTCCTGGGTTCAAGCGATTCTCCTGCCTCAGCCTCCTGAGTAGCTGGGATTACAGGCACCCACCACCACGCCTGGCTATTTTTTGTATTTTTAGTAGAGAAGGGGTTTCACCATCTTGGGCAGGCTGGTCTCAAACTCTTGACCTCATGATCCACCCACCTTGGCCTCCCAAAATGCTGGGATTACAGGCAAGTTTAACATATTGTTATTTCCAACTAGGTATTCAGTTTATTGCTTTTAAAAAAATATTTTTTGATTAATTGGGATAGATACTTTTACACACAAAAGTGGTACCATATTTAAGTGAAGTAGGAGGCACTGGGCTAAGTATATTCCTTATTACCATACACATTTTTTAGAGTTTTATGTGAATGCTGGGCTTCCAAAGCACCACAGGCCCCTGTTAATGCCATCAAAATTTAGGAATTCTTAGAATTAGCAAATTCTCCTTTATTGCTCCTAAACATAAAGATTAGTTGAAAGAATAAAACAATGAATGAATAAGTGGAACTCTTTTTACGATCCAACCACTAACTGCTGGTTTTCTGTTTCACCCCTATTCCTTTGAGTATGCACACACGTATTATGAAATCATGTGATATGATATATTTAATCATATGTTTTAAACATATTACCAGATCATAATGATTGTTCTGTATTATCATTTAAAGTTTTCACAGTGTTTCAGTGAATTCCATTTCAGATGACAGTGTTATTTTTAATTGTTTTTATTAAAACATGGCTCCAAAAACTTTCATTTTTAGCTCCACATGTAAAGAGCTTAAAAGTTGTCAAAGTTGTCACTCTGTCCTTAAAACAGGAATGAAACTGCATAGAGTAAAAGTCAACAGCTTTTTTTGGGTCCCATTAGAGAAATGAGGTCATGAGACAAACAGCCACCACCAAAATTGGAGAGACAGATAACTAGAGACAATCACAGTTGAGATCATCTTATGATGAGCAAAAGTTGGTAGGAAGAAGCAATAATAACCACAAGTTGGTAGGAAGAAGCAATAATAACTTCCACCAATTGATAGAGGTGGTATGAGTAATTTCTGGGGTCTGCAGTCTTAGAATAGCACACTTTTATTGATTTTCCTCTATGAACTTCACAAGTTCTAAGTAACCATTCTGAAATATATTCAGAGTGTTCTCTGTAGCAAAGGCCAGAACTCCCAGGGAAAGGACATTTCTAGATACTTATCTGACATGGAGAAAGGACAATTTCCCAACTCCAGCCCCATCTAGCCTTCCAGTTTCACCTAGGGAGGGTAAGAAGCAGTGAAACATTTCCAATGATATCACAGCGTAGGGAAACAGGTGCACTAAGAGTTTCAGATTTAGTCATAAGAATATAGAATGATCCCCTCTGCCACTCCTAATCACCCTATCAACAGGGCTTCAATAGAATAACAGCAGGTTTCATCAAGGCTCAGACTCTAAGGCATTCTTAGGAAAACCCAAACATAACAAGGGAGACAGAAAGACAGTCAGTAGACAGAGGACATTGGAGTCCCTGGAACATACAGCTACCACAGACATGAAGCACACCTCAACTCATAGCCAGAGGGATGTAAAACTCATCCCAAAGGTTCCACTTATCTAACTCTAGTATCTGATGTGTCATGTCTGGCTTGCACAAATAGTTGCAAAACATTCGAAGAGACAAGAAAAAACAATGTCTGAAGAGAAAAAAGTAACCATGCTCAGATATGACACAGAATTTGGAATAATAAGACAGTCAATTTAAATAATTATGATTAATATATTAAGCACTCTCATAAGAAATGTAGGCTATATATATATATATATATAAACATAGCAGAATACACATATCCAACATCTGCACAATTTCAAGAGCTATGAATTAAATTAGAAATTATTGGAACAATAGAAAAAGAAAAAGATAAGATAGCTGAAAAAAATATTCAAAATATATAGTAATGCTGAACAGGTTTCAAAATTAATGATGTTCATCACACTATATTGCCAGAAACCTCAGAGAAAGCTGAGGTGGATAAGTGCCAGATAATTGAAACTTAGGCATATTGTATTTATTTATTTATTTTCTCAAATTTGTTGAGGGATAATGACAAGTAAAAATTGTGTATGTTTATGGTTTTCAATATGAAGTTTTTATAAATGTATATATCATGTAATGATTAAATCAAGCTAATTAACCTATTCATCACCTCACATACCTATTTTTTATGATAAGAAACACCTAATTTCTTAGCAATTTTTAAGTGTATCATAAATTGTTATTATTTTTAATTTATTATGTATATTTGAGGTCTACAACATGATGTTATGGGATATGTATTGATAGTAAAATGGCTATTATAGATGAAGCAAATGAACACTTCTATCACCTCATGTTACTTTTTTGTGTGATAACAGCAGCTAAAATTTTATTTAACAGAAAGCCCTTATAAAATTTTATTAACTATAGTGCTCATATTATACATTAGATTTCTAGACTTATTTATCGTACACTTCTGCTGCTTTGTATCCTTTGGCCTATACTTCCTTCTTGTTCCCAATTCCCATCCTCTAGAAACCATTGTTTTACATTGTTTTATTCTCTCTGTATATTGTGTATATTTGACCTCTTTTTTAGATTCCACATAAATGTGAGATCATGCAATGTTTTTCTGCTGGTAGTTTTTGTGTCTTCTTTAGAGAAATATCTATTCAGGTCTTTTGCTCATTTTTTAATCAGGTTGTTTTTCTGCTGTTGAATTTTAAGTATTTTTCACATATTTAGGGTATTAACTCATTATCAAATATATGGTTTGCAAATATTCTTTTTCCCAATCTTAGGTTGCCTTTCCATTTTGTTGATGGTTTCCTTTGCTGTGTGGAGGCTTTTTAGTTTGACGTAGTCTCTTTTATTTATTTTTGCTTTTGTAGTCTGAGCTTTTCGTGTGATTTGCAAAAAATTCATTGCCAAGGCCAATGTCCAACAGCTTTTTCCCTATGTTCTCTTCTAGGAGTTTTAGGATGTCATGTCTTATCTTTAGTTTTTTTATCCATTTTGCATTGATTTTTATATATAGTATAAGATAAAGGTCCAATTTTATTTTTTGTCTGTGGAAATCCAGTTTTCCCAGCATCATTTGTGGAAGATAATGTTTTATCCCCACCTTCTCCTCTTGGCACAAATTTTGAAAACTATTTGACTGTGTATGCCTGGATTTATTTTGTTCTTCTGTTATAGTAGCCAAACAAATTAGGAGACATACCAAGTATCTTTTCTGACTGCAGTAGAATGAAATTAGAAGTCAGTAACAGAAGGAAAACTGGAAAATTCACAAATAAGTGAAAATTAAACAACACCCTCTTGAACAAGCATTGGGTTAAAGAAGCAATCAAAATGAACATTAGAAAATATTTTGAGTCAATGAAAGCAAAAAGCTTACCCAAACAGATAAGATATAGAAAAAGCAGTACTAAGAGGGGAAGTACATGGCAATAACTGTCCATATTAAGAAAAAAGAAAAAAAGGTAAATAACTTAATTTTATACCTCAAAGAACTAAAGAAAGAAGAACAACCTAAGACTGAAGATAGCAGAAGGAAGGGGATTTTAAAAATTAGATGAGAAATATGAAATATAGCCGATAGAAAACTAATAGAAAAAACAACTAAACTAAGATTTGGGCTTTCTTTTAAGATAAGTAAAATTAACAAACTTTCACACTTACTGGAAAAAAATAAGAGAAGACTCAAATAAAATCAGAAATGAAAGAGATGTCATCACATCTGATGGCAAAGAAATAAAAAAGATCATAAAAGACTACAGTGAATAATTATATGTCAACATGTAGAAACACAGTGTACCAAGACTGAATCATGAAGACATTGAAAATCTCTCTCAATAAAGAAAAGTCCAGCACCAGAAAGATGCACTGATGAATTCTACCAAACACTTAAAGCATGAACAGTGATCCCTCTCAATCTCTCAAAAAAAAAAAAAAAAAATTGAAGAGTGGGGACTCCCAAAGTTATTTTATGAGGCTAGCATCACCCTGATAACAAATACAGACAAAAAAAAACCCTTTACAAGAAGAGAAAACTACAAGTCAATAAATATTCCTGATGAATACAGATGCAAAAAACCTCAACAAAATACTAGCAAACTTAATTCTGTAGCACATTAAAAGGATCATATACCATAACCAAGTGGGATGTATTTGTGGAATGCAGGGTGTTCTAACATATACTAATAAATAAATATGATACCATACATTAGTAGAATGAAGGATAAAATTACACAATCGTCTCAACAGATGCAGAAAAAGCATTTGACAAAATCCAACACATTTTTGTGATAAAATCTCTCAACAAACTATATACAGAAGGAATTTTTTGTATATGAAAAGCCCACAAATGACATGATCTATAACAGTGAAAAAATAAAAGCATTTTCTCTAAGATCAGAAACAAGGCAAGATGAACACTTTTTATCACATGTACTCCTCATACTACTGAAATTTCTAGCCAAGGCAATTAGGAAAGAAAAAGAAATAAAATATATTCAACTGAGAAAGAATGAAGCAAAAACTATCGTTTGGCAGGAGATGTGATTTTATATGTAGAAAACATGAAAGACTACACACACAAATTTTCAAAGTGATGTTGGGCAAAAATACAAAGCTGGAGACATCACACTTTCTGATATTAAAATACATTACAAATGTAAAATAATCAAAATAGCATGGTACTGGCATAAAAACAAACACATAGACCAATAGAACAGAAAATAGACTTTAGAAATAAACCCAGGTATATGTGGTCAATGGATCTTCAACCATTGGGTGCCAAGAATACACAATGGGGAAAGGATAGTCTCTTCAACAAATGATGTTGAGAAAATTGGATATCCACGTGCAAAAGAATGAACTTGATCTTTATCTTACCACATACACAAACATCAACTGAAGGTGGATTAAAAATTAAATGTAAGACCTGAATCTATAGAACTCAGAGAAAAACAAACAAAAAAAGACTTAATCTTTGTTTTAGGCAATGGTTTCTTAGATACGGCACCAAGAGCACTGGCAAGAAAAGCAAAAATAGGCAATAGGATTACATCAAACTAGAAAACTTCTGCACAGCAAAGGAAATAATCAACAGATTAAAAAGGCACCTACAGAATGAGAGAAAGTATTTGTAAACCATATGTCTGATAAGGGGTTAATGTTTAAAATATATACAAATCTTTCACAGCTCAATAGCAAACAAACAAACAAACAAACAAAAAACAAACCTGATTTAAAAATTGGCAAGATAGGCCGGGCGCAGTAGCTCAGGCCTGTAATCTCAGGACTTTGGGAGGCTGAGGCAGGTGAATCACGAGGTTAGGAGTTCAAGACCAGCCTGGCCAAGATGGTGAAATCCCGTCTCTACTAAAAACACAAAAAATTAGCCAGGCATGGTGGCAGGTGCCTGTAATCCCAGCTACTCGGGAGCCTGAGGAAGGGAATTGCTTGAACCCAGGAGGCAGAGATTGCAGTGAGCCGGGATCATGCCAGTGCACTCCAGCCTGGGTGACAGAGTGAGACTCCATCACACACACACACAAAAAACACATAAATAGATATTTCTCTAAAGAAGACATGCAAATGACCAAGTATATAAAAATATGTTCAACATCACTAATCATCAGGAAAATTCAAGTCAAAGCCACATGAGATATCACCTTATTGTGTTTAGATGGCTGTTATCAAAAACCAAAAGATAAGTGTTGGCAAGAATTTGGAGAAATTGGAACACTGTTAGTGGAAATGTAAAATGGTACAGCTGCTGTAGTAGTTTGTCAAAAAAGCAATAGTAGAACTACCATATGATCCAGCAATCTCACTTCTGGGTATATTTTTTAAAAATTGAAATATATATTATGATAAGATATTAATACTCCCACATTTATTTCACTGTTATTCACAATAGTCAAAATATGGATGCAAACTAAATGTTCATGGATGGATGAGTAGATTCAAATATGTGACATAGACATATAAATAAATATTATTCAGCCTTAAAAAAAGGAAATCCTGTCATATGTGACAACATGGATGAACCTGTTGATCATTATGCTAATTGAAATAAGCAGGTCACAGAAGGACAATAATCTATTGTTTCACTTATGTGAGAAATCTAAGTTAGTCAAGCTCATCTAAAGAGAGTAGAATTGTGGTTGCCAGAGGCAGGGAGAGGGTGGAATGGGAAGTTGTTGTTCAATGTGTATAACATTTCAGTTATACAAAATTAATAAGTTATACAAATCTGTTGAACAACACTGTGCCTATAATTAACAATACTGAATTTTGCACTTAAAATTTTTGTTAAGAGGGTAGATTTCATGTTAAATGTTCCTTCCACAATATGAAACAGAAACCAAGGTGAAATAAAATAATTTTTTATTCTTCACTGATCCAGCAGATAACTCTTAATTTAAAAAAATAGTGGCAGCATTGTATATGGTGACTATAGTAGGTGGTAAGTGAAATTAACCATATCGATATAGCGGACAGGAGAGAGGAATGGGAATAGTATATTAAGGTATCTGCACTGCCCATGAAGTGGTATAATGTTAATGGAAAGAAGACTTCATTTAGTTGTAAATAGGTATTGCAAACTCTATAGCAATCACTAAACAAAATTTAAAGAGATAATTATTAATATGGTAAGATAGGAAAGAAAATTGAGTTATACAAAATGCTTAACTAAGGTCAGAGAAGACAGAAAAAGAAGGAAAAGAGAAACACAGGGTAAATGAAATAAATGGAAAAAATTATTAACACAGTAGATATTAAACCAACTAAATAAAAATCACTTACATACAAAGGTCTAAATACACCAGTTAAATGACAGAGATTGTCAGAGTGATTACAAAATAAGAACCAACTTTATGTTGTCTATGAGAAATCCACTGTGATCATAATGATAGAAATAGGTGGCAAATGGAGAGATGTCCAACTTATTTTTAAGAATGGTGCTAAAATAATTCAATGGGGAAAATAATAGCCTTTTCAACAAATAGCACTGAATAGAAACATGCAAGGGAATGAACTTGTACCCTTACCTCACACCGTATACAGAAATTAACTCAAAGTGGATAAGAGACCTCAATATAAGTACTGAAATTTAAAACTGTTAGAATAAAGTTAAGGAGATAAATCTTTATGACTTTGGAATCAGCTCTGGATTCTTAGATATGACATCAAAAGTGCCAATTTAAAAAAAAAAGAAAAATTGGACATCAACAAAGTTAAAGTCTCGTTTTGCTTCAACAGGCAGTATAAAGAAACTGAAAAGTAAAACTCACATAGAGGAGAAAATAATCACAAAATATATCTGATAAGGTACTTATATCTTGTGTATCCTCACATGCAAAGAACTCATACAATTCAATAAAAAGACAAGTAACCCCTTTAAGAAATAAGTGAAAAGCCTGAATAGACATTACTTAAAAGAAGAAATATAAATGGCCAAGAAGCACATGAAAAGATCCTCAAAATTATTAGCCATCAGGAAAATGCAAATCTAAACTGCAATGAGATACCACTTTACACCTACACTTTACACCTGATAAATGGAATAAAAAATTCAGCTGATAACACGTGTTGGTGACAGTGAAAAAATTGGAATCTTCATACATTGTTGGTGGGAATGTAATGCTCTAAGTCAAGAACAGGATCTTGAAGTTTCTCAAACAGTTAAACATAGTTATCAATATAATCCAGCAATTTCATCATAGATACCTATCCAAGAAAAACAGAATCATATGACAAACACAACACTTAGCACACAAAAATGTATAGCAGCCTTATTAATAGTAACCAAAAGGTGAAATAAACCTAAATGCTCACAACTGATAAGTGGATAAACAAAAGTAGAATATCCACACAGTGGAATATTATTCAATCATAACAAAGAGGCAAATACTAATATATGCTAAAAATGAATGAACCTAGAAAACATTATGCAAAATGAACAAATCCAGTGACAAAAGATCACATATTATATGATTCAATTTATATGAAATTGTTCTAATGGACAAATTTATAGATACAGAAAATAAACTAGTGGCTGCTTATGGACTGGGATGACAGGTGGATAGAATGGTAGTAGTTAAAGGGTATGGAGTTTCTTTTTGAGGTTAAAAAAGGATCTAACATCAAGAGTGGTGATGGTTGCACATACCTTTGCATATATTAAAAATCATTGAATTGTACCTTTTAAATTGGTGGACTGTATTTCTCAATGAAGCTATTTTTTAAAAGCAAAGAATTGGAGAAAAATATACCATGTTGCCGCCAATCAAAAGAAAACTGGACAAGCTATATAAATTCCAGACAAATGAACTTAATATCAAGGAAAAGTACCAGAGATAAAGAGGAGTATTGCAAAATGATAATGGATCAATTCTCCAGGAAGACATAAAATCCTTAACATATATATACCTAACAACAGAGCATCAAAATATATGAGGCTAAAATTAACAGAACTGCAAGGAAAATAGACAAATCTAATAGTATGATTACAGGCTTCACCATTTCTTATCAGTAACTGACAATTTCAGCAGGTAGAAAATCAGTACGGATATAGCTTAACTGAACAACACCATCAATCAACTGGATCTAACTGACATTTATGGAATTCTTTATCCAACAAACACCAGAATACATATTCTTCTGAAGCTCACATAGAACATTCACCAAGATAGACTACATGCTGGGCAGCAAACACATCTGAACCAATTTAAAAATAGAAATAATATTCAGAATGTTATCAGACCGCAGTGAAATTAAACTAGTACTGAAAACCAGAAAGTTAGTGATGAACCCCAAAGTATCTAGAGATTAAACAATGTACTACTGAATCAAAATTGTGCAATACAACATAAGCAGTCTTTAAAGGGAAATTTATAGCATTCAATGAATAAAAAGAAAGATTTACAATCAACAATCTAAGCTTTCATTTTAGGAAACCAAAGAAGGAAAAATGACACAAACCTGTAAAAAGTGGAAGAAAGAAATTAAGACCTAAAGTATAAATCAATGAAACTGAAAATAGAAAACGAAAAGAAAATCAACAAAACCAAAAGCTGTTTCTTTGAAAAGATCTGTACAATGTATTAATCCCTAGCCAAGCCAATCAGGAAAAAAGAGAGAAGACATAAATTACTAGTATTAGAAAGTGAAAAAACACATATTTCTCCATTGATTATATGTCCTATTTGAACAATGTAATCCTCTTATTTATAGTTCAATGACAATTTTTAAAAGAGCATATAGATCATATTGTTGCATAGGCTTCTGGAGCCAATTCACCTTAGTTTGAATTCCAGCCTTGCCTTTTCCAACTTTGCATACGGTTCAGATAATCTTATTTTCCTTTTAAGTTAGATTCATGGGTGAATTTTTAAAGATGATATAATAGCCACAATTAAGATCAATATGTGGTGGTGTACAGAAGCTCATGTCAATTGGAAAGAGTGCTTGTTCATTTTGTCAGGAACTGAGCAGCCATGGCATAAGTCTCACCTAGATTTGCGACCACAGGTAAATTAATTGAACAACTTGTGCTTCAGTTCCATTAGCTGTAAAATGATAATATGAAAGTACAGAATAGTACATATATTATAACATTAAATTCTTGAGAATATGAAATGATTTATGTTGCTTGACATACAATAATTATGTAAATACAATTATATAATCATTCTTCAATATTTTGATCTACATAAGTTGATTTTCTAATATTGAGCTGACTTTTGCTTTCTGAAAAAAATTCAACTGGTTTTTCTTACTCCAATTTATCTTCATTCTTTTACATTTAGTCATAGACAAAGGGACACATATAAGATGAAAGAGAAGAAATAATTTAAAAATAGAGTTAACACAGCCCTGTCACGGCGGCTCACGCCTGTAATCCCAACATTTTAGGAGGCCAAGGTGAGTGAGTCCCTTGAGCTCAGAAGTTCAAGAACCCCCTGGGCAACATGATAAAACCTCATCTCTATTTTTTATATATATATAGCAGGAGATGGTGGTGCATGCCTGTGGTCTCAACTACTCAGGCAGCTGAGATGGGAGAACTACTTGAGCCTGGGAGGTAGAGGTTGCAGTGAGCTGAGATTTCACCACTGCACTCCACTCTGGGTGACAGAGTGAAACCCTGTCTCAAAAAAAAAAAAAAAAAGAAGAAGTAAGGTCAACACAAAAGTTACCCCAGAGATGCTCAGTTTCTGACAAAATTAACAAGCACTCTTTCTAATTGACATGAACTTTTGTACAGCACCACATATTGATCTTAATTATGGCTTATTACATCATCTTTAAAAATTCTTCCATAAATCTAACTTAAAAGATAAATTAAGAATTATCATTGTTAACATTTTGACACTTCTTTTCTGTCAATATGTTTTTAATGTGTTTTTCTTAAGCTTGGTATCATATATAGAGAGAGGTAATTTTGCAACCCACTTCTTTCAAATATCATCTATGATATATTTTCCTATGCTATTGAACGGAACCTTATAGCATAGAAAACAATGCAAAGCTGTGCTAAGTTCCCATGAGGTCACTTTTACCCCAGAGCTGCTCGGGTTCCCAGCAAAATAAACCAGCACTCTTTCCAATTGACATGAGCTTCCGTACACTACCACATATTGATCTTAATTGTGGCTATGATATTATCTTTTAAAAATCATCTGTAAATCTAACTTAAAAGGAACATAAGATTATCAGAATCATATGGAAAACGTGTATGGGTCACTCAATTTTGAGCCTGCCAGTTTTCTGTAATGGTGAATTTCTAGTGATCTCTATCTTTTCTTAAACAAAACACTTGAAACTTCTTTATTGTTACTTTCATCTTAATCTTCTAATTACCTGGCTGTATGCTAAAAATTATGAGTTTCTCTTCTTACAATAAGTATATTTTTTCATAGATTCTTGTAAGATGGACATTTGACATGTAAAAAAATACCATTGGTTGCAAATTTTCACTAGTGAGATTATTTGGGAAAAAAAATATTTATTTTACACTTTCAAGAATGTCACATAGAAATGAGGTTTTAGTTACAGAAGAGATCATTAGTATATTCATTTTTTATTAATGCTATAAAAATTTACCACAAACCTAGTGACTAAAACAATTCAAATATATTATCTTATATTTTTGTAGATTACAAGTTCAAAATGGGTCTCACTGAGCTAAAATAAAGGTGCTGGAAGGGCTCGGTTCCTTTCCAAAGGTTCTAGGGGAGAATCTGTTCTCTTACATTTCCCAGCTTCTAGAGGCTCCCCTTGTTCCTTGGCTCATGGTCCCCCTTTTTTATCCTCAAAGCGACAAGTGTTGCTTTCCTCTGATCCTTCTCCCATAATTATGTCTTCCATTAACTCTGCTGGAATAGGTTCCTCAACTTTACAGATCCATGTCGTTAGATTAAGCCCACGTGAATAATCTAGAATAATCTCTTCTTCTCAAGGTCCTTAACTACATCTGCAAATGTCCCTTTTTCCAAAGTCCAATAATTTTCAAAGATAAATTAAGAATTATCATTGTTAACATTTTGACACTTCTTTTCTGTCAATACGTTTTTAATGTGTTTTTCTTAAGCTTGGTATCATATATATAGAGAGGTAATTTTTCAACCCACTTCTTTCAAATATCATCTATGATATATTTTCCTATGCTATTGAACGGAACCTTAACAGAACCTTTTGAAAGGTAACAATTAACATCTTTAGTTACAAAAAAAGTGATGTATTCAATTTAAATTTTCATTAAAATAAATGACTTTTGGGTTTCCCCCCAAAATTCTGACCTATGGTTTATCCTTTGTGCATTTAATGTGCTTGAAGATCTTGGCTCTTTCCACCATGCAAGTCATTAAAGCCAGGTCATGCTCCGCAGCATTTCAAAAAGTCATCATCACACAGCTGAGAAATGACCCAGCAACAGATAACAGAAATCCCACCGCCTGATTATTCACATCTTTCAACTCTCATTACAGGTCAATTTTAGGCCCCACAGAGCTATTTTAGTGTGGCCACAACTGCCACATTGGATGATTGTCAAATATTCTAACTGTGGCTGTCAGGAAGACAAATAAACAAACCCTGGATCAAAAGCCCACCAGGCTGTGCTGGCTCTCACAGGGCTGGTGCTTTGCTTTGAGACAAGCCCTTTCCCATTTGTGACTTGTTATGGCCTCCAAAATTTATATGCTAGAAATCCAATCACCAACGTGATGGTGTTAGGCGGTGAAGCCTTTGGGAGGTGATTAGGTCATGAGGGTGGAACCTCATGAATGGGATTAGTGCTTTGATAAAAGAGGCCCCAAGGAGCTGCCTTGCCCCTTCACCATGTGAGGACACAGCAAAAGGACAGCCATCTATAAAACAAAAAACAGTCCCCCTACAGAACACCAAATCTGTTAGCACCTTGATCTTGGAATTCCCAGACTCTGGATCTTTGAGAAATACATTTCTATTGTTGACAAGCCACCTAGTTTGGGATATTTTGTTACATCAGCCCAAATAGAATAAGACAGGGCTCTACCACTAAGATTTTGTTTGTTTGTTTAACTCTGGGCAAATTATACAAGCCTCTTTTTTCATATAAAGTGGAGATATCTGACACTTTGAGTAGAATGATATTACTACATATTTAGCTCACCAGAATTATAGCAGAGATTCAACAAGTACTAGTTCTGAATCTCTGACCATCTGGTCTAAAGAAGGCCCTGCCTTCCTTTATTTCACAACATTTATTAATAGCTGTAATTAATTATTGTTCACTATGTTTACCTAACTTTAAATTTCAAAAGTGCTAAAATCATACCTTTCTTATGTAGCCATGTGTACCTGGCACCTAGCTCAGTTTAATGGACTTAGTAAATGCTTAACATTTTCTCAGTAAGTTAGTTTCCTCTTTTCTTAGCTCCCTTACATGTGTTAAATCCATGACAA
Organism: Homo sapiens; assembly: GCF_000001405.40. NCBI lineage: Eukaryota > Metazoa > Chordata > Mammalia > Primates > Hominidae > Homo > Homo sapiens. The sequence goes on from NC_000007.14 coordinate 48,807,825, forward strand.
TCATTCCTAAGAAACTTGCTCACCAAACTTATGAACAATGACACACATTTTTAAACTTATTGCCTGAATTATTGCTGGTGTCACCTGCTGGAATTAGACAGTGTAGAAGAAAATTTTGTAGAAAAAGTTAAACCCAAGACCTGAATATAGATAGCCAGGAATGAGAGAAAAAGATAAATTCCTGTCTTTACTTGAGACTGGAGGAATTTCTAGGCTTTAAGAGAGGATATCAGAGCAGAGTCAGTGCTCTTGCTTCGGTCAAAGCAATGTGCCTGCTTTTCAGCATACAGAAAAAGAATATGCTAGGTTGCAAAGAGGAAATATTGTTGTACCATTCTGAACAGGTAAATCCTGCTTAAGCATTTAATTGGAAAGTGAAAATGAAAATATCCAAGGAGCTATACTTCACACTTGAATAGACTGAAATAATTAACGTATTTATAACCAAAATAGGACTTACTATTGTAAGTAAGTTTTGGAACTTGAACGTTCATTGTCCAGGTCCTTTCCAAGGCTGTGGAGTGGCTCTAGCAATCTCTTTACGTGATTATCTGTTTTGTAAAGTTTTCAATTCCGTAGTGTAATTTATTTTTTTTCTTCCACTACCCCGAGTAGTTTAGGTATTTGGGCCCATGTTTTCCTCACTTTTTTGTTTCAACCTGCTGGATTATCCAGAGAAGTTCCACTTGGAGACTGGGTACATCATTACTTCAAGCAGGAAAATGTCAAGACACTCAAGACCCTCCGTGCTGTGTGGGCACATGGCTGCTGGGCTATGAGGCTTTCCCTTGGACATGTATTTTCAGGGCAATAATGACCACATTCTGAGGAGAACAACCAAGATTTTAAGGAGATTTGTTGTGGTTGTTGTTTGCTCAGGGAGAGACTATTTGGAAGAACAGAGGGAACTTGACTCAGAGCTAGACACTTGGGTACATAATGACACTCTGGAAAGACTTTCAACTTGGACTACAGAAATACAACTGAAAATAATTCTCTCTTATCAACCTAAATAAGTCAGTTCAAATTTATGGTATTCCGTTTGCTTAATTTGTAAAGCATAAAGTCAGAAATTGAGTCATAATAATAATATGAAACCTAGTGTTCTTTAAGCCTTTACTTTGTGTGAAGCGCAGTGATAATTACATAGAATTCTCAGAGCAAGATGAATTAACTCAAAATGGATCAATGACCTAAATATAGGAGAAAAACAATGAAACTACTAGAGAAAAACATAGGGATAATTCTTTATGGCCTTCGATTTGTTAATAGGTTCTCAAATTTTACAACAAAATCAAAGGCAACAAAAATAACAGATAAATTATTCTTCATTAAAATTAAAAAATTATGTATCAAAACACATTAGCAAGAAAGTAAAAAGACAACCTATAAAATGGAAAAAAATTGCAAATCATATTTCGGGTAAAAATTTAGTTTCCAAAATAGAAGTACCATATCACATATACTAGGATGGTGAGATAACAATAACAACAAAAAAAGGAAAGAAAGAAAAGAAAAGAAATTGAAAAGAAAAACAGCTGAAATTAACAAGTGTTCACAAAAATCAAGCAAAATAGGCACCCTCATACATTGCTTTGGGGGTAAAAACATAGTGCAGTTTGGCACCCTGCTAAAAGCTAAACATAGAATTACCATTTGACACTGCAATTCTACTCCTAGATAGATGCCCAAGGGAAATAAAAACATACGTCAAGTTACTATGCTCACACAAAAACTTGTACAGCAATGCTTGTAGCAGCATTATTCATGATAGCACAAAGGTGAAACAACTGTTCAGCAAGGGAGGAATGGATAAACAAATGCTTGTATATACACACGATGAAATGTTATTAAGCCATAAAAAGGAACGAAGCACCAACACATGCTATAGTTCGAATGAACCTAGAAAATAATATGCTATATTCCTGTCTTTGCTTGAGACTGGAGGGATTTCTAGGCTTTAAGAGAGGATATCAGAGCAGAGTCAGTGCTCTTGCTTGGGTCAAAGCAATGTGCCTGCTTTTCAGCATACAGAAAAAGAATATGCTAGGATGCAAAGAGGAAATACTGTTGTACCATTCTGAACAGGTAAAAACTGCTTAAGCATTTAATTGGAAAGTGAAAATGAAAATATCCAAGGAGCTATACTTCACACTTGAATAGATTGAAATAATTAACTTATTTATAACCAAAATAGGACTTACTATTGTAAGTTTTGAAACTTGAACGTTCATTGTCCATGTCTTTCCAAGGCTGTGGAGTGGCTTTAGCAATCTATTTACATGATTATGTGTTTTGTAAAGTTTTCAATTCCGTACTTTAACTTATTTTTTTCTTCCACCACCCCGAGTAGTTCTATATGCTATAGTTCGAATGAACCTAGAAAATAATATGCTAAGTGAAAGAATTCAGCACAAAAGGTCTCAGATTGCATAATTTCTTTCCTGTGAAATATCCAGAATAGGTAAACCCATAGAGACAAACAGCAGATTAGTGATTGCCAGGGGATGTGGGTGAGAGGGAGGAAGGGAGAGTCACTATTTAAACAGTGTGGAGTATTTTTCCGGGGTGATGAAAAATTTTGAAACTAAAGAAAAGTGGTGGTTTACAGGATTGTAACTGTACCAAATGTGCTATTTGAAATAGTTAATTGTGTATAATGTGTATTTTGCCTCAGAAAATGCTAAGCATGATTTAGTATATAAACACCTTGAAAAGGCAGAAGAAAAATCACATTGTTATCTCTAATAAAAGTGGAAACATCATTGGGCAAAATCCAACATCCATTTCTGAAAAACTTTCAGCAAAATAGTAACAGGAGGGAACTCCTATAGCTGCATAAAGGGCATCTGAGAACATCCTATCGCTAACACCTTAACGCTGAAAGATGGAGTGCTTCCCTCCAAAATAAGGGGAAAAGGCAGGGCTGTCTACTCTCTCAGCATACATAGGCAACCAGCTGGAATATGGTTACTGTCCCCTGTGGCAAAGGAACACCACAGGGATGTCCTCAGCACCTCCAAGAAAAAGAGCTGGGTTCAGATAGCTGCTGGGTCCACAGAGCCCTGCAGTTAGATCAGCCCAATAGCACCCACCAAACAGGAACTTTCCAAGATGATTGCAAACGGGGTTAACATGTTTTTTGGAGAGCAACTAGAGGCACTGGATGAGACTTTGTCCCCTCAACTGACTGCCATCTCCCACTCCCCTCCCCAAGTCAGGCTTCTGTTGAGGGATGGAGAGATGTATTTCCTTTAAAGCAAGAATTAAGTATTGACTACTACAAAACTAAACTAAACTAAACTGGAAATGTGCCTGAAGTGAACAGAGTCAGGTGTGTGTACCCTAAGAGGGAACAGAAATCTCCGGAGCCTATGGGAGGTTTCACCCAAGAAGCCCCATCCCACACAGTGGGTTAAAAGAGCAGTGCAAGATCAAATCAAGTTGCTTCAGGATTGCATCCTGCAAGTGAGGCCCACACAAGGGCAGGCTGTTACTAGCAGAGAGAAAAGGGAACAATTGGTATTGTTCTGCCTACCTAAATAGGCATCGGGATTGTGATTTTGGGTCAGAATTTCTCATATAAATTGCCACATCATCTGTTTTTCAATGTTCTTTCCATTAGGCAACTCACAGCAAGGGAAGTAATTCTGGAGAAGAAATTAAGAATTTCTATATTCCCTGGAAAGTATTCCATCAAAATAACACACAGAGTAGCACCCAAAATAACACCCCTAGTAGCAACCATTTTTAGAAGCCATGATTCCTAATGATCAGGCTTCCTGGGATCCTCAGCTATCCAGTTCTAGTTTAGACATACATCCTTGCCTCCTATTGCCACTATGCAATGGACCATGGATGAAAATCTGAACAAGACTGCTGACTGCTCTGTTAAAAAAGCCTCCTGCATCACTGCTTCAGTCTCTTGGCCTGAAATGCTCCTTCTACTCATGAAGTTAATATCTTGCTGCCAAAACTTAATTCAAAAACCACCATCTACCATGAAGCCTCCTCTCATTCTCACAGCCCAAATGTATTTTTTATCTCCTTTAAATTCTGTATGTTTTCTCATCCGTTTCTATCATAGTTTTACTATTCTACCTATGTTGCAAAACTCTCTAAGCTTAGAGCCATATTTTATACACCAAATTTCCTGCTACAGCAGACGGTGCTCAATAAATATTTGTTCAGTGAATGAATGAGTGAGTGAATAGAGCTGAAGGAGTGAATTAAGGAAGAGAGTTATTATAGCATTTCCCTTTACAGGAGTAGAAATAATAAGCGCCATTATGGATTGAAACTTTGAAAATATAAGCAGTAGAAAGACTGTGTTGCAACAGAAGTCTTATAACCACAGCCTTTATTCAAGGTATTTCCCATGTTTCTCTACAAAGCTAATAATACTTTGATTCATCTTCCTAAGAGAGTTATAAAATAAAAAGGAATGATCATCTAATTTAATATCTGATGTAATTCCAGTGATGTGTAATTTACTAGCTTCTTAGCCCTGAACTGTTTTTTAGTGTTAGTAATCACATCTGTTCTGCACCTTTAGAGAATAAAGCACTGCCAATCAATATATGATAATGCTTTTATTAAAATGTTCAAAGCAGAAAACAGGTCTTACTTACTAAATACTTCATCAGTTCTAAATTTATTCAGAACTCTTTCCTCAAATAAGTAACATGTTTTAAACAAGACTGTGGTTTGCTTTCTCCAATATTCCTTTCATTGCACATGTGTTAGTTCAAGATGGCTAAAGTTCTTTGCTTTCCCCTGTCTTGTGTTGATGACCATCAAATGAGGAAACAGATATCTGAACATTGATTTCTTTCATCTATTTGACTGATATTTATTAGAAAAAATGGTAATAATTGCTAACATATATTGAAGATTCATTATGTACCATGTTTCTAACATTTGTTTTATATACAGTATCTCATTGAGTACACATTGCCAAGGACTGTATAATGTGATGGGCTAAAATATGTTCCCCCCAAGATCATATGTTGAGGTCCTAATTCCCATACTTTAGAATGTGGCTGTATTTAGAGATAGGGCCATTAAAGAGGTCACTGAGTTAAAATGGAGCCCTTTGGGCTGGACCTAATCCAATCTGACTGGTGTCCTTATTAGGACATTGTCCCTGGTGCACAGAAAGCTGACCATGTGAAGAGACAGTAAGAGGGTGGCCATCTGTAAGATAAGGAAAGGGGTCTCAGAGGTCATCTACCCTGCCAGCACCCTGATCTTGGATTTCTAGACTCCAAAATTCTGACAAAATAAATTTTTGCTATTTATGCCACCCAGTGTGTGGTATTTTGTTATGGCAGTCTGAGAAAACTAACATAGATACTGTTATCATCTCAGTTTTACAGATGGGAAGACAGAATCTTGAAAAGGTCACAGTCTAGTCTGTGGTGGAGCAGATGCTAAAACCACAGTCTGAGTTCAAAGGCTACACTCTTTGCTATTTTCTGTTAGCACCTCCTGACATTAATATCAAATTGATTTAACTATAAGATTGTGGCAGGCACTGTGCTAAGAACTTTGGTGCTTTATCAAACCTGGTTGCTGATACACTTAAAACATTTCTTAGAGTTTCCCCATTTGTGTTTCTTGCTGCTGACCACTTTATTCCTCAGGGCTCTTCCAATTCTCTTACATGGACTCTTCTCTTTTTCCATCCTTTTCTCTTTCCCCACCCTGTGTCTATGACAAAGTCAGTATTATCTGGGCTGTCCAGTGACTCTCCCACAGTAATTTTTCTTGACCTTTTTAAAACAAGCCCAAGTCCTTTGGAACTCAGGCATCTAGAGATAGATATTGGCCTCTTAACATAGTTGTGGCCACTCGTGGACTGTGACTGAGTTTCCTGTATTGAAGCCCAGCTCACCGCCTTTCTTTTCATGTCACTCAAACAATGTTCTGTGCAGTCTGTCCAGATTCAGCAGTTTTGTCCCTGGACACATGGTTTGTTGCCACCCTCCACTTCCGGTCCTCGTGAAGGCAGTTTCATCTTCACTCTTGGATGCCTCCCTGTCTTCCTACTGTTCCAGAGCCCATGCCATTTCTGAGATCCTCTGAGCTGTCCTTGTGGCTTCCATGCAGGTGAACACAGGATTATCAGGGATAAATGATCAGCAGTGGGTGGGCCAGGGTCACATGTGAGAAGAAACAGGCTGTGACCTGAGAGTGAGATGCTGAAAAAATTGGGAGGTGAAAGTTACTGCATTTGAGAATTCCAAGGATCTTAGAAGACAGAAATCTGTTGAAGTGTTCACACGGACACAGAAATCGGTCAATATGATAGTGCAACATAAAGGCGAGTTCTCAAGGACCCCCATTCCTCCTAATGAGAAGAAGACACAATTATTATTATACTGTGTCTATTTTTAGCAAAATAATAAGCATGCGATAGTATAGCTTGTTTTATGCTTTGCTTTTCAACTGGGTGAAAATCCATGCAAAATGATTTCCCACCTTATTTGAGATCTAAAGTCTTAAAATGCAGAGCCTATCTGTGAAGTCCTCCGCAGCCTCCTGCTCCCACCCCCCTGTCCGCTTGCTAAAAGGTCATGCATTTTCCTTCCCGCTGCAGGGCCTTTGCACTTGCTCTTTACTCTGCCTTCAATGCCCTTTGTTCAACTATCTGCACGACTCATTTATTCTCTTCCTTCAAGACTTTGCTCAAATACAATTTTCTCCTTAAGGCCTTTTCTGAATACTCTGCTTAAAATTGCAACTTTCTGCCTCCAAATCCTCTTCCTTTTTCCAGGCTTTGTATTTCTTCAGAGCATCTATCACCTTCTATTATATCATTTACCCATGTATTTTGTTTATTTGCCCTTGTCTGCAATGTTCAGAATGACTTATTTCTCCCTTATTGTGTTTTTTAATGTATCTTCAACACTTAGGAGAGTGCCTGGTGCACATACTAAGTAGTCATTATTCATTTATTAGATAAATGAATAAATGATGTAGGGAAGAATCTTTGTATCTGCAACTCTTTGCTATAATCTGTTAAATTTTTAATTTATTATACAGTTCAACTATGAAACTTACCTTTCTGAATACCAGAAAACTCCTTACCCTTTTTAATCTGTAAATTAACCAGATTCTTCCAGGGATTATTAAGTCATTCTGGTGATTTTTATAATTGACCTTTGTTAACCTATGATGGATGCATTTGCTACAGTTCATACTGAAGACTTCTGAAATTTTTCTAACCCATGCTGCATTGACAGTTTCCATGACTATATGAATATTACCAAAAAAAATCCTAGCATATGTACGTTAACATATTATCAAAATTGAGGAAGGGAATTAGAAAAACAGGAAAAAGAAAAGAGTGCAAAACAGTGATCACCCATAAATTACCTAGCTCAATAAATGTTACCATTTGAGTGTACACACCCACCCCAACATTCACAAAATTGCGATTGTTTTGTTTGTTCACATTATTCCTAAGTCTTTTCCCTCCTTTTTCAGAACTGTTCCTGACACCTCAAATCTAATACCAGTGCTGTAGAGGCTGTGGGGAATTGTCGCCGTTGGCCAGGGCAAGCCTCCTTTGATGGCCCTTGACATTCACACTTTTGGCAATATATCTTATTATGGAGTCATCAGTGTTCAATATTGAGAATTTTAAAGATGTGAATATATAAAGGCATCTATAAAGGCAGAAACATCACATGTAATTCCAAAAGTCAAAATGACATCTATTTCTTGAAAAATTTTTAGTATTTACTTCTAGAAATCTATTTACACATTTTCATTTGTATATGTATCTTTTCCCAGAATTGGGGTCACATAGTACATTGTGTTTATAACCCACTTTCTTTCATGTAATAATAACTGTGAAGATTTTCATATCCAGTTAATATTCCCACTTACTGCCTATGTGCCATTTATCACCTACACCAACAGAGTTATTAAGAGGACTGCCACAAGTAAAGTTACAGAATAATTCATCTGAAAGCTAAATTAAACCTAAAACACATCATATTTTCCCTCCTTTATTCATGGTAAATGCTGTTATCTCTACCATTTGGCCTCCAGCAGCAATTTATGTTCATAAAGAATTTCCATCCAGGAGAGAAAATGGCACTCCACTTTTCGCTTTCAATTTTTTATAATGTGTGATGTGCTTCACAGGATTTCACTGCTTTCTCTGACCACAAACAAACAGTGGAACTGAATGGCCTGTGTCTACTGCCACCCTGCTTGTACTTCCCAGCTTTCTTTCATGGTTGTCTCTATACAGAAGACATGTAAGCATGGAAAACAATAAGATCATAAGCATGTCACAGTAAGATCATATGGAGTAACCTTTTTCTCACTCTTAATTGCAAATGAAGTTTGTATAATGAAATGTTTGGAATTACAAATTAAAACCACCAGACACCATTTCACACTCTGTTTGTTTGGGAGAAAGTACTAGTCAATGTTAAAAAGATGTATGAACTCTTATTTAGAGTTTGTATAGGAGACACATTTGTTACAATCACTTTAGAAGTATTTTTGGCATTATCTTTTCAATTTTAAAATGTATGTAGCCAGAGATGCAACATCTCCAGTCATAGCACATTATATTACCTGAATGCTTACATATTTATGAGGGCTAATAGTAGCAGCATTTACAATGGCAAGAAATAAGTAAATAAAGCAGATGAAAGGTACATAAACACACATATGGATAAATAAATTGTGGCGTATTTTCTCAATGGATTGCCCCACAGCAGCAGAAATGAATTCTGCCAAAAACAGGAAAGAAGATGAGTATCACACACCTTTGTTGAGTGGAAAAAGCCACACATGTATACGGATTCCTGGAAGGTTCATATACCTTGCCCCACATGAGTGGAACAAACAGGACTTGAATTCAAGGCCTCTAACAGAAGGGTGCAGCTGCTCAACGGTATACTAACCCAGCTTGCGCAGATGTGCATATTAACATACAAGGATCAGTGGGAAAACACATCTTGAGAATGACAAAGGGAAAGGAGGGGATCCATGGAGTGCAGTCCTGAGGGGGCAGGTGCATGATCAGAAAAAACAGCTGTGCCACTCAGGCAGCAGGAAGGCACGTGGGCATGGGTGCAGACCAAAGAAAGAGGTCGGAGTGGGGACAGAGGGATGAAGGTACTTTGTTAACTTAATTTGGTTGCAAGTTTTGTATTCAAATGCTAAAACAGAGTACCACCACGTTGTGATAAAATATGAACTGTAATTCATGCTCCATATTATCCCACTCTGGAGTTTCCTTCCCCAAACTAACTTTTGTAGCTCTCTCTTCTGATATTTATTTGCATAATTACTAAACATTCTGTATCACTATTTCTTATGAAAAATTTTATCTATGTACTTTCATAGAAGATAATGATCATACACTCATAAACCAACCTCACACTATCCCCTCCCATTACCTTTCTATCATAATTTTTAAAACATTATTTACCATTTAATTTATAGAAATGTAATTCTTACCACTGATGATCCTTAAAGTTAGTGTATAATTGAATTTCCTTTTCTGTATTTTCTCTTCTGTAAAATGGCGATGATAAAATAAAACCTTCTTCATAGGGCTGTTAAAAGTAAAAGTGTGTATGTATAAAGGGTATTAAACAGTGTTTGGCATATGATTCAATAAATCTTAGCTTCATTTACTATCGAAAACCCAGAGGAAGATACAGAAATTGACAGACTCAGGTTAAATTCAAAGTTTCTTGACCTCTCATTCAAACGCTATTCATAGTATGCCACATTCTTGCTTTTGTCACATATAAATTTAAATTTTTAAAAAAGTAATTGCTTTGAAATGTTAGAAACAATGTGGCCTTGCACATAAAGGTCAACAAGACATCCCAAGTGCGACTTGATGAGTACTTCCATATTCTCCTCAAATTTATTTTATTGCCTTGACCTTTTCTCCCAGCCTCAGCTGAGTGATTTTCCTGGTTTGTTGAATACATTTTGCAGTGATGTTATGCTTTTGTGAAGAAGGAACCCTTTGGTATGTCAGTATAAATACCAATTTAACGTCAGAGTGATTCTGGAGGGAGTTGTGATTATGAGTTTATTTATGAAATAATGAATATTACTCATTAGTCTGGCACTGATGTATTTGAAGGGATAGGCTGGATTAGAACCATGGTGGTAATAGTGCTGTCATAGCATATTTTAACTGCAGGAACATTGAGAGAATAATTGCTGGATTAGAACTTTGGTGTTAATAGTGCTATCATAGCATATTCCAACTGCAGGAGCATTGAGAGAATAATTACAGCTACTGAATGGAACCTCCAGCTCTCTTAACTAAAGAAACCCAAACACTTTCTTAAATACTCAATGAATATTATGTCATTGAAACCATTCTCCCAGCAATAGCCCACAAATACTAAACAGGATAGAAAATTATGCCTACCCAGGCTGAGGAAGGTGGCTGACATCTGTAATCCCAGCACTTTGAAAGGTTGAGGTGGGTGGATCACTTGAGCCCAGGAGTTTGAGACCAGCCTGGACAACATGACAAAACCCTGTCTCCACAAAAAATAGAAAAATTAGCCCGAATGGTGGTGTGCACCTGTAGTCCCAGCTACTAGGGAGGCTGAGGTGGGGGGATCAAATGAGCCCAGGAGGTAGAAGCTGTAGTGAGCCATGAACAGGCCACGGCACCCCAATTTGGGTGACAGATAGAGTGAGACTCTGTCTCAAAAATAAGAGAAAAGAAAGAAAAAATGGCTACCAAATATGAATGCCCTGGATCTGCTAAGAGAAGTGATTCACAACCATTTGAAACTTTTGTTTCTGAGTCAACAAAGGATGCACTAAAATACCACTACTACTGCCACGAGGAACTCTCTGTTTTTGCAGTCATGAGCATATAATATCCCCAAACAATATAGACAATGTCACCTTCTCACAGGGTGTATCTCTGACCTTTCAGACTCAGAGGAAACTCTCAAACACTCTTGAACCTGTAGAGGATGGTTATTCTCTTCAAAGCCCATCTATCTAAAAGTATGTCATTTTGTTTGTTTGCCTATACGTTATTTTCTTCTCACACTAGATTTTAATCTCCATAATATCAATAATTTTGTTTTTATCATGACTATTCCCAGTGCCTAAAAAATTTTTTAGCATAAAGCTGTGCCAATAAGTAGCTGCTGAATTACACAGTTGCTAAATGATACGACACAGCTAGTTTGGTTTATAGACTCATGGGAGCCCTACATAAATTGCACACCTAGCTCAAAAGAATCCATTATTTTGAGAATCCACACACCAAAATGTGGAGCTGGGGGATTATTAGAGGACTGAAATAAGCAAGCTCAAAAATGAGTTCTTAGGTCTCAATTTTAAAAGTTTGTCTTCAGGAACCTCATCTTAATTAATTTATTTTTTGATGGGGTTTTGGAATTTTATAATCTATATCATTAACAATTAGGTAGCAAAAATTTTACAAATAGCTGAGTTATTAGTATTTGAAACAACACATTTTTCATTGCAAAAATTCCTTTTCACTTGTTCAGCATCTACCTGTAAAAAGCAAAATTACACACATACGCTGTAATTTCAAGGGACACTCTAATATTTTCACCTACATACCAATCTAGCAAAAATGTCTTCAAGGCAAGGACTTATGAGGCTTTCCTTTAAGACCAAAAAATGTATGCAGATATAAGAAAAGGAATTACCCAGAGTAAACACTTTTGGCCAGGAGATTTATGAGGGGAAGGATGTCTTTCTCTGAGGGCATATATCTCAATTTTGACCGAGCTGCGATTCTCTCCATTAGTTTACATTGCTCTGTAAGCAAGCAAACTCTTCTGTTTCAAGAGGACACACAAGTGTCTGAAAGCACTAAGCTGCTATACAGTGACATCAATAATTTGCAATAAATTTAAAAATCATACAGTATTACAGAAACCACAAAATCATAAAGGATTGCAGAAGAGTCATTGCTGTTGGGTGTGGAGTGTAGTAGAACCAACAAAGAAATACTTGGGCCATCTTAGCATCCTATAATAGTGCCCCAAATCCTGGAGGGGACCCACAGCTCTAGGAAATGTAGTGGAAAAAATTAGAGTTTTGAAAGCATATGTGCTTGATGTTGGGGAAGCAGTGATGCTAATTTTAACTCTACTCTATTTACCTGGGATATATTGGGCAACTTGAACAAACTCTGGGCCTTAGGGTCTTCATCATTAAAAAGCAGAAAATACAGTAGTAACTTCCTTAGAGATTACTGAAAGAATTTAACACCTCACAAATTCCTTAAACTGTGGCAGTGCACCTGCTACAAAACAGTTCTATGGTGTTGTCTCTATGTTAAAAATGCCATAGAGACACATGAAAAAAGAGGTTAAAATTAATAATACTTTCTTACTAATTCTCATTTAATAAATTTTATATTAATTCCCATATTATATGAGGCAAAATATTTTATTCTTTTTCCATTAGATAAATTATGACTACATGATTCCAATAAAGTCTAGAGAAACACTTTTATCCTGTTCTCTTGGCTTTGAAAGGTGTCAAGATATAAAATTTACCCTAGAGGGAAGAAATGTCAAATATGTAGACGCTTTCATTGTGATTTTTTTTGTACCTCCTATATTATTTACATTTCTTGTCATTTATATTTTATACATAATATATTTTTAAATGAAATTTAAACTTGAAAAAATTTTGATTGCTACTGCTGTCTGTATTTAATCAACAACAAAGACACAAAATAAAATGAGAAACTCGTTTAACATATATATGTTCTAGGTAGTTTTGAAGAGCTAACATCTGATCTGATGGCAGATTTCTGACTCAGAGATTAAAATATTATTGTGAGGAGTTCTACTAGTGTCAAGTTTGAGTTAGGGTATTCAGACAAATATTAACACTGAGATCAAATTGAAAGTTGGACAAAATAATAATAAAGTTAAAGGCATTGAGGAGTTTCGAGGCATTGAAAATTTGTGACCTAAAATCTGGGAGAATAGGGATACCAAAAGTTAAATAAGCCATTTGGAACTCTTTTAGCTTAGAGGTATTTGCTGTTTTCAAAAAGTTTGATAGAAATGCTGAGGAGCCAAAAACAGCTATCAACAACATCATGGAAACAGGCCAAAAAAACTGGAGTTCAAGGACCACAAGGGAGGAAGGGCACGGATCAACTCCCAGCTTTTCTCTTGGGCTCTACAAAGCTACAAGCCAAGAGTAAGAGTGAACATTAAACAGACCATGCCTCACAAGACTGAAGCTCAGCTTAGAATCATTTTGATCTCTGATTGGATTAAGGTGATCAGGGATCCTAAGTACCCCTGCAGGAAGATAGCATCATGTAATGCTTCAAACCACTTGGATAGCATTTCATATACAATATCTAGCACTAAAAAATGATCAGTGATTTGAAAAGACAAGAACATGTGGCAGAAAATAAAAGAAAGTACAGACAATATAAATAATAGAGAGATGGATAGATAAAGGAAATAGAAGGTGCAGATTATAAGTAGCTGACCAAAAAAAAATTAGTGAACTAGAAGATGAGTCAGAACAAATTATCCAGACTGATGTATGAAAAGACAAAAGGATGAGACACCCAGAAAAAAATGATGTATGTCAGATACAGTGCAAATGATTACATATATTTGGGATCCCAGGAGGACAATGATAGTGACAAAGAAATAATAATCGAAGGGATAATGGTTGATAATTTTCTAAGATTGTTTAAAGTTATCAAGCCACAGATTTAAAAAGTACTAGAGGTTTAGGAAGAATACATTCCAAAAAATACGCCTAATAACACCATGTTAAAAAGTTGAAAAGTTCAGACTAAGAGAAGATCCTTAAGAGAGAGAGAAAATAAAATAAAACCGAGACCTTCCAAAAAGCAACAATAAGAAATGAAGCTAACTTCTCTGCAAGATTAATGAAGACAGAAGATAATGAAATATCTTTTTTTTTTTTCTGAGACAGTCTCATTCTGTTTCCCAGGCTGGCACAATCTCAGCTCACTGCAACCTCTGCCTCCCGGGTTCATGCGATTCTCCTGTCTCAGCCTCCTGAATAGTTGATGAGATTACAGGTGCACACCACCACGCCCGGCTAATTTTTTTTTTGTATTTTTAGTATAGACAGGGTTTCACTATGTTGGCCAGACTGGTCTCAAACTCCTGACCTCGTGATCCTCCCGCCTTGGCCTCCCAAAGTGCTGGGATTACAGGCATGAGCCACCGTGCCCAGCCAGATGATGAAATATCTAAAAATTCTGGAAAGCTGGGGAATAAGAAACCATCAAACTAAAAATATCAATATCCAAGAAAAAGATATATGTTAATAATACATTGAAATAAATACATTTTCAGCCAAACGAAACCTGAAAGTTTGTCATCAACAAACCTTCAGTTGAAGAAATAAAAACATTCTTCCTTCAGAAGGAAATAATCTCAGATTAAAATGGAAGGTTTATTAAACAATTAATATATATATGTGAGTAAATTAATATTAATTTAATGTATTTATATATGTATTATTTCAGGACTTAAATATATATAATATCTATTTTTATAATATACAGTGCAATTGTAATAAAGGTAATTAATATATAAAACAACAAGAATATAGAGTTAGGAAAAGCTAAAGTAGTTAACATAGTTAATGTCTTTGTCTCATCCCTGTGGTATGTGTATGTGTTTGTGTGTGTGTGTCTGTCTGTAGGTGTGTTTAAGAGTAAACACAGTAAAAGTTAAGGATACATGCTGTATTCTTTGAAAAATCACAAAAGAATTGTAAAGGAATATATACTGATATGGTTTAGCTGTATCTCCACCCAAATCTCATCTTGAACTGTAGTTCCCATAATCCCCATATGTCCTGGGAGGGCCTGGTGGGAAGTAATTGAATCATGGGGGCTGTTACCGCCATGCTGTTCCCCATAATAGTGAGTGAGTTCTCATGAGATCTGCACTTCTCTTTGCTGCTGAAGGAAGGATGTATTTGTTTTCTGTTTTGCCACGATTGTAAGTTTCCTGAGGCCTTCCCAGCCATGAGGAACTGTGAGTCAATTAAACCTCTTTCCTTTATAAATTACCCAGTCTTGGGTATGTCTTTATTAGCAGTGTGAGAGTGAACTAATCCATATACCTATCAAACAGAGGGGAAAGAAAATAATTTAAAAATATGTATTAAATTAATAAAAAAATCGAACACAATAAAACAACAAGAAGAACATTAAAAAGGCAGGACAAATTTAAACAAATATTAAGGTAATAGACTAAAATCCAAATATTTCAGAAATTACATTAAATATGAATGGATTTCATACTCAATGACACATCTTTCCAGATCAGATAAAATTACCAAAAAATACAATATGTTTGTGAAAAAAACACACATGTAAATATAGGAATATCAAATAAATGAAAAGAGAAAGGGTGTAAAAAATATAGCATGTTAATTCTAACCAAAAGGAAGCTAATGTAGTTATTTTAATAACTCACAAAATAAACTTCAAATAAACGTGGATACCAGAGATGAAGAGTATTTGACAGTGTTTCATATTTTACTATATATTATATAGATTTTATTACATATTTGTCTTAGTCTTGGCTGTTATAACAAAATACCATAGGCTTGGTGGCTTATGAACTACAGAAATTAAAATTTTAAGCTCTGGAGAATGAGACATTGAAGATCACTGTGGGGTGCCAGCAGATTCAGGCGCTGGTGAGGGCCTGCTTCCTAGAATGCCTCTCTCTGGGGTCTGTTAGAGTTCTGATGATCTAGTTACCTCCCGAAGGCCCCACATCCTAATACCATCACCTTAAGGGTTAGAATTCCAGCATATGAATTTGGGAAATATAAATGTTCAAGGCATAGCAATGTTATATATTTTATATATTGCATATTTAGTATATATTTATATAATTTTATTTTATAATCAAAAGTTTAAAATCATCAAGATGATGTGACATTTTTAGATTTGTGTTGACTTGTTAAAGTAACTCTAAAATGCATGAAGAAAAAATGATTAAAATAAAAGTGCAGAAAAATTCCTAATTATAGTGAAAATTTTAAATATACATTTTCCAGTTACTATTGGATCAAGGACATCAGAGATTCTTTAAACATTTTCAACACATTTGATACCATTTAACTGCATTTAGTACAGTGAAATCATCCAATAAACTACACCAGGATACTTACTCTTTTCAAAACACAAAATTATTATATGGGCACAGTGCTATTAAGCTAGAAATTAATGTCTAAATTAACATTGGAAATTTCCTACAAATAAGACATTAAGAAATTCACTTGAAATAATTCATTAAAAAGAAATCAGTAAAATTAGAGAATATTTTAATTGTATTACAAATGCTAAAAATGAAATAAGTGACGCATAATTAAGCCACAGTTACAGAGGCAATAATGGTCAGAAACATATATTTTAGAAAAGACAGAGGCTGAAGATCTATTTTTAAGTATTCATCCTAAGAAACAAGTAAAAGAATAGTTAATACATGCAAAGGAGGCAGAAAGAAGGAAATAATACCATAGAAAGGAAATCAGAGAAAAGTAACCTACACAGAGATGTTGAGGAAAATAAGAAAAAGAAAAGCAATAATCAATACCGTGAATGGTAAAAGGGCAACATGAGGATCTAGTAGATATTAAAAATATAAAAAGATTTTGAACAAATTTATGCAAGCAAATTTAAACGTTTGAATGGCATGGACAGGTTCGTAGAAAAATATAGCTTATTAAAATCAACACAGAAAAATGGAAAAATTTGAAGTGTTTATTATATATTAATGACACTGAACTCATAAGCAATGATCTACCAAAGATAAAAATTAATTCCAAAAGCTAAACTACAGTTTATCAAAATCACTTATGAGGTTAGCATAACCTTGGAAATCATAAGACATCTCACCCATGAATATAGACGAAAATTCCTACAGAAATTACTAAACTGTATCTAGCTATCTATGAATATAAATTTAGTTTTAAATTTAGGTGTAAATATAAATTAAAAATATAAGTTATAGGATAAATAAATCACAACCAAGTTGCTCCTCAACCTAGAAATTTAATTTCAGCTTAACTGTAAAAAATTAATCACGGTAATTCACTGTATTAACAACAGAATTGAGGAGAAAAAAATGATCATATTAATAGATCAAGCTAACGCATTTTATAAAATAGCATCTATATAAAATTAAAAAACTGTTTGCATACTTAGAAAATAATAGCTTTAATCTGATTATGTTTATCTCCAATTTATCTATTTCAAACATTACATGAAATGGTAAAGTATTGAAAGCTAATGTGTCTGGGATTGAGAGGGGGCTACCACCTCTTCTATTCAAATTTGTACTGGAGGATCTCTGTAGTATGAAATTTATGTGATACAAGTAATGTGCATAATAATCGAAGAGAAAAATAAAGCTCATTAACACAGGGTGGATTGAAAAAATAATTTATGTCCACAGATAATGATAGTTAAAAATAAGCCTCTGGATTCAAGATGAACAAGCAACGTCAAATGTATTCCCTTATGTGAACAACAAGCAGCTATTGAAATGAAGTTCAAAAAGATATAGTTTACATTAGCAACAAAGTCACATTTATGTAAAAATAAATGTAACAAAAGATGTTAAAGAACATTTGCATTATACTGCATTGTAAAAATATTATAATTAATAAACTGGAGGTTTACATTAGATAGAAGGAAAACCATATTTATACATGGGAAGAGCAAATATTTCAAATATGTAAATTTTCTTCAAATCAATAAATTAACATAACCATAATAATTGTTCAACCATTTATGTCTTTGAGCATATGTGTGTGTGTGTGCAAGAGAGAGTGAGACAGAGAGAGAAAGAAAGCATATGTGCAAAATAACTGATTCTACAATTTACATGAAATTTCAAAAGGACAAGAATAGACAAAACATTTTTAAGGAGAACAAAGTGAGAAGACATACTCTACCAAATATCAAGAACTATTATGAATCCACATAAATAATTCAGTGTGGTAATAATATAATAAGTGGGAATTGGACCAATGAAACAAAGAAGAGAGACTCCAAAGTCAGATTCATACTGGTATGAACACTTTATTTATGATAAAACTGGAACTATATAATATCAATGGAATATATATGTGTATGTATGTATACATACATATATACAAACACACATACACACACACATAGTTATGGTGCTGAGTCAACTAGCTATCAAAATCGAACAAAAAAAGAGAAAAAAAGAAAACCCCTACCTCATACCAAATACAAATATTAAATCCCAGTAAATTCTAGATATAAAAGTAAAAAGCAAACCAATAAGGCATAGATATTATAGGAGAATATCTTTGTGACGTTGAGAAAGGGGAATATTTGTTAAACAATACACACGAAAGGCCCTATTAATTATAAAGGGAATAATGATTGGTCTACACCAACATTTGAAATTTCTTTACATTAAAAGACACGACTGGGATAGTGAAAATGTGACCAAGAGAGTGGGAGTAAATACCTGCAACATATACAACAGTCAAATAATTTGTATTTAAAAATATATAAATAAATCTTACTAACACAACAATGCAATTAAAAATGTGCATTTGACATGAATGTATGCATGCATACGCCCTGATGGATAAGAATGTTGTTAATGGCACAAATTATATTAGCCCAAATCTAGAAAAATTCTAACATCCATCAACTGTAGAATGTATATAAGCATTCACAAAATCGAGTATAATATATGCAATGAAATAAATTGTAACTCTATGCAACAATAAAGATATGTATCACAAACGTAAGGTTGGGTGGAAGTAGCTGTACACAAATAATTGCATGTATTTAATTCCATTTATATACAGGTCAGAATAGGTAGGGAATCAAGATAGAGGGTATCTTTGGGAAGGCAACTGGTGATGGAGCCAAGGAAGAGGCATGAATGGAGTTTCTGGATTGTGGACAGTCTTCATTATTTTTGACTTGTGGTCATCTTTGTGAAGCTACATGTATAAATAGACCTATTTGGGGTGTGTTCCCTGGAAGCAGAGCCTGGTTGTGTGTGATTCATTGAGACAGAGCTCTTCAAGGAAAGCAGTGAAGGAGGAGAGGGAAAGAGAGGACACTAAGAAGGATGCAGTGTTAGTCAAAGGTGAGACTTAAATAGGAGTTGACTTAACTCATCCAAGGTAAGGCTCTGGACCATAACTCACATCCCCACCTGCCTTCAGAAAAGGGGCAGACACTTTTAGCCAATGTATATCAGTTAGTAGCTGAGCACACATCCTCTTCAGTGGGTTGCTGCTGAGGATTATAGCCTCTCCTCCCAGCTAACCCCTGGTCAATTCTCCAGAGAGGGACCAGTAGCTAGGACTACTGTTAGCACTCAGATGTTAAAGCAGCGGAGAATGGGTATCCCCGATGGTGAAGCATAGAGCACCAAAGCATCTATCAATGACATGAACCCTGTTGTTGTGGAAATTACATATTCAAATGTTCTCAGTATTAATGCCATGGGCTAAAGTCATGAATCTCATAAAAGAGCACTATCCAAAGAGCAGGAACTTGCTAATCAGGTTTACTTAGGGATATTCCTCATCCACAGCCTCTCCACAGTAAACCAAACCTCCAAGCATTTTTCTGAATGCTTTTTTTTCTGTCCAATGGTTGATTTTCAAGAATGCTCCATCCCGTCTTTATCATGTGGATGCCTCCTTATGAGTTTTATTAATTTCATCATCTCTGGCATCCATTGACTAATGAGTCTTTCCTTCATGATTTTCTTTTCTGCTGGGTCTGCAGAGGGGACAAGTGTGCATGGATCTGTTGGTATGGAAAGAAGAAAGAAGGATAGCGGGGGCATCTCACTATGAATGTATTCTTTCTTAAATCTTTAAAATGCAAAATGCTTAATGTCTCGAAGAAAACCTCTCATCTAGGCTTGATGGGAGTCATATTCTGCCATTAATGAAACACAAACATCCCTCCTTCCCTCACCTTGTTACATTTAAAGAGACTGAATTTGACCAAATTACTTTCCCTGAACCATAAATTGCTTCTCTGGCCACAAACAGGAAAGGCCATCTCATTTATCCACAAAAACATTTCTTTGAACTTTGAATATTCTCATCTCCGATATAATGTAATGTGATAAATCTCACATTGAGGGAGGTTAAAATTATAGAAGGTATGGGGGAATTAACTTTCCCTTTAGCATGGTGGGAGATGAGACTAAAGAGGTGTAATAGGATGATATTATTGAGTGTCATATTTCCAAAAACATTTATTAAGCACCTAACACTTACTAGACATTGGAACTACAGAAGTAAATATTTTCTTTGAGAAAGATATTGGAATGGTATATTTTACTCTTAATCAATGGCCATATTAAGCAAGATAGTCATGTTGTTCTGTGTGTGGTTAAGATGTACAACTCCCTGGATAAAGTGAAGGATAGATCGGCCGGGCGCGGTGGCTCACGCCTGTAATCCAGCACTTTGGGAGGCCGAGGCGGGCGGATCACGAGGTCAGGAGATCGAGATCATCCCGGCTAAAACGGTGAAACCCTGTCTCTACTGAAAATACAAAAAATTAGCCGGGCGTAGTGGCGGGCGCCTGTAGTCCCAGCTACTTGGGAGGCTGAGGCAGGAGAATGGCGTGAACCCGGGAGGCGGAGCTTGCAGTGAGCCGAGATCCCTCCACTGCACTCCAGCCTGGGCGACAGAGCGAGACTCCGTCTCAAAAAAAAAAAAAAAAAAAAAAAGTGAAGGATAGATTCAGTGGTGGGATGGAGAACAGAAAATAGAGAATCATTGAGCATTACACTGCATAATGCAAGTAGACAGTGATGAGAATTGAAAGGATGGTGAAATTGCAGCTGAGAGAGTGATAGAATACAGACAAGCCTGGGCAGGGAAATTCAATGGATTTTGTGATGAACTTAAGGGAGGAAGTGAGAAGGAATTAAATGATGACTGGATTGCTCTCAGATTTCTCTCCAGTGTAACTTTTGGTAATGTTGAAGGGCATGTCCGTGAAGGTAGGCAGAAGAAGAGATTTAAGGAAGAAGATGCAGGATTTGATCTGTGGTAACCAGAATTTGTGATACTTGAAGAAAAAGATGTTTGGCATATTTAAGAATTCTAAAGCTCTGCTGAGGGAAATCCATCAATCACTTTTTTAAATGTATTCTGGAAATTACCTGGTTTTTAAAAATTCGATTTAATAATAAAAATATGGTTCATATAAAATGTTTTATAGTTGATAACTATACTGACATCTACAAAACTTGTTATTTTCCAGTGCTGGCAAGTAATTTTACTAGCTTTTAATCATGTGAATTTGTTTTAATTATCACTGTAGAAAAAGAAAAACGACATCCAAAGAGGGTATGCGACTGTGTCGAGTTCAACAGAAGAATGAGGACTGCACAATTCCATCTAGTTCCTGTTTGAAAGCTCTTTTGTCCACATGACCATTTCCCTTATGGACTCTCCTTCTACTTTTGTGGGATTGTTTTTCTAATTAGAAAATTCATTTTAGCAGTATTCTTATCATTCCAAAAGTTAATTACCCGTGCACTGTGGCATGAGCTTCATATCTGTTGAATTTCTTCACCTTTAATAAAGATCATTAAAAGGGAATTAGTGGCTTACTTGTAATTTCTAAAATTTTTATATACATGAGCTCAAAACAATCATAGATATTACCTCATATTACAGGTGAAGAAATAGAGCCACAAAGAGGAATCAAATCTAAAACCCATATTCTCACTACACTATGGTATTAAATTATTCTCTCATGTTAAGGTCAAGACACCTATTATGTATCTCCTAACTCTGGCTGTCAAATAAAAATCAGCTAATACACGCCACTGTAGTGGCAAACAACTACCCTTCTATAATTCATTCTTAATATAGTGACATTAAGCTCTAATCACAAAAATCACTAAAATCAAGTCAGCTTCCAGTTTATCACAAGGGAACATAATTTCGTCATATTATTCAGTAGGCCTTTTTTGATACTCTCGCACACACGTGACACACATGTGAGTGTGCACACACACAGACACTAAAAGAAATATAGTTCTTAATATCTCTTCTAAGTAGCCCTCAATGATACAGTACACACATTTAAAGTAAAAGAAATAAAGTTAGAAAATGCAAACAATACAGAAAAATGCAAAATTGCAAGGGAAATTATTTAATCTACCTCATACCTAAGACCTCTTTCCAAATCTAAACACTGACAATAGATTTTTCCATTACTTCTTTCATAAGCACATATCCATATTTATATAAATAGGCATTTGTTTATATACTTATATATGTTCACACACATTTATTGTCTGTTTAGTAAACATTATTATACTATGCACACTTGTTTTCCTCACTTAATGTCAGATCTTAAAAGATATGTTTCTAACATATATATTATGTTTGTCTTTGGGTCAGCATAATTACAGACATAGATTTAGAGCTGCCCAATCCAGTCATATTCAGTATCACATTGTCTTTAAAACAGAATAGATTTTCTAGTTAAGTGATTTTTAACATTCACACATTTTCAGGAAAACATGGTTAGTTGTTTTTAAATATATCTTCTCCCTTTCTAAGATTAAAACCTGCTGGCCCGAGTAATTTGAACACATCACCAAGAAATAATTCAATATAATTTTTCCAAAAACCAAAAAGTATCATCACTGCAAATATAGTATTTATTTATTTTTTTAGAAGGAGTCTCAGGCTGGAATGCAGTGGGGCGATCTCGGCTCACTGCAAACTCCGCCTTCCGGGTTCTAGCGATTCTCCTGCCTCAGCCTCCCAAGTAGCTGGGACTACAGGCATGTGGCACCATGCCCAGTCATTTTGTATTTTTAGTAGAGATGGGGTTTCACCATGTTGGCCAGGATGGTCTCGTTCTCTTGACCTTCTGATCCGCCCACCTCTACCCCCCAAAGTACTGGGATTACAGGTGAGAGCCACCGTGCCCTGCCAAAATTACTGTTTTTAAACATCTATAATTAGTATTTCTACTCTTTAATCATTTTTAATTTTACATTCTGTATTTGTGCTTTTTTCTGTATTCCAGGAAATTTTGCTATTGTCCCATAGATTTCACTGTTATCCATGCAAGGACTACATTAAGTGGAAGGATTCTAAACATTACCTTTGAGCACAATATGTTGATAAATTTTAATAGGTTTAAATAATCCATGTTGAGTAGCTGTATATATCTTTGGTTGCATCACTGATTATTTAAGACAAATTCTTTGAAGTGGGATTATTGAGTCAGGAAAATGAATCCCAATGTTAAGACACATCAGAGACTTTGATGTAGGGGTATAGACAGTACTGATGTTTTTCTTGTTGAACAAGTTCCTCTCTATGAATAATGCACAAACCACTGCTTGCCAAGTAGAAAAAGTGAAATGCCACTGGGAAATGAAATACATGGGTAGACTGAAAAGAGGAAGTTTTTGAGATGTGTTAGTGGAGGATAATAACTTAAAATTAAACATCTATTTAAAACAGAAACTTTGATGGTATCGTGTGGAATTCTGCCCAAGGGAAAGGAAGAGTAAAGGAGAAGCTGGACATGCACAATATTGCTATGAGCAGAAACCCTAAAAATGGTCTGGGGTGTGAGGCAGATTGAGTAGACAATCCTAGTACATGCTATGGGTTAAATGTTTGTGCCCCTGCCCTGCCTAAAAATGTTCTTATGTTGAAGCCCTCATCCCCAAGGTGATATTATTTGAAGGTGTGGTCTTTGGGAGGCGATTCGGTTTTCATGAGGTCATGGGTGTGGGGCATCCATGATAGGGTTGGTGCCCTTTAAGAAGATTTCTGTATCCCTCAGCCCATCTCCCCACTGGCCACCATGTGAGGACATAAGAAGAAAGAGGCCATAGGTAAGCCAGGAAGAGAGGCTTCACCAAGAATGGGACCAGGCTAGCACCTGGATCTTGGACTTCCAGCCTCCAGAATTGTAAACAATTGTTGTTTTAGCCACCCAACCTGTAGTATTCTGTTACGGCAGCCTGACAGTATGTAAGCTGGGAGCAGGATACACTGGACAATATGGTGGGAGAGAAGATACTCATCTCAATCTCATGAGTTGTGCTGGGCTTCGGCAATGCAACAGGGAGAAGCTCCAGGAGACAGGCTGCCCTGAAAAGACAGATGAGTGCACATGACTCCATCAGCGGAGGACACCCAGAACTCGCTAATGCCCTCTTAGAAAATGCCGTGGAGGGAGTTCAAATGAAGCTGCAGGATTTGGCTGTAGGATCCTGAGATTATGTGAAATATATTATGACAGTTTACACTGCAGGGCTTGCTAGAAGTGGATATTTCCACTGAATTTGAACAGTTTGCTGAACAGAACATAAAGAAGATTTGGCCCCAGAGGGTTGAAGCCTGCCAAGGAGGGAAGAAAAAAGAAAAGAGAGACATAGCAGCGAAGGCTGAGCTGAAAGCAGCATCCCTGTCTTCCTCCTTTTCTTACACTCCAAGGACAGCACCAACTGACCAGCTGTGTCATCCCAGCAGCTTCTAAAGTGTTCTCCTCTCTCTATTTTTATAAGAATCACACAATGCACAGCACTACCCAGGCCATGATTGCTCCCAGCTCTCCCCACAATGATTCCTCCATCCAATGGGCACCACGTAGGTGTAGCTTATCTTAGTCACTTTGGGCAGCTTGAACAACAGACATTTATTTCTCACAGTTCTGGAGGCTGGAAATTCATCAAGGCACCAGCTGATCTAGTGTTGGATAACGGCCCACTTCATGATTTTCAGACAATGCTTCTTGCTGTTTCCTCACATGGCAGAGACAGACGCAGAGAGAAAGTGAGCTGTTGTGTCTCTTCTTATAAGGGCACTTGTCCCAGGCATGAGGGCTCTGCCCTGTTGTCCTAATCATCTCTTGAAGGACCCACATTTCTTCACATTGGGGATTAGGATTTCAACATATAAAACAAACATTCACTCCATAACACAGCCTCTGCTCAATTTGACCAATGTTCTTTTTTTCTGTTTGCAAATGGAAGGGTTGCATTTTTTCATGAAGATTTATCATAAGGACATGCACAATAAGAGAAATAATTTGGAGGGTGGTTTCTTGTACTGCTGTATGTGAATAAGTAAGTGTTGAAGGATACTCTTGTAGGTCTCTCCTTTTGTGCTGGTAAGACCTTGGCATACTGTCTTCCTAGGCTCTACACAGATGATGTGGACATTAAATATGCTTAGTTTCCTCCTTGCCCCCTTGGGCTCAATCTGTCCATTTAAGAAAAAATGAATGGGTAACGTATCATGAGCGCTACAATTTCTTGAATTTAGAAAGGTATGCAAAGACAAGTAAGAAAAACGCAACACTCTACTGTTTTAAAACTATTTTGTGAATTTTGGAGGACTAATACAGCCAGAAATTAAGGTGTAAAAATAAGAGATGTGAAAACCTTTGACAAAATAAGAAGTAGAAATTAGAAATGCAAAAAAAAAATACTTTCATATCACTGGTTTTTTCCATTAAAATACAATTTTTCCATTGTGGGATATTTTAATCAAAATTACACCAGGGAACTGAAATGAAACCATTAGACTGTAGTGAGTTTATTTATCTAACCAGGGGATCACACCAGTTTCAAAGCAATTTTGTTGCATTTTCATTTCTTGCTGTGTCATGTCGCATATCAGAGATGCAATTGAAAATGAAATTATCTGTAACCATGTCACCTTAATAGTATTTATTTAAAATGCAAGTGTTCTTCTCTGGCACTTTATTAATTCTAAGAATACAGTATGGTAATTTTAACTAAGGACTATGCATAAAATTAAATTTTAAGATGGGCTGAAAATCCAGTTGGCAAGTAATGGGATTTGTGAGTATGCATGTGTAACGAGTAGCACACATAGACACACTGCACCCAGGAGAGGGAGAATTCTGAAATAAAGGATGCTTAGTTCATTTTGCTCTCTCAAAACAGCACACTCTGACTGAATGGGCCAGAGTGGGTCCATTTGCCTCATTTACCTATATGGAAAAAAAATCTGAAGGGTTCCTTTAACATGTAAGAAACTAACAGCTGGGGTTCTCAGGAGTGAATAATCTTACACTGGGATGTTAACAATATTCATTTTATTAAACCATTACCTTGAGCAAAATATTTACATCAAACTACAAAGAACACGGAGTCAGAATTTTTTTTTAGAAAAAATCAGGTACAGTTCCTCATCACTGCTTCTCAGCTGGACAGAATCTCTCTCCAGGATGGCTGTGGGCAGAGGCTCATCCACACTGCGGATTCTCTTTACTTGAGCATGTTTTACTTTCTGCAGCTTCTTATCTCAATGTCCCATATTGTTGTCATGTACACAAGTCTGCTCAAGGTTCCTGTGTATGTGTTGGGGAGTAGGTGTGTGCCTGTGTTTGTGTGTGCATGCCTGCATGTGTCTCTTTGTGAATGGGTGTGTCTGTATGTATATGTATGCCTGGACGTGTCTAGGTGTGTGTCTGTGTGGGTGCATGTATATATGTATGTCTGGGTATTTGTGTGTATGTATATATGTGTGTTTGTGTGTAAGGGTGTGTTTCTCTGTGTTTATGTGTGTGTGCATGTGTGTCTGGGTGTCGGGGGTGTGGGAAGGTGGATGTGGATGTGCGTTTGTCTCTGCTGAAAATTTTAATCCACTTATTACATAAGGACTTGTCCAATGCTCATTTTAGTTATCATCTTTCTAAGTTCATACCCGGAGATTTTTGTTTACAGTAAATTACCTCAGCAAAATGCTTCCAATTTATATTAATTCTCACTTCTGTTTATTTGCACCTGTAAATTTTCTAATGAAATAATTTGGAGCTCTAGTTTTATGTGCGTGTTTCTGTGTCTGTGTGCTGATAGGAAAGATATTTTATTTCGAATTGGAATATGAGCAAAAAAGGGATTCCCAGAGGCCTGGAGCCCCAGTGCTGAGGCACCTGCTTTGTACAATCCCATTACACAGCTATCTGGCCTCAGGGAGGCTGGGACTGGTCCAACCTAATCATCCTGCCCTCAGTCTTACATGCACTACAATATGCTTCTCCTGCTTCTTTGTCATTTGAAAACTGTAGTGAGGGTTTTGGCTTAAGTGACCCTGCCTGACACACAAGTGATGGCATTAAATATACTTTGGACTGTGTTATGTAGGAAACCCTTATCCACCACATCTAAAAACTTTGAAGTCCTAAAAAGCTCATATAGCAAAGCCAAAAAGTGCTATATTTACTCATTTTAAATTTTTAAATGGCCAATTACTTTATATAATAATAACATTATGGAAGCTGGAAAAGAAAATGGTATTAAAAGAGTGAGAGAGGCTGGGCGCAGTGGCTCACACCTGTAATCCCAGCACTTTGGAAGGCCGAGGAGGGTGGATCACAAGGTCAGGAGATCAGACCATCCTGACTAACACGGTGAAACCCCACCTCTACTAAAATTACAAAAAAAAAAAAAATATATCCAGGTGTGGTAGCGGGCGCCTGTAGTCCCAGCTACTCGGGAGGCTGAGGCAGGAGAATGGCGTGAACCTGGGAGGTGGAGCTTGCAGTGAGCCAAGATCATGCCAGTGCACTCTGGCCTGGTGACAGAGCGAGACTCCGTCTCAAAAAAAAAAAAAAAAAAAAAAAGGAATGAGAGAGAATGGGGGGAAAGGAAAAGAGTGAGAGACCTCAATTTTATAACAAGAACAAAAATTCTTAGTAGCAAAAACTAGAAAAGATAGCTCAAAAATAAAAGATTATTCCTACCTAAAATCTCCATGTGAAAATACCATATGAGAAAAAGGAAAACAGAAGAATACCCGTGGCGAGCAGCCTTGAAGAAGGTCCTTAATGACTCCACCTCCTTAATGACCCCACTTCCTGGCAAATGGCCAATTATTCCATATCATAGTAACATTATGGAAGCTAAAAAAGAAAGATATTAAAAGAGAGTGTGAACTGAATTCAGTGACTCACTTATGAATAGAACACGCTGGAAGTGATGAGATGTTGCTTTCATGATGAGGTTACAAAATACCCAGGCTTCTGCCTCAGGAGGCCTCTGTCTTGCATGCATGAGTGGATGGTGGCGGTTGCCATGTGGGGAGGCCCATGTGGCATGCCTTGGGAGGCCCATGTTGGGGGAACTGGGACAGCCATCTAGGAACCGAATCCTGCTGAAAATTACTTGAGTGAGGTCAGAAGCAGATGTTCCCCCATTCCAGTTTTCAGATGATCCTGCAGCCCCTGTTGAAACCTTGACTGTAGGTTTGCAAGAGACCTTGAGCAGAGGCACCCAGCTCATAGAACTCCCGGGTTCCTGACTGACCTACAGAAACTGTGGATTAAATGCTTTTTGTTATAAGGAACAAAGTTTTTGGGTAATTTGTTATGCAGCAAGAGAACATTAATACAGTACATTATCCTTCATGCTCTAATTTATCTAATAAATTCAAGGACTTGGAAAATTCATCAATTTATTCACTGAACAAGGCAAATTGTGTAGCGTGTACCATACGCTATGTGAAAGTGAGATAAGACGGTCCCTCCCTCAGAGGCCTTATGTTGTAATGGGAAAGACGACCTACAAGGACTTTTTGGGAAACTTCTTCCTGACTTGACCTCACCCAATCTGGCTTGATTCCACTTCCCAAAATGCAAACTGGGTCCCTTCCCACTTTATCTCTCAAACATGGGTGCTCTCTGTGTGATGTATCTAACTTCCCAATGTGGGATTGGGTTTTAGGTTTTGAAATCCAGGGTCAAGACTTCAGAGACAAAGGGTCTATTCCTGGTCCTGAGATGCTGTGAAGCCACATGGCCAAGCAGGATTTTCAGCTACAAAGTGTCAGGTTTGCTTGGTATCCATTGAGAACTCTGAAAGGATTAATGAGAATAATGTGAAGACTCACAACATGATTCAGAAGAAAAATGCAGCATGACAAGTATTCTTATGTTCAAAGGTAACCTATTTTTTCTTAAAATATACCACAGGGACATAAACTTTTGAAAAAAGTGTATTTTTGATCTTTTTTTTTTTTTTACTGTAATGAGACTGGTGAACAGCTAGCAAAAATCCAGGATACATAACTTTTTCATCATGATGCCATGGTGTCTCAAGCCCTATTCAAAACTCATCTCCATCACACATTGAGCTAATGATTTGGGGCCAGTCTTTTGACCTAAACGTTTGAGCCTTAGTTTCCGCATCTGTGAAGTAGACATAGTAATCCCTGCCATGTCACACCACAGGGTTTTTCAGTGGCCCCCAGCACTTGGCACCAGAGCACCTCCTCCACAAACAGATGAGGGATGCTGTGGACCAGGAAGGTGTGGGAACCAAGCTTGACAAGCAGCTTAAAGTCTGTTGGGAATCTCTTGCTTTAGAGCACACATTACTGCAGAATTTGCTTTCTAGCCTGTGTACAATATAGTTAGTACAGCTATTTCCCTACTTTGGGGAAAAAATTGGTATCTTAAGAAGATGTGTGATAACCCCAAGTCACCCTAAATCTCAGTGCAGCAGCACATGGGCACCTGCTCATTTTGCTCTGTCAAAGTCCAGTGAACACTGCCAAGTGTACTGGGCAGCTCTTTGTAGTTGCCAGCCACGCTGTCCAGCCTCCTTCCACTTCACATGCCTCTGTGTCAACATATTTCTCTAGCAGGGATAAATCAAGTTAATAAGGTGAGTACCAGGATTAAATGCTTCTATATAGAAGGGAGACACATCACTTCTGCTCCTGTTTCATTGGCCAAAGCAGGTCTCATGTCTACTCAACATCAAGTAAATGAGCAGAAGGTCCAAGAATTAGTGACGGACTGAATTTGGTCAGTGAAAGAAATGCCCACCACATGCATCTGGATCCTCCCCCCTTCCTCTGAAATCTCTGTATGAAGGTTCAAGCAGAGTTCATTACCAAAACAAATGCAATCAGATTTATGGCCAAACAGGATATCCAGACCTGGTTTCTCCTTAACACATAAAGCATTTGCTGCTGGTATGAAAGTGCCTGTCCTACTCACCTCCCTTTGTTTAGACCCCACTGCCTTTGCATCCATTTCTAGTCCCTCCTAGAATGCTCTTTATGCTCCCCAGGAGTCACAATGGACCGTTAAGCCAAAGCGGAGAAGATGTGCTGTCCTTGCCTCTCACCGTTGAAGCCTGGGATGGGGAGTCTTCACATCCTTAGACTGGGGTACCTTCTGAACAAAAACTCACCAGAATGCCAGAACCACTCTGTACTATGATGCAGACATCTCCTTGTTGGGGAGTAAGGATGGAAAGAAAAGCACAAAGGAAGAGCAAAAGGAACCATCTATGTGCCCTGGCATTCACTTTAAGGGAAAATAAGGTATAAGTGAATGCATTTCCTCAAATTTCATTTATCATTTTATATGTTAATATGATTGTTAGTTGAACAAGGTCACTCTGTCTGTGAGCAAAGTACCATAATGAATCCTGGTAAAACAGTGAGGTTGACACTATCCCATGCCCTCTGGCTCTTGCTTGGGGCTCTCCAACTGCATTTTAAAACTTCTATAAAATCCTACTTATAGATGCCCTCCTGTAGCTTTTCCATGCACTGGACCTTGTACTGGTTAGACTCATCAGGGTTCAGTGAGGGACCCATGCAGAAATACCTCGGCAATGGGCAGATATATAGACGTGAAGAAATGTCTTTCAGCTATAGTAACTCCAAGACTGAAATTTACAGCAAGTCTTACACAAAACAAGGTCAGTAACTCTGCATCTTCGGTATATAGTGTGGTTACTAGACCTCTCCTGTCTTTGGTTACTCACCATTTAAACTCCCTCAGACATTAGATTAATAAATAGATCAAAATTGATATCAGTAAGGAAACTATAGAGCTCCAGCAAAGTTCTATATGACAAAAGGAAACATATAGGATAAAAAGGAAAAGTGATTAATAAATGTATTAAAATTTAAACCTGCTAATATTCAAATAATTAAAACTATAACCACAGCATACATGTTTATCAAAATGGCATTTTCTTTTTTTTTTTTCCTTTCTTTCTTTCTTTCTTTTTTTTTTTTTGAGACAGAGTCTTGCTTAATCTGTCACCCAGCCTGGAGTGTAGTGACACGATCTCAGCTCACTGCAACCTCTGCCTTATGGGTTCAAGCAATTCTCCACCTCAGCCTCCCAAGTCGCTGAGATTACAGGCATGTGCCATCATGCCTGGCTAATTTTTGTATTTTTAGTGGAGACGGGGTTTTGCATGTTGGCCAGGCTGGTTTTGAATTCCTGACCTCAAGCAATTCACCCACCTTGGCCTCCCAAGCTGCTAGGATTACAGGCATGAGCCTCCATGCCCAGCCGCAAAATAGTCATTAGTAGCTCAGATGGGAGAGGGTAAGGGTTAAATTAGAGTAGTAACCTTTGTCTGAGTCACACGCATTGTGTAAGAGAGAGAAGAGTAAAGCTCCTCTTGTATGTGTATGAGACGAGGTCACAGAGGTCCTGTGAATAAAATCTTCCGAAGTCCCTCCCTCATGGAGTGTCCTGGTTGTGTAGTGGGAGGGGCACCATGATTGAGTCCCTTGTTGGCTAACTCCTAGAGCCATTGGTCTCTAACCATATTTCACTAGACTGTAAATTCTACTCCAGGACATACATTGATCTTATAAATTTGGCATTCCCTGTGCATAATTCAGAGTCTGCCACATAGTAGGGATGTCTGTGAATACCAATGGAGAAGTTTATTATCTTCACAAGCAGTGTGATTCTTCATGAGGCCCAAAATCTGCCTACATGGAGGTGAAATGTAAATTTCTGTAATTAGTGTTAACCAGTCTGGGACACATGTTGTTGCCACAATGTCTACCACAGGCTGCCCTCACCCTCTTTCTCCCTTGGCTGTCCTCCTCTGTGAAGGTGAGCAAAGCCAGACAGCAATCTCCTTGCAACTGATGAGGAGAGATGAGGCAAATGATTGGCAAGGGAGTCTTCTGGGGTGGAGCGGAGTTTGGAGTTCCTCCAAAGATTCTTTCTTGCAAAAAAAAAAAAGCAGCAGCAGCCCAGGGAAGAACACTTCTGTCCTGCACTCTTCCTAGTCTCCTGTCTTTGAATGTGATTGTGGACATGAAGCCCAAATTTATGGAAAGACTTGGTAATCATAAATGCTCATATCACCTAAATGCCAACCCAGAGCACAGGCCATCAAACAGCAGCAGCTACCTTCTCATAGATGTCTTGCTATAGGAGAGCAGTAATGCCATTTTTGATCAGGCATTCTGATACTTGTAAATAAAGCATTCCTTATTGGTGTCATATCCCACATATTTATACCATTTACTCCTCTGCTGGGCTTGGGAAATGGAAAACCATTCATCTGTTTCTTCTTCTTCTTCTTCTTTTTTTTTTTTTTTTGAGAAGGAGTCTCACTCTGTCGCCCAGGCTGGACTGCAGTGCTACGATCTCAGCTCACTGCAACCTCTACCTCCCAGGTTCAAGCGATTCTCCTGCATCAGCCTCCCGAGTAACTGGGATTACAGGTGCCCACCACCACGCCTGGCTAATTTATTTTTTATTTATTTATTTATTTATTTTTTAAGATGGAGTCTCACTCTGTCACCAGGCTGGAGTGCAGTGGCATGATCTCGGCTCACTGAAACCTCCGCTTCCCGTATTCATGCCATTCTCCTGCCTCAGCCTCCAAGTAGCTGGGACTACAGGCATGCACCACCACGCCCAGCTCATTTTTGTATTTTAGTAGAGACATGGTTTCACCATATTGAGCAGGATGGTCTTGATCTCTTGACCTTGTGATCCACCCTTCTCAGCCTCCCAAAGTGCTGGGATTACAGGTATGAGCCACTGTGCCTGGCCCCTCTGTTTCTTTTAACACTTTATTTAAATGCTGTGAACTCTCAGTTCAAAATGCTTTAGTACAGGGGTCCCCAGTTCCTGGGACACAGACCAGTACTGCTTAAGAACCAGGCCACACAGGTGAGTGGCTGGTGAGTGAGCATTATCGCTTGAGCTCTACCTCCTGTCAGATCAGTGGCAGCATTAGATTCCCATAGGAGCAGGAACCCTATTGTGAACTGTGCATGCGAGGGATCTAGGTTGCCTGAGCCTTATGAGAATCTAATGCCTGATGATATGAAGTGGAACAGTTTCATCCCAAACTACTCCCCTACCCTGTCCATGGAAAAATCATCTTCCATGAAACTGGTCCTTGGTGCCAGAAAGTTTGGCAACTGCTACTTTAGTAGAACCAGAATAAGACATATCAGTTCATTTTTGCTTCTACTCACCTGACATTTGTTTATTGAATACATGCTTCTTACCCAGCTCTATGCTAAGAGCTACTTTACTTAGCCTTCCTAACAAGCTTTACTTAGCCTTCCTAACAGGCTAAGTAAAGTAGCTCTTAGCATAGAGCTTGGTAAATAGCATGTGCTCAATAAACTTGTCCATTCTTCTAATACATTTATGTCCTCTGTACATCAATGGATCTGAATGCACATAGTATTTCTCTTGTTAGTGTCATACAAGTAGTAGCCTGAATTCAAGAAGTCTCATGAGAGACATCATTTGCCGTAGACAGGCTTAGCATACTTAGCCTTCCCTTTTTTTTTTTTTTTTTTTTTTAAAGACGGAGTCTTGCTCTGTTGCCAGGTGGAGTGCAGTGGTGCAATCTCAGCTCATTGCAACCTCTGCCTCCCGGGTTCAAGCGATTCTCCTGCCTCAGCTTCCTGAGTAGCTGAGACTATAGGTGCCCACACCCAGCTAATTTTTGTATTTTTAGTAAAGATGGGGTTTCACTATGTTGGCCAGGATGGTCTCAATCTCTTGACCTCATGATCCACCCACCTCGGCCTCCCAAAGTGCTGGGATTACAGGGATGAGCCACCGCGTACCCTTCTTAACAGGCTAAGTAAAGTAGCTCTTAGCATAGAGCCTGGTAAATAGCATGTACTCAATAAACTTTTCCATTCTTCTAATACGTTTTGTCCTCTGTCACATCAATGGATCTGAATAAACACAGTATTTCTCTTGTTAGTGTCACATAGATAGCAGCCTGAATTCAAGAAGCCTCATGAGAGACATCATTTGTCACAGAGAGGCTGACTGTGGAGGCAGGTGTCCCCTGTGAGGATTTCAAAAGCACTAGGAATGACGGATGAATTTTCCAACTTTGCTGTGATTTTACTGACAAGTGAATTTTCAAAGGCTTGTCTGGTATCTGCTTTGCAGATTTTCCCTTTGCTTTTTTATTTTTTATTTATTTATTATTTTTTTGGGGGGGTTAATACTTTTAATTACATGATTGTAATTATACAATTTCCACTATTCGATGTTTTGTATAAAACCAGTTACAACCCACAAGATTTTCAAACGTGACAATATGTATCAAACTACACACATACGCAAAGTTTACAGGCCATTAGGAAGCTTTATCTTAAAAATACCTTCAGGAAAATAAACATTCATTCAACCAGTTCTCTTGGCTTTAAAAAATATGATTAGAAATATACACTGTAAAAAATAATCAAGACAATGATTGATCAATACTGATCAGTTACATTTTAAAACTTTTAATCTGTACATGAGTGCAGGTTAGATAAAAGTCTGCAAATTGTTAATAGAAAACTGCAGTACTATCACCGGATGAACATGTCTGTTGACAATTTTACCAGGTAATTAAGGAGGTAATTTCCTACACGGTATAGGTGAATTGTCCAGTCTTTAAACACATCCGGAGTCATCTCTACTCAGTGACGAGGAGAATACCCTGATGTGGGGAAATGGAAGAACAGCAGCTAGCCTCTCCAGGGCAGTGTCAGCGGGAGAGAACATTTAAAGGAACAATAAAATAGGTCTTAAAAGTTGCTTGTGATGAGCACTGCTTTCCAAAATGCAATAATGATTTTTTTTTAAATGTAGAAAGAGAAGCTATGTTAACAACAGACATCCAATGAGTGCACTGCTTCTGTGGCTCAGATGGTGACTGGGAAAAGGGAGGGCTCCAGGAGAGCCCTCAGGCCATGCACAAGCCCAGGACATCCGGCCCAGCCCCAGCGAGCACACTGGCCTCGAGCACACTGGCCTCATGACAATGCTTGGGAACTCCTCTAAAACTTGCCTAGGCCCAAGAAAAGAGAGAGGTAGCAATCACCCCTGTGAGAGGGCTAGAGGGGAGGGGAGGAAGTAGGTAGGGGACAGGCTAGGGGCATCAAGGTCAGAACGGGGAAATCCTGGAGGCCGGCAGACCCGCGTGCTGCCGGGAAGCACTGGCCACGCCAGGCCATTCTGCTCTCATGAGGAGCTGCTCTCCACCAAGTTCTACAAAAAGCCACGTCCGTCCCTACTTCCAGGAACCCAGTTTTGCAGATACTCTTCCTCCAGACTGTCATTGACTCTTGATAATTTTGAGTCCCCAGAAAGCTTCAAGGGCACCTAAAAATATTCACTTCTAATTTTAATTCCATCGCAAACTGTCCCGGTGTACTTTCAGGGCTATTTAAGGCTCTTAAGGGAATCTATCTGACAGACACAGTTTCATGTTCCATAGCAACAAGGTCTTCTATAACAAGGACTCTAATCCCAGAAGATTCTGGGTGTTTGTGGTTTTAGTTGGGGGTGAGGGGAAGAGTCCACTCTCATTCATAGCAGGAAGAACTTTCCATCCCTCAGACCCAGAGACTTCTTGGATTCTAGAGATGGTCCCCATAAGTCTAGAGACGGTCCCCGTAAGTGTAACACTGTTGCTATGCACACCATCCCAAGTCATTTGATTATTACAAGGAATGTTTCTTCACCAAATCACAAATTTTCTATGACTAATTTCAGTGAGCCAGTTAAACAGAAGGATTTTTAGAAAGAGTCACAGTGATAGCAA
Organism: Homo sapiens; assembly: GCF_000001405.40. Lineage (NCBI taxonomy): Eukaryota > Metazoa > Chordata > Mammalia > Primates > Hominidae > Homo > Homo sapiens. Next base: position 48,843,752 of record NC_000007.14, read on the forward strand.
TTCTAGGTGGAAACTTGAGCAGGCAACATGAAGAGGCAGTTTATAAAATGAAAAAGGACTGTTGTTCCGCCAACACCCTTCCTTTTCTCAGACAAAACACCAGGAGGCTTGTTCACCGTGAGGGAGACAGTACTCACAAAAGCTGTGGCACCCACATTTACTTGTTCTGATGGGATGAAAAGCCAAACTAAGAAGGAATCAGATGGAAGCACAATTTTCACAACTACCTGGATTACTATTTATGAAGGGGATGGCCTTAAAACGGGTAAGGGGAAGAAGTGGTGCCCTGAGAATTCAATGCTTTATGCATGGCACAGTTTAAATATTTATATTGTCTCAGCTTAAAATAGCAAAAGTAATGTTCCTCCTCCCACCAAAATCTTATTGAAGAGTGGTCTTCCCACAGCCAAGTGGGTCTTTGTGCCTATTCATTTCCAGGGACAGAAAACCACTGTTTTTCTGTGATCCAGTCCCCAGTGTTTAAAAGCTAGCCTGACCCCACCACATAGTGCTTGGCAGGGAAAGAGTCACTTGTTTGGCTGAGAATACGGCATCTTCCGTCTCTCGTGATGCCGGTCAGTTTCATGCTTTCTTCCAAGAAAGTACACCAAAATGGAGGCACTGCCTTTCAATTACCTTTTGCATTAAAGACTTTAACTTGTTTATTCCAACTGCTTTGATTTCTTACAGTTTTGTGAAAAAGGCAGCTTCTTAAAATGGAGTTGCCTCCTGATCTGGCGCACGCCTTGTGACTTAGGAGGGCATTTGTTTCCCACTGCCTGTCAACATCTCAGCCCTCCATGCTCCCAGCACAGGCAAAAATGGGTTTACAATCATTAAACCACCCACCTCTTATGGAAGGAACTGAGGTGAGTACTAAATATTCTTTTATTTTGGGCCCCATTTTTTTTTTTTTTTAGCAGCAAAACAATTCTGTTTCTCTAATTTCTTCATGGCACAGACTCTGCTGTGTTCCAGTAGGGTTGCGGGAGAAGGCACTCTGCAGAGTTACTAGTTGTGTTCCCTAGCCAAAGGCAGCAGTGAGATTCAGAAGCAGATCATTGTTACTGAGATCACAGGCCTTATCAATGGCCTTAGGCTGATCTCATAAGGAAAAAAAAATCCAATGTTACAGAGAAGGACTCTAAAAAAGCGGTAACTTTTTTTTTTAAAGCCGACATTATTTGAGATTGCTGTTTCCAAGGCGAAAAACCAATAGTGTGTTTTTTCCATGCATGGAAGGAAATATGATTTTAATTTGTATGACTGGCAACCAAACAATGGGCAACCTCCCAGTTCTTCAGTCCCTAAAGGACAGAAAAAGGAATGACTTGCAACATCTTCCAACTCTGAAGTCAGTTTCTCCTCCTGAGTCTTCTAAAGCTACCATTAATATTCTCTTGCAAGTTTTAGGTTACCAAGGTATCACCTGATATTACAACATGCAACAGTGTTTAAATGTGGTTTTCACAGATTCTTGTTAATAAAGCACTCTTTGGTGGAAGACAAGCAGCTTGGGTACTTATCAGAGTTAATATTACTACAGTATTACAAACAGTCAAGTGAAGATGATAAAGCCAAATAGTATCAAATTACAGAAAGTACCATTTCAGTAATGCCTTTTGTATCTTTACAAATTTTGACACAGGGTCGCAAGCTGAACAGAAAATAAATACATAAAAAACCTCCATCAGATCCTCAATTCTTCTGAAGGCCAGCAACTACAATGCTTGCCATCACAAGGACACACATGCACCACAGACCAGCCAGCTCCCTGGGTACCAGAGGGCTTGGGTATTTACACCTGAGACTAAATTTACAACAGCATTTTTGTCATTCAGCTTGAGAGCTGGGCCTTTCTTTGAGTCATTCTTTTTGGGAGCAAGCCCCCAAAATCCAGCCATAAACTGGCCCCAAAACTGGCCATAAACAAAATCTCTGCAGCACTGTAACATGTTCATAATGGCCCTAATGCCCACGCTGGAAGGGTGTGGGTTTACCGGAATGAGGGCAAGGAACACCTGGCCCACCCAGCCCAGAGTGGAAAACTGCTTAAAGGCATTCTTAAGCCACAAACAATAGCATGAGCGATCTGTGCCTTAAGGACGTGCTCCTGCCGCAGTTAACTAGCCCAACCTATGCCTTTAATTAGGCCCATCCCTTCGTTTCCCATAAGGGATACTTTTAGTTTATTTAATATCTATAGAAACAATGCTAATGACTGGTTTGCTGTTAATCAATATGTGGGTAAATCTCTGTTCGGGTCTCTCAGCTCTGAAGGCTGTGAGACCCCTGATTTCCCACTTTACACCTCTGTATTTCTGTGTGTGTGTCTTTAATTCCTCTAGCACCACTGGGTTAGGGTCTCCCTGACTGAGCTGGTCTTGGTACATTTGCTTGCACCCAAACTCAAAAGTTCATTACTGAAACCCCAGTGGACATTTTCTCCATTGATTAGCTTCTTAGGTGGAAAGCAACTAAGTCTTTTGCAATTTTGTTTTGTTTTCAAATTGTGCTAATTTCTGTTGCAGTTTTCAGTTCCTAGAGTCTTCCTTCAGTTCTGGTCACAGGTTTTTACTTAATGCAAAACAGTTTTAGTCCTTGAAATGGAGAGAAGCAGCTATCTGTCAGGGGGTCCTGATGGCTACTATGTTCTGAAATCTTCGAGTCAGGATAGCAGGATGGGAAGAATGTAGTCACAAACAATCCACCAGATGACAACACTACACAGTGTAAAGGTCAGCACAGCCAGGGGAGATGGGAGAAGAATATCGTTTGTTTTTGATTGTCTTTGCCTTTTCAGGGCCCGACTTCTATCACCTTGTGTCACTCCATTGATTTCGTCGTCATCACCGTAAGGTTTGGGTTCTTGCTGGTCTTGATTCTCGACCCCATTTATGGAAATGTCATCAACACCAGAGAGAAGTTTGGAGAAGGCTGCTCTGTGTTGTCCATTCTCCTGCCCCTTTAACTTCTGACGAAAATAGTCCCCTTCCAGCCAGAGGCTTGTTTGCTTCATCACCAAAAACTGCTGCGGAGGCCCGATCACCAAGCCAGGTCTGCAGATCCTTACCCACGCAATGGTCTCGGCTGCTGTCATCCTGTAATGCTTCATGATGTAGCAGGCTATCAGAGTGCCTGTGCGACCAAGGCCAGCTTTACAATGTACTGCAATGGCACCCTCAGCATTTTCACAGATATCCAGAAATCTTTTGACAATGGCATCAGTAGGGGTGCTGCCATCTGCAAAGAAAAGATCATGGTGATCGAAGCCAGCATCCGTAAAGCGTTTGGCATCATGTATCCTTTTATTCAGACGAATAATGGTAGTAACATTGTGATTCTTAAAATATTGAATATAAGTCTCGGGAGAATGTTGGTGGTAACCACTTTCAAGTCTGGCTCTTGAATGAGGTCCACAGAAGGCAATAAATCGGTCTGGTATTAGCCAATTTAAATCTCCGTTTTCTGCTTTTTCATAGTGTTCATATTCATCAAGGTTAAATGAGTTGAAATTAAGGAAGCCATACTGCATTGCCTTCTTTACTGCATGAAAACAGGACACAGGAAGGGGAACGTCACACTCTGGGGACTGTTGTGGGGTGGAGGGAGGGGGGAGAGAGAGCACTGGGAGATATACCTAATGCTAGATGACAAGTTAGTGGGTGCAGCGCACCAGCATGGCACATGTATACATATGTAACTAACCTGCACAATGTGCACATGTACCCTAAAACTTAAAGTATAATAATAAAAGAAAAAAATATTTAAAAAAAGAAAAAGAAAATAAAAAGAAGTGTAATGTACAAATTGCAGCTTCCATAGGCAGCATCTCTGAAAGGAATATAGGATGTATCTCCAAAGATTAATATTCTATATGCTGCTTCTGGGGTTCTCCCCAAGTATATAACCATGTAGCATCCAACAAGGAAGGCAGCATTTGCTTGTTTTCTCTGATCAGAGCCAGTAAAATGAACAATTTTCTTCCTTAACATTGTAATGGACTTTAATTTCTTATTTATCTTGCAACAATATCTGTAAACCATTTGCCAGATTGAGTGGTCCAAAGTCTTCGGAGAAGTTCTCATATTCGAGTTCATTATCTATGCTGAAATAATGTACATTTGATGCACTCTTTGGTCTGCTGTAGAGAATGGCAAAACGAAGGCGATCGGTGATGTCCAGGTACACGTCGTCCTGGGGGTCCCAGCGGCGCGGGTCCTGCAGCGTGGAGCTGCGCATCTTCTTCACACCCTGCAAGGTCAAAGAGCAGCGCTGCCAGCAGAGGGGCGCGGCGGCCCAGCTCGACCGCCGCTTGCTTTTCCGCTTCCTGGAGGCGGCCGCAGCCGGTCAGGGAGCAACGACCACGGCCCCGCGCGCGCCCGCCGAGGCTCGCGCCAGCGCCGCGCGGGCTCTCAGGACGGCGGGCACAGAGCGGCCTTGCGGGGATGGCCGGAGCCAGCGGAGCCCGGAAGGAGGAGGTGGTGCAGGAGCCAGAGGAGGGGCCTGGCCCACAGCGCCTGCCCCGCTCCCTCCCGCAACCGCCCTCCCTTTGCTTTTTTAAACCATGAACTGAAGGGCTATATCATACTGACATCAACAAAGTGTTAGATGAATAAGTCATCATGCTCTTGTCATAGCAACCACCTGGATCTTAACCTTCTCTCCAGTCTCTGGAAATTCAGCCAAATAAGTGTTACTTCGAGTATGACTTTATTACCAAATGACAGTATTTTTGAAGCACTCATTTAGGATCCATTAAAAGTTGGAGGTTTTGACCATTTGATATTGAAAGTCATGCCTGCTTGGAGACAAGTTAATGTTGACATATTGCTTTTTCACCAACTCTCCCAATACCCCAACCTTGGAAACATGGGAGCACAAGATAGTTAAATAGATAGTTTAAAAGATGGCATTTCTTTTTTCTGTTCTATGTGGGCTTTCCAAAGAAAAGTCTTGGAGAAGCTAAACAATGTGTGTAGAAGATCACACAGGGATATCACAAGTGATAAATTTTATACCCAGTGTCATCCCAAAGCCAATATGCAGCTTCGCACTCCTCGGCAACGGAACAGGCCTCTCTCCTTCACAAAAGAGAGCTTCGTGAAGCTTCATCCCTAAGTTTTGGGTTGGGGGTAAAATAAAGAAGAGGACTGATGGGTTGTTCTTGAGCTTACTACTCATTCATACATCTTCTTGCCCTTTCTGTTTGGTGGGATTTCCCCTAATCATTTATATCCTTCTGGTGTCCACAAGGAGACCTAAATTCCCAATTAGATAGGCTTTATGAAATTTTAAAAGTAAATGTATATATTAGAATTAGTTTAGGAGAAAGGAGAGAAGAGTAAAAGAAGATAGGTAAAGATTCATATTTGTCCTTAAAGATTCAAGCTTCTGGATGCCACAAATATTTTGATTAATGGGGACCTCAAGAATAATTTTGCTCACCACTGTCCCAATGCTTGCCCCCCATCCACAATATTTCTGTCCAGTGAATGCATTGTATTTTCTTTTCTCCAGTTTCTGTTGGAATACCCGTATCTGATAGGAAACACACGTCTGAAGGCATGCAGTGAGGATGTTGATTTCCCTTGCCTTTTCTTATCATTTATTAATAGATTCAGAAACAATTTACTGAATGTTTGCTCTTTGCTAGAGACCTGGTTCTTGCTAAGAAATGCAACCTTTCATATGAGACAGTCTTGCTCTTGGAATTTGCTTGTATAGTCACCACACTATCCATGAACACTTAGACCCCTGTTTATAATAATTTTAAAAATCCTAAAGACAACTGATTAGAAAAGTCACTTCATCCAGGTTGGGCCACTCAGATCCCTTCTTCTATGAGGTAAACTTGAGTCCCAGAGCCCCTCCTTATTCTCTTTGGGGTCCCCGAGTGAAATGCTCATGTAAAATTTAATCTGGGTAGCCATATCTGAAATAAGTGAAAGGTAGGCTGAGAAGGCCATGCTTCTAAGAAAAAGTAATAAAGCAGACTCCTAGAGAGAAACAACAATGATTGACCACGTGGCACCAGAGACGATGGAGACTGTTATCTACCCTTTCAGCCTGAGGTGGTTTCCCTCTAGTTATTGGCATCTGCTTCTCAAGAGATCTTCTCCTTAAGTTCCGGAGATACTATCTTATTCTTCCTTCCCCAGTCCTCCTGCAATTGTCTGGCTAGTCTGAGAGTGTTTGTATCTACAACTCAATGATTTCTGCCTAGGTCTTTGTTATTCAGGTAGCCACAGGAATAGACTCTTTTGACACATCTGAAAAGATATGTCCATGGCCGCTTCTCTGTGGGAGGAAAGTAAAGGGCTCTACTTTTCTCAGAGAGGTTATTTATTTTTCATTGTTGAATCCCTTTTGCTCCTTCTACCTTTACTGTTGAACTCCAATGTGTGTGGAGGGTGTTGGGCATGGAGAAAGTTTTATTTTCTCACCCATATTAGCTACCATTTTGACCACCATTTCTGCATAAGTTGGGATATACAGACAACTAGAGGAAGGTTTAAAGAGCAGTCTACTAATTGCCTCCAAGATCATCTAAACTTTACAGAGTCAAGGCTGTGTGGAAAAGTAAGCTATTCTGTAATGTTGGATCAAACAAAAGGGGAGATTCTCACTGGTCATGCTTATTGAAAACAAAACCCAACAAATGAGGATAACTAAATTACAATGACCAAACAGGGTTGTCATGATGCCACAGTTACTCGCCTGAAATTCCTGTACCTTTTTACTTATAAGAATTCCAGGAGCTGGTTTCATCACAAACTGATAATGACTATTCCAAGAAGTGCTGTAGCCTTTAGCCAATCATCTGTTAGCTCCTTTCTGTTGACCAATGGTATTTCTGGATGAACAGGCTGAGACCACCTTGGTATACCTCTTCGTTTTGTCCTTAAAAATCTGCTTGTAAACTCCCCAGCTGAAAGCACTTCTCTGACGTAGTTTGCATATGTGTTTCCCGGGTTACACTCCTCAAATTTGGCCAAAACAAATTCTTTACTTATGCTAATTTTGCCTTAGACTTTTATTTCAGATCAACATTATGGATGCCTTAGATGGATGTGTTTTAGGTGACCCAGTTGTTCAATGGGTCGCCTCCATTCTTTATCTCTTTCTAAAACCTCTTATTCTTCCCTTAGTCTTATTCTTTTAAGTCTTTCCCCCATCCTAAATTCTAGTCCTCATTTTTTGTCTATTTTAGTTACTCTTCCCTAAATACATATCCAATCCCGAATCTCCTCTGAATTTTATGGTGAGATTATTATCCCCAGCTCCTCACAGCTGCTTGTTTATGCTCCTGGGGAAAGAGAAACTATGGCATCAGTCATGGAGTCACCTCTGCAGCCTGGCTTTCTCCCTTCCCTTTCGTTTGAGCTCCAGCTATAAGCTCGTTCCCAGAAGCTATACTTGCTTTGGCGCTTATACTCATTCTGTTCCCTCTATGTAAAGTAAATATTCTCCTACATTTCCTAACTTTGTAGCTTATAATCCTCTGTCCAAACTTGGTGGTTCCCAGAGTACTTGCATCTTATTTGATTGTTTGGTCACTGCACCTGAGAATTTGCCGTGTGTAATTCTGCATAAAGAAATACTGTATGGTAATATATTCAACATACCATCTCACATGCTTACCTGATACATCTGCTTGTATGGCTGTGAAGTTTAAATAACTTAAAATACAAAAAAATTAGGGCTATTGGATTTGGGAAATACAAGAGTTGTAAAATGACTAATTAAATAATACAACAGTAAATGATTTTATGGCTTCTAGTTATTTTTCAAGCTGGAAATTATTTGGCATATAAGAAAATGCAAGAATTCAAGCAAGATATTTGTCATAAAATAAAATGATTAAGGTGGGGATTTCATGTGGTTCTTTCATTTGCTCCTCTTGCGTTAGAACAATTCAGGAGGTTTGTGCTTATGAGCCGTTTATGACACTTAATTCGTCTTTAAATTAAGGCATATTTTCACTCCAGGATTGTTTTTCCCCTCCATATAAAAATAAAAGACAAGCTTTGTAAGGCCTATGAACAGTTTAACTAAGTTGCTTGCCCTTCATGCCAGTGACAAGTAATGAGTAAGAACTAGTAGGTGTCATTGAGAAAACAGACATTGTCACTCCAGTGTCAATCAAAATTATCTGGTAGTGAAAACTGGACTTTAAATTTTAAAAATAACGTGAGAGCTGCTAGAAAAATTATGAAGAATTGAGTAGGGTCACAGCACTCGACAAATCTTCCAATTTCTCTGCCACTGGCTTAGTGTCACCTGTACATTTTCTAGTCTAAAAGAATGTAATAGCCCAACAGGGTCAGCAGCGATATGCACCTCTCCCAAATACATTTCTGTTTACATTCCTGAGGTCCAATTATGATAACAATGACATAATATGAATTCTAAACACATTTGTATTGTTGATATAGTAAGAAATTTTTCAACTAATTAGAAAACTCTACCTTTTAAAACTGCACAGTTAATAAATATAACACATACGCATGTGCTGCTGTTTCTGCTTTTGTTTTTTGTTTTAGCTAAGAGCTAAGTCTATGACTACTACTTCAGGAATGTTTGTCAATTTAATATGAGCTGAGGACCATCGCACTTCTAGCCTTCAAGCTTGTATTCTATCAGGAAGAAGGGATAGAGAAGAATTGGTAGAAAACATTGTATATCTTTGCCGGGCACATGTTTGTAGTCCCAGCTATCTGAGAGACTGAGGTAGAAGAATCACTTCAGCCCAGGAATTCAAGACCATCCTGGGCAACATAGTGAGACCTTGTCTTTAAAAATAAATAAATACAAATAAGTTTTAAAATAAAATAAAACAAAATATGTGTTTTTTAAAAAATTGTATGAACTCAACATATGGCTAATTTTCTTCATTTGTTTCATTATTAATGAAATTAAGGAAATACAAATATTCATTTTAATACAGATTTATTACGTAGAAGTGTTTGAACATCTTTACACTATTTACTCTTTTATCACAAACCCTTCATTGCTTTTTATTCTTGGCACCATTCTTAGGAAAATGGAGACCACAGCACCAGCTTCTCCCTGCAAATCCCCATTTGTGCTTGAGCAGCCAAGTGGTTCACACTTCTTGCCACATTCAGAAGAAACTTCATTCATTATGCCAGAAATAACTGAGAAATAATGAGAATGTTTCCTATAAAGTCTAAAAATCATACTAAAGAGGGGATCCATTTATACTGCTGTTAGGAATTGAATTGTGTTCCTCCTTCCAGATTTCTGTGTTGCAGTCTTGATCCTCAGAACTTCAGAATGTGACTGTATGAGAATACCGGAGTAGGTTGGGCCCATCATCTTATATGACTTGGGTCCCCATACAAAAAGGAAATTTGGATATCTCAACCTGAATGAAAAAAAGATAATCAATATATACCAACTTTAAGGTGAACCAAATGTTAAAATTATCTAACAAAGATTTTAAGGCAGGTGAATTGAAAATGCTCCAACAAACAACCAACCACAGATGAAAAATATTAAAAATTAATAAACAGCAATACGATAAAAATAATACAAATAAGAAACCAGTATAGTATAACAACTATTTACATTGTATTAGGTATTCTAAGTAACCTAGAGATGATTTAAAGTATACAGGAAGATGTGCATAAGTTATATGCAAATACTACACCATTTTTTTGTCAGAATCTTGAGCATCCTCATATGTTGATATTCAAGAGGGGTCCTGGAACCAATCAATCACCCATGGATACAGAGGAATGACTGTACACAGCAAAAAAAACAAAACAAAACAAAAACTAGAAAGCGTCAGCAAAGAATTAAACAATTCAGCAAAGACACAAAAACATAAAGACTTTGAGAGAAAAGAGGAGACCAGTTGGGCACAGCTGCTGTAATGTGATAAACAGCTTTGAAAAACTAGGTAATTTTACTTTTTTATTTGTGGTTACATTAGTTTGCTAGGGACAATCACTTTAATCATTTTTCTCCTGAGTATGATGTCCACCTGTATTTCTAAAACAATTGGCTTATGTCATAATTTCTTGTTTTTCAGATTTTTGTTTTGTTTTGTTTTTTGAGATGCAGTCTTTCTCTGTCGCTCAGGCTGGAGTGCAATTGAATGATCTCGGCTCACTGCAACCTCCGCCTCCTGGGTTCAAGCAATTCTCCTGCCTCAGCCTCCCGAGTAGCTGAGATTACCGGCACCTGCCACCATGCCCAATTAATGTTTGTATTTTTAGTAGAGACAGGGTTTTGCCATGTTGGTCAGGCTGGTCTCGAACTCCTCACCTCAGGTGATCCACCCACCTCAGCTTCCCAAAGTGCTTGGATTACGGGCATGAACCACTGTGCCTGGCCCTGTTTTTCAGTTTTAAGAATTGTCTGTTGACTTGCTGCTATGCAAAATGAGGATACCATTGTTGAACACACACACACTCACCACCTCCTTTCATTTTCCCAGGGTAGTTTTGGATTAGAGCAATATCCTATGTTACATTTCTAGGATAAAATGTATATTATCTGCTTCTGAGTAGTGGAATATATTTTGAGTTAAATTACTTCCTATATGCATTTCTTAAATTACCACCTTACCTTATATTTTCTCTTTTCTCTTTCTTTTAAGCTTCTTCATTGTTTGCTATCCAAGTTACAGTCTAATTTGAGATTTTCTGAAGATTGATCACAGTCTGTCATTGGCATTGGGAAAAGTGGAATGGAAAAAGTCTTTTTGCCTTTTTAGTTTTGTTTCCATTTTGAATTCCATACATGTGTTATTTTGATAAAAATTAAAATGTTGTAAGAGAAATAAAAGCAATTACTAGGAGCTTAGAAGAAGTTAAAACTTTTTTAAGTACTTGAGATTATTATATGTTCCCACTGTCCACCGATTTTATAAAGAGAAGTTGAGGACCAGAGAGACTGAGAAAACAGCACCATTCCACAGTTAGGGGAGCCAGGGCTTCAGGCCACATCTGTCTGACTTCCAGTCCAATCTCTGTGCAATACCTTAATGAGAGGTGGGGGAAGAAGGCAAGGGTGACATGGGTTGGCATGCTGTCTGTTCAGAGGATACCTTCCAGGCTTGGAGAACAACACTGTGATAAGCCACCATGATTCAATTTGTAGCCAGAAAGGTAATCCACGTCACAAGGATGACAGGGCTGAATTACAGAGGGCTGGGAGCTTCTGTCAGGATTAACTGGTCACCTGAGTAGAAGAAAAGACACTCAGCTGTGAAGCAAAATGAAACAATTACGATAAGAAGGCCCCGCTCAGGTTTACTTGCAACTATGAAGTACTGTTTTCTAGACTTGAGCTTAGTTTGGGCAAATTAACAAACTTATATATAAATGAACAAAGGAAGACCGTTTCTTGATCAAATTAGTCAAAATCCAGTGCCATGTGGCTTCCTTGCTAATGTTAGTTTACTTCAAAAAGGGGTTATTTATGCTAATCTTTCATCCATCACCCCAAGTCAATTAGCAAAGTGCGCAATTGCTTAACAAGTAATGCCTATATTATAAAATACTCTCTAATACCTTAAGATGATGTATGAATGTTGGGGTTTTATTTGTACCTCTCACTATCCCTTTATGTTACAGGCAATAATACAACAGGCCATTAATGTCTATTTAGTAATTGCTTGTTTATTAAGCACTTAACTGAAGTGCTTCTCATTAACGGGGGGGAATTTAAATAAGAAAATAATAGGAAAATAAATTGTTGACAAATGGATGTCATGGCATATGGCTACTGTTGTCAAGGCTTGCAGTGATCAGCATCTCACCTTTTTTCTTCTTTCACATACTTATCACATTTCTTTTGTGTTCTAGTGTCTGAGCTAGGTGTTGGGGGTGCAGAAATATTCTACAAGCAGTCCAAATCCTGAGGACACGGAGGAAAGAGCCACCACCTGTCTGTCTTCAGGGGAAAGGTAATGCTTTAGTTAAGCTTGAGTGGAAGTTAAGCTTTAGTTAAGCCTAGATGTTAAGCTTGAGTGGAAGTTTTTCCAGCAGAAGAGGGTGGAAAGGCTCACTCTGAAAGGGCACAAGGCTACACCAAGGCTTGTTTCCTTTGCCTCTGAAGTGTCTAGTCATCATGAGCAGGTCTTCCTATGGCACTAAGTGTTTTATCTATGAAAATATGATTCTTTAGAAATATTTTTTCTGGTGGTTATGATAAACTCCTTTAAGATTTTAATGGAATATAATTTACTTCACATATGTAGGCTCTAAGGCAAGCTTGTCCAACCTACAACCCGCGGGCCGCATGTGGGCCAGGACAGCTTTGAATGCGGCCCAACACAGATTCATAAATTTCTTAAAACATTATGACATTTTTTGCAATCTTTTTTAAAGGTCACTAGCTATGATTAGTGTATTTTATATGTGGCCCAAGACAATTCTTCTTCTTATAATGTGGCCGAGGAAGGCAAAATCTGAATACCCTGCTCTAAGGCTAACAGATCTTCATATAAATCCCAAATCCTCTGCTCTTTACCATGTGACTTCAATGTACTAAATCTACTTGAAATTGTCTCCTCATTTTGAAATTATAAATAGCATAGCCTATGTGCTAGAGTTATGCTGAGTATTAAATGATAGAATGATAGTAACTAGCACACTGTTTTTCATCTCATTTTGCTTTATTTCATGTGACTGTGTTATAATATCTAATGTGAATGAAAAATAAACAAGATTTGGTTCTTTGCAAAGAAGAAAGTTCTAAAGCCTTAGAAGTTAGTTTCAAGTTTCTATGACCTTTCAGAAATGTATTCATGGATCAATAGATACATTGAAAATGGATATTTATGAACGTCATTGCGTAAGTTCAAGAAAAAGAGAAAAAAGTGATATTAACAATGGCTGAATGTTGCATGATGTCTTTCCTCATAGAATCAGAGTCATGAAAGTATTTCTGAGATGAAGAAATATTTCTGAGACTGGGCCTTGATATAAGCTGTAACAAGGCTAAAGTAGGCCTTTCTCTGGGCTAGGGACACATTAAGAATCTGGAAATAATATGCATATAGTAGCTGTTTAGGCCACGCCTGGCAAGTATTCTGGGTATATATTTCCTTTAAGAACATTACCAGTGAGATTGGCTTGGGTGCTATTGATTTGGCTGGCATTCATCAAAAAAAAAAAAAATGAAGAAAAGTAGACAAAGAATTTAAATTAGGGGTTAGATCTGCTGAAAATTATAAGGCTGAGATTTCCTTTTTCAGTGAAAATAACAAGAAGCTTAATTACTAAGTTAGGAATTTCTAATGTTCCCTCAATTCCAATACACACACACACACACACACACACACACACACACACATACAACTTGAAGTTTTCTCCTCCAAATACTTACAATGTTTTATAATTTGAATGCCACTCCAATAAATATGTTCCTGAAACTGTTCTGAATCTTCATTCCAGACCCCTCTTTAGTTAGCTGAACATTCCCAACGAGTGAGTAAGTCCAATATGGTATTGATTGCTGTTTTGGTGTTAGGTATTAAAAAAGATTATCATTATTGACAAGAAACTAGTCTCTCACTTTGCCCTGTTGGACATTACCTGAATTGTAGCCAAGAGTAGCCTTCAGAATCTGTGTGTGAGGGTAACCATGACCTTGAGTAGCCATCTCTGAACACTGCGGGAAACAGGAAAGGAGGCATGTGAGGTAGAAGCTCACATTTTTCCACAGCACTGATTTTTGGCTGCTGTTCACCTTGCAGTCTCTTCTGGGAGGCTTCACAGATCCGGATAAATGATGGTCTCTGCTAATGTTACATGTTAGAAAAGCAGACTGGGGGTTGGCCAGGATAGCTGACCAGAAACACCAGTATTATAGGTCACCTACTAAATTCCAGCTCTAATGATATACTTTTGGAATAATATAAAGAAATTTTCTGTTACTTAATGGCAATTGATAGATTGCTTATTTTACTTTTATTTGAAATGTTTCAGAAAAATTCCATCCATGTAGGCTCCAGGACAGAGTGGGCTCTTCTCATGATTCCTCTAAAATAACCTGGCCTGGACTGGACACTCTTACCTATCATAATCCCATTATTTCAGTGTCTGGCCTGTAAGCTGATATGTTCCATAATGGGCCTGCACTTAGCACTTCTATGAATCTCTTAGTTCTTGATATTCTTTCATATTTATGCATCATTCTCCCCTAAAGCTCATAAGCCACCAGGATGGTACAGTGTATTCTCAAAAGCATCTAACCATGCTCAGCATTTAATTGTCACATAAAATGCTCTCTAAATTACAGAGGATGATAATTCATATTTTAGCTTCAAATTATCTATTTTGAGAGGGCTAAAGTAAACAATTTTATATGCAGATGATTATTTAGATAGTAATTGATTTGTGGAAAATATAACAACTTGAAAGTGGAATATGAGTTGTAGTCTTTGTTTGGCCTAAAAGTGTCCAAGCTGTAAGTTATAGGAATAGTCCATGTAAATCCAGCTCATCTGAAGCTCTTTTACTAATTCACTGTGCAGCATAAGCCCACTCACTTTGTCCCCATGTGATTTAATCACCTACGTAGAGTGAAATTACTAGATAAATCTCTTTCCAATGGGAACATGGTCAGGCTCCTTGTATAAGAAATTAATTTCCTTGATTGCGTTGAATGTAAAATGGAATAACATTAAGTAGAGTATTTATTTTTACCACTGATATAAGGACTCCAGTTTCAGCTCAGACATGTAAAAGACCTGGGAAGTCGTTATATCTGCCCCACAGCAACAAGAAATCTGAGCAAAATGAAAATCAATGACTTTTCTTGGACCCATCAGAAAACTGAGTTTGTAGCGTTTGTTAGTCTGCATTGCTATGAAGGAATACTTGAGACCGGGTAATTTATAAAGTTAGTTGGTATATTTTGGCTCATACTTCTGCAGGCTGCATGGGAAGTGTGGTGATCTGCTTCTGATGAGGGCCTCAGGAAGCTTACAATCACGGCAGAAGGTGAAGGGGAGCCATTGTCATGTGTCAAGAGAGGGAGCAAGAGAAAAGGGGCTAATTTTGTGTTTTTAGTAGAGGCAGGGTTTCACCATGTTTGTCAGGCTGGTCTCAAACTCCTGACCTAAGGGATCTGCCCCCCTCAGCCTCCCAAAGTGCTGGGATTACAGGCGTGAGCCACCCTGCCTAGCATGGTGGTGCATGCCTGTAATCTCAGCTACTTGGGAGACTGAGGCAGGAGAATCACTTGAACCAGGGAGACAGAAGTTGCAGTGAGCTGAGATCATACCATTGTACTCCAGCCTGAGCAACAGGAGCAAAACTCTGTCTCAACAACAACAACAACAACAAAAAAGAGAATATGGGAGGTTCCAGTCCCTTTTTGTCCAGGAACTCACCCAACATTTACAAAGGGGAACAAAGAAGAACCTAGAAAAAGTTCATCCCTCACTCCTTTCCCCACACACACTGTAGTGCTGGCTGGGGTTGGTGGAAGAAGCAGCCACTGCCAAATCTACCCAGACTATTTCCAACTATGTACTTCATGGATAAAAGGCTTAATCTGGAGGGAAAATTATCAAAGTTAACCCTGAGACACTGTTTTAATTTATTAAACTGAAAGATGGAAATAGAGATCACCACCAAATCTCTAACCAGAAGCATAATCCCAGTTTCCCCTAAGCAACCAAAGTCTCAATCTGCAGGAGAAAAGGCTTCAAAACCACTGCAATTTGGGAAAAAGAAGAGGAGCAATAAGATGAGGAAGAATTTTTATCCCAGGAAAAGGGACAGGAATAGCTGTGAAGGCTACATGTCCAGGACTTAGGTTTTGATACGTGCCAAAATCTTTAGCTAAATGTGAACATCAGATAACCTTCTTCTTAGCCAGGACCACCACCACTGTAAAAAACAGCAGTAAAAGTAGCAGTGGAATACAACTGTGAAGAGGCACATGGGGAGACTCAGTCAAGTGGGAGCCAAAAAAGGGCACCAATGGAGTGGCCAGAAAGCGCTGGTGCCCATGGCACAAACAGTTTCAAATGCAGCTTGTCTTCTGACCAGATGAACATCCATCTCCACATTTAAGGCCTCACACAAGGAAACTTGTGCTTTTCTCCCAACATATAAAATTTATCTAATATCTGCTGTTCTTTTCATGTCTAGCTATAACCAAAAAATTATAAGGAATATTAAAAAGCAAGAAAAAAAGTCATTCAAAGTGACAAAGCAATTGTTAGAACTAGACAGAGCCATGACACAGAGGTTGGAATTATCAGACAAGGAATTTGAAAAAGAAAACTCTGCTTAACATGTTAACGGCTTCAATGGAAATGCTAGACAAAATGACAACACTCAGTGCCAGGTGGATAATTTGAATAGAGAGATGGAAATTATAAGAAAAAATCAAATTGAAATACTGGAAATAAAAATATAGCAATGGAAATGACAAATTCCTTTGATGGACTCATTAGTAGACTGGACATGGCTGAGGAAAGAATCAGTAAACTTAAACATAGGTTTATAGAAACTTACTAAACTGGAAGCAAAGAGAAAAAAAATGAAAAACAAAACCAGAACACTAATAGAACATCCCAACACTGTGGGACACAATCAAATAGTGTAACATATGCATAGTTGCATTCTGAGAATAAGAAAAGGAGAAGGGAGTATAAAAAAAATTGAAGAAATAATGGCTGAGAATTTTCTAAAACCAATAAACAAAACTACAGGCCTAAGGAGTTTAGAGGAAAAAAAACAGAATTAATACTGAAAACACACACACACACACACACACACACACACACTCACAAACACACACCCCATATCCTATTCAAACTCCCCTGAAGCCAGGACAAAAAGCAAATCTCCAAAGAAAGTGGGAAAAAAAAATCATGCTAGTCACAGAGGAACAAGGATAAGAATTACAGCAGACTTCTCATCATAAATTATGCAAGCAAAGAGACAATGGCATGGCATACTTAAAGTGTAGAAAGATAAAACAGAAAGATAAACACAAAAATCTGTCATACATAGAGCAAAAATATTCTGCAAAAGTGAAAAAGAAATAATGAAGGCTTTCTCAGTCAAAGAAAACTAAGGGAATTCATGGCTAGCAGATATGTCCTAAAAGAAATGGGAATAAAATGGAATCACAAACATACAGACACAAAATTTAAAAATAAATGTGATCTCTGTCAGCATAGGGCAAGATCCCTGCTTGTTCTAGTCTCTAATATGTAACAGAAGGCCCACTCTCTGATCTCAGCACTAGCTTGGGTGCCTCTTCTAATTCCAGGTAAGAGATGAGAGCTTTTGCATGAGCTGCAGTCATGAATCCAGGGGATTGGCAGCAGAGATGAGAGATCAAATCAGGAAATAGTATTCAAGATGGAAATTAAATTGGGAAACAATAGGATGTCACAGAGACAGGAATACTAGAGTAAAAAAAGGAAAATAAATGTGGATGCAGGGAGGTATTGAGATCTTGGAGGTTTCCAGAGACGAGGGGGTCTCTTCTTAATGACACGTTTGCATAAAGGAGTGGAATCCCCTTCAATGAGGTTATAGAAGTGGCATATCCTAAATGCATATCAAAGAATTATCTTTAATTCCTCAGATTGCTCCTCAGCTTCTTTCAGTCATTTACAATCGGTATTAACATCTGTTGCTCTGTAGCTTTTCAGTCTGATTGATTTTAATTACTTTATCATGCTCAGTGAACAGATTATAAAATATTGAGTACCTAAATAAAAACTAATTAATGATTCTATGGCCACAATTCAAAAACAGTGGTCAAACAGGGAAACATTTTCTGATATATTTAATAACAGTGTTAGCAATTTTTACAGTAGAATAAATACTAAATATCCTTTAGGGAAATGGCCCATTATTCTTTGATACCTTAGAAATAATACACAAAAGAATCCTCAAAGATAGATAAAATCTATAACTGTTAGTGCTGTATTTTTAATAAAATATTCCCACTGATATCTAAGATACATTCTTGATTTAAAAGAGTGACAAAGACTTTATTCTGATTGGCTGTGTTGAGTAGAATGGTACGGCAAATAAGTAGATTAAGAAGAGAGGCAGAGAAAGAACGTGGTTTATGATACTTGCAAGACTCAAAGCTTCTGTGTGCCACAATTTCCTTATCTCCAAAAGAGAGAACAAAAACAACTGCTGGTCTTTGCACTGGGACTGACCTTAGATTGGAAAATGACCTCTTTAGTTTCAGATAAGAAGTTTCCAATCTTGTTCCAAGATAAACTAGTTTACTTAGCTTTTCTATTCTATGAGATGTCTGTGAAGTAAGGACAATTATGCCTTCCTTATAATTTATGAATGAAAAAGGCTGTATCAGTTAATAATGCTTTCAGCTGTGTGGAGCCGAGAGCGACTCCAACTTTCCCCTTAACAAATATGGCTTTGCTTCCCTCACTTCCCAGGGAGCCCAGAGGCAGCTGAGCCAGGGTCAATGTAGCACATTCATACTAAGCTTCCCATAACTCTGAGTGAAGTGGGTGGGTTCATGGCCCCAAGAGTCACAATTTCTCCGATCCAATTCTAACATCACATCTGCATTCCAAGCAGGAAGAAGGAATAGAAAGAGAGGCATCAGCAGAGTTCTGTGAATGCTGGACTGAGCACATTTATGTTACGTGACTGTCAGAAGCTACACTGAAGGCTGGGAACATGAACACTTAGCTTTTTCTATCTTTATAATAAAATCACAGTAGGAAAAGTGGAATTTGGTGAGCCAATTCTCCCGACACAAAGGAAGCCAAGGGCAGGGGAAAGAAGTAGCCTAAACCAAGAACTAATGGGAAAATAGGGCATACCCTAGAATATTGGAAGGGGGGCAGTGATTGATGGACTAGATATTTCTTTCCTCTGAAGGTAGAGAGCACCTGGTTGCATCTGGGATGGACTGGACGAAACTGGAAATCTTATTTAGAACCCAGCTGCAGGTTGCCGCTTTTCCTGAGAATGATGAACGAACGATGCAAGTAAACATTTCAAAGTGTCAGTACCAAGCCTCCACCTCATCCATTTTCATAAAGACTTTCCAAAGACCTCTGACTTGACTTTACCTGTGGCTTTAATCCTCATTCCTACATTGCTCCTGACACGGTTTCCAACCTAGTGTACCTGCCTAGGTTTGCCTAGGCTGGCACTTCCACCATTAACATCTGGGCACGATGGCAAAGGTTTTCATGCCATAAAATGTGGACTTTATCCTGTGGGAAATGTAGGTTTTAAAGCAAGGGAGTAGAATGAACACATTTGAAATTTAGAAAGCTTCCTGTGTGTTCTCCACAGTGTGGAAATGTATTTGGATGGGTGAAACTGGGGGATGTTACAACAATTCAGGTAAGAGATGAGAGCTGAGCCAAGGTAATGTTAGGGGAGTGGAGGGGAAGGGTATGAGAGACAGGAGGTCACTGTGCATTTGTTGTGGAGGATTAGGGTGTAAAGCTGGTCAAAGGTGCTGACAAGACTTCAAGTTGAGTGAAAGGTCCAACTTTCGTGGTAGGAGAAACAAGCTTTGGAAGAAAGATATAGAGTTAAATGACAGACCAGATAAGTTGAAATTGCCTCTGGAAATGCAGGTAGATGTGTTCCCCAGAAAGAAAGACATATGGTGACTGAAACTGGCAATAAATGATGTTTCTTTCTGGATGGAATTCCAGAATTTGAAGAAACTAAGGCCGAGGAAATAAACTGTGGAACATTGATATTCAACAGGCAGGCAGATGAAAGTGAATCAGGAGAGGAAAGTAAAAAGTAGAGAAGAGAAGGGGAAAGGTTAAAAAAAAAAAAGAAAAGAAACAGATGCCACAGAAGTCAAACCAGGAGAGAACTTCTTTGTTTATCTCATAGCATGGTTGAATGTTAATAGCATGTAGTGGGTGAGAGAATAGTCTCCAGAAATACACTGTCTGCTTCAAATATTGCCTTTACCATTTATTAATTCTTTGATTTGAGGCAAGATATTTAACTCCTTCAATGTTGGTTGTGAGTGTTAAAATAGTTAATACAAAAAAGCAGGTAGAACTTTGTAAGTGTATAGTTGAGTGTAAATAGGTAGCAGTCAGCAAATGCAACTTAATATTATAAAAGATGCTATAGCTCCCTTTTAGTTGGTGAGATTCTTAACGTGAAAGTCCATTTTTTCTTGTCATTGCTGTAGCCTCAAAACTCAATGAAGGAAACATTGTTGACACTGTGTAGTTATTTTAATATCAAAACAATTGTTGTTCACTTCCAGCATTTGAACAAAAGAGAGAAAGAGAAGGAGAGGGAGAGGAACTAGGATGTACAAAACCTATGCTAATGTTTAGTGTTGTTTTGTTTTAAGCGCATTTTAGCTATGTTTTTCAACTTCTCTTGGCCGTATGTGTTAAAAATCCTGCATTTTTTTCCTAATGCCAGGAAAATCTCTAGAATTCAGACCACTGAGAGACATCCACTACTACCACAGGGGTCACCATCTTCTTTCCTTTGCCTTTAAAAATTGAAGTGTTATGTAAATACAGTGCAATGTGGAAATCTGAAGTGTGCATCCAGGTCAATTTTTAGCTGTCTGACTTTCAATGAGATAAAGATACAAACTGTTTCTGTCACTCAGAAAGTCTTTCCATCCTTTTCCCCAGTCAATCTTCACAGCAGAAGTATTCATTATGCTGACTTCTGTCATACCATGCTCTACATGTTCTTGAATTTCATAAATTGACTCCTACACCATGTACTTTTCAACTCCACAGAATGTTTTTGAACTTTACTCATGTGGTTTTATGGCCCGTTGTTCATTCCTTGTCATTGCTGTGTAATATTCCATCGTGTGATTTATGACGATGGGTTTATCGAGATGAAGCAGCTGTCCTTTTCAGGAGGGTTGACCAGACTGTACTGTGCAATCACTAAGAATGTGGGAGTTCTTGCAGAATCATCCCACTCCTTTGAAGATTCCTGACTTCCAACCACAGAGTTGATCATCATGTGACCTGGTTCACAGAAAGAAAAAAATTAAAGGGATTTGGGGGTGGGGGTGGGAAGGAGAGACAGCAGCACTGTCCATTTGTTTTCTCTGAGGAGCTTAAATACCCTTCCCATCATCCCCTAGTTTTAAGGAACAATAAAGAATAACTTTCTGGGTCCCTTGGGTGTTTTCATTAAGTAGCCACAGAAAGTGCTAGCTAGAAAAGTCTATAGCGACTTATATACAGAAGTGATAACATTCTAAAATGGGCAGTTTTGGCTTAGGGGTGGAAAATAGTTCTCATATCTCCTAATCCAATACCTGCTTTTGGGGAAACTTTGATTTGGAGAACAGCTAGGGTCTAGCTGTACCCTCTTTTAAGTTATTTTATGCCCAAAGTCCAGCCTAGCCCTTGTGGAGTAGACATCTGTCAGGACAGCTGCCTGGGGGCTGCATGCTGGAGACGGAAGGAGGCAGAGGTGCAGAGAGGGACTAACGTTTACCTCTGAAATGCTCCCATGAAAGATTGTCTGGATTTCTGCTTAAAAGTACTTTATTTATAAGATGAACTAGCTGAACTTGATATAACTGCATATATTCATTACCAAAATTTAATGTCATCTTTCCAAGCTCACCTTTTAATTTGCAATCAAAACACAAAGAAATAGGTGTACAAATGTAATATAAACACAAATGTTGCATGTAGTTGCAAAATATCAGCACATTGTAAAATTGGACATACTATATGGCTTCATTTGGATGAAATTACTTTAATTAAAATGAGAAAGCATTGAATAATCTTAGAAGTTTGAATGTGCAGCAAACAGCAGAATGGGTGAGAGTGAGCCTTCTGTAATGAACTCTCCTGACCAAAGTGGGACTTAGTGGCATATACAGTGATCCATCAGGGGTGCCATCTGTCTATGGGAATTCATTGCTAAAGTAAGGTCCTCTTAAGTTAATCTTTCAGGGTTCCTTGCACAAAGGATAGGTCTTACCAATGACGTATTTGGAACACAAAGCTTAAATACTTCATATATGAAACAATAAAATGACTTAAATTCCCTTCTCCAATTTTATGAAACAAACATCACTTGAGATGCACTATCTTAGGGGAAAGAAAACTGTGCACTAAGCACTTACCATATGCAAGATACAGTGTTGAACATCATCGAATTATATGCAAGTGATATCATTTTGTTTTTATGACTACTATATAAATATTAATATTCTCAGTTCACGTATGAAACCAAGCCATGTTCTTGGGTTATATAGATACCAAAGATCTGTTTTTCACAGTCAGGAATGATGTGATTCTGGGCTTGATCTTATTCCCTGAACTTCTGGTCATTTTTACTATAGAAGCTTAAAGAGAAAAATCAGTTAAATCTTTGGGAGGAGAAAATTTTCCTTATGAATATGCATGGCCTTATCTCTCAATGCCTTAGGTAGGGACACCTATTTGTCTTGGAAATGAATGGTACTAGTTTTCTTAATAGCAGGACTAATGATGTGTGGCTAGAACACAATCAGAAACCATACTAGTAATAAAATCATGGTGTACTTTATCATATAGTTCTTTGATATGCATAGTCAACAATGTACTGAGAATGAAAAATGGTGCTTCACAGGTAGGACTAGTCTACTTACAGGAAAGCAGAAGTACAGGATAAAGGTAGAGCCAAGATAAACATTCCTAGGATGCCTTAGGCAGAGGGTAAGAAGACAAGGGAACCGAGGCAGCAATTGAGTTTTGAAGAGTTTATCTGGACTCTGGAGAAAGGAAAATAAGTCAGAAGGACACTATTGGTCTAGGAAATGATAATATTTTATCATGATTATGCTTATAATGGTAAGGAAGGCAGAAATTGGAGATTATGGCAATGATTAAGAACAAACGTATTCGGGCCAGGCGTGGTGGCTTACGCCTGTAATCCCAGCACTTTGGGAGGCCAAGGCTGGCAGATCATGAGGTCAGGAGATCGAGACCATCCTGGCTAACACGGTGAAACCCTGTCTCTACTAAAAAAATACAAAAAATTAGCCAGGCGTGGTGGCGGGTGCCTGTAGTCCCAACTACTTGGGAGGCTGAGGCAGGAGAATGGTGTGAACCTGGGAGGTGGAGCTTGCAGTGAGCTGAGATCATGCCACTGCACTCCAGCCTGGGTGAAAGAATGAGACTCCATCTCAAAAAAAAAAAAAAAAGAACAAACATATTTATATTTATAGGGAATGAGGACATGGGAGAAGAAAAAACCTGAGATTATGTCAGAAGGAATTAGGTTCTAAAATAAGTTTAGAACTTCAACTGTTAAGCATTTTGGGGAACAGAGCTTCAAAGCATCACCCTTCAAACAGGTTACTAAAGTAAGAGGTAGAGACCATGAGAGCATAGAGCGATAAGGCCCAGTGCTTAGGGAACTCATTTGCAGGAGATCAAGTTGAGTGGAAAAGTGCAAACCAGACCATCATAGTCAGTGCATGTCTGGCAGTAACCCTCAGTTGTAGATTGTAGGTGTGGAGGTAAGCATGGTTTTAGTTTGATATACACCAGAGTACAGATTGCTATTAAATAGAGAGAGTGAATAAGAATCAATGGCTTTATTGTGTCATCACAGCATCTCAATTTTTAAAAACTACCATGAATAAAGCATTAATAGGAAAGCCAGCTACATTGCTCACATGCTGCATTTTATTATTCATGTAACATTTCTGATTGGCTAAAACATTTCAGTATATCAGGCAATATACCCAGTTCTAGAAAGACAGAAAAACTAGTCACAATTGCTGGCTTACCATCCAATGTGTGTGTTTACATGAGGGGGGAGAAGAGGGAGACCATACAAATACCGTGCATGTGTCAAAGGAGCTGTGATGTACAGAGTGTGGAAACACCAAGGAGAGAAGAGCTAGTTTAGCAGCTGCGGTAAAGAACGGAAGTAGTCACTGAGCTTCCCATCCTCCACCAGCCTCCAAGTGCCCTTGTCTTTCACTTCATTATTTTCATATGATTGATCATATATAACCAACACCTTAGTCCCTCACTTAGCTGATCAATTTGTAGTGTCTCCACATAATAAAATATCAAAGAAGAAAGCCACGATAGTCTGATGAAACACCATCTTTTCAGGACAACTATTTGTTAGCATCTAAAGGCAGAGTTTAAAACATGGTTCTTCAATCTGTGCTCTAATATAGACAAATGAGAAGACATTAATCTAATAGGGCAGTGTGAGTCCATTCCTCGAACAGCAATGTGAACAATGAACACTTGGTCCACACCAGTACACCTGCACACGGCTGAACTTCAGAATTATTTGGAGAGTTTGATTTTCAAAGTGTAGCTCCTTAGGCTTTATCATAGACTTTCTGAATCAGGAGTTTCAGGAGAAAGTCCAAGGGTCTGCAGTTATAGAAGCCTCAGAAGGAGACACTGATGCTCAGCCTAATGGAGTGACCAATATTCTAGGAGGGTCTTAAAACTCAGACTGAAGCACCATGGCTATCTCTGTGGATTCTATCCATCTTGGAGCTGTCTCAGCCTCTGGTTTCCCTGCTCCTGCAATCCTGATGCAAACCTGTTAGGGCATTCTTTCTAACTGGATCCTCTGATTATGCTATGTGCTTTCTCAGAGTTACTCAGTTTCCTCTGATCTATAGATCTGTTAAACACACTCTACACATTCGCCCTGCCTTGCCTTTGGCTGTGGCATTATGCCTATCTGTTCATAATGACAGCCTAGTTCTGCCAGCTGACTCACATGAGCTAACTCTTACTACCCTATATTCCACGTTGTGACAACATTTGACTACTAACCTACTTCATAGTTCCTATATGGAATCATAATTTTTGTTTTTGAATATTGTAAGTATTTGCTGTATGAAAGAATGAATTTTTCTCTCTGTGGCCTTTTCTGCAAAACATAGGTTTCCATGACAAGTATTTGAAAATACCCAAATTGCTGAGACCCAGTGACTGGATATTTGAAAGCACTAAAAGGGAGAGTGATGGGTTTGACTGCCTTAGAACACTTCAGAGGACTTGGTCCCGATCAATCACTCTCTCTAATACCAGCACTTTCCCTGGCTATACCCTCTCCCAAACCACTGGCTTTCAAGTTGTCTTTTATCCTAAGCAATTTGCATAATATTACCTAGATTTCTCAGTAAGATTTGGAATAAAGGAAAAGAAATCCATCTTCTATCTTGAGTTCAGCTCTATAATTGCAAGATTCGCACAGAGGCTGAAAACTTCCACAAAGCATTTATTTGCCCTTGGGTGAGTTGCCGATTCTCTGGAGCAATCTTCTCCTCTTTTGCATGCACAGAGTAAGGTAGCAGAGATGAAAGACAGCTTTGAGCTTCAGCTACAAATCAGAGCAGAAGGGTGATGCTGGACAGCCTCAGAATTGTAACTGATCCAGCTTGGCTCAGCAGTGATTGGAAGTAGGTCAGAAAATGGCAGTGCTGGAGTCCAGACTGTGCGGGAGAATACTACATCTTCTTTAGTATTCTAACAGTTTCTTGTCTTGTTCTCCGACTTTTTACTCCTTTTTTCTCTTTCTGTAGTTTTTAATCTTTGTATGCATAAAGAGACAAAAATAGCTAAGAAATTTTGATGTAGAAAAGTGAAGAGAGAACTTAAATTATAAGATAATAAATGTATTTTAATCTTAACAATATTTATAACACTGAGGTCATTTTTCAAGAAGAGACAAATAGATCAATTGCTCAGAATGTGAAGCCCAGGAAAACAAACTAACGTAAATTAAAATTAATAACTGATAAATGAACATTTAAATCGATAGTGAATGTATGAAACTATTTAATGAATTTTCTTGAGGAAATAATCTATCAGGAGAATTTGGTTAATTTGCCACCAGAATAAATACTGGCTGGGAGAGAAAAGTCAAAATGTATTTTTTAAAAAGTAGTCACAAAACAATTGAGATAAAACTGAGAATAATATTTATTTGCTTTGGCAGATGGGATAACATTCAAATGATGAAAATTATAAAATAAATTAAAGAAATGGATGATTAAAAAAATTAAAAAGCACTGTACATGAAAAGCAACATAAAGATAATTAAAATTCATGCAGAGGACAAATACAAGCATTGGGAGAGTATTCTAAAAATACATAGAATTTATATACATGAATAGGAAAGCACTAATGTACTAATGTCCAGAAGTGAAAAGGGCAAAGGAGACACAAAAATAATCCACAAATGACTAAATTCAAATGGCTAATAAACATATGAAAGGCTTTGTTTTGTTTTGATTTGATTTTGATTTTTGAGTTAAAGAGAGCGAATGAAAATAACATTCATGGTAGTTTTTCAGTGCTAGCAATGGTATGTAAAGATTAGCATACTCAGACACTAATGTGAGAGAGTGTATAAATTAGTAGAGGCATTCTAGGTGCAGTTTGGTATTAGGAGTCTCAATAACATGCAACTCCTTTAACCCTATAATCCTGATAATGAGAATTGTAAGTTTCCATCAAATATTTATAAAACTTTTCATTGTGCCTTCATTTTAAATGATAAACAATGAGAAACAACCTACCTACTCATGAAGATTTCCAGTATGTTTCTGAAGTGTTTTTACATCCTCCTCACAAGGAGGAGAGTTGACAAAGACTACCCAATGTCATTATGGTGGAATTGAATCATGGCATCTGCTGGTGAAATACCAGCTGTGACTACGTCTGCAGAGAGTAGCTCTCACCCAGCAAGAGATGGTGCAGGTGGTCTTCTGTACCTAGAAAGAAGTTGAGAAGCATTTCGGAAATAAAACTTGCAAAGCTTGGCTGCCAGCTGTGGATGGTCTGGGAAAGAGATGGAAAACATTCAAGAGAAGCTGGCATTTGTAGGTCAATGAACCGAGTTGGTGGAGACAATAACCAAGGCTGTGAGAATGAGGAAGGAAACTAGGCAGAAACCTCCAGTTTTCAATTCCTTTTGGAACTGACAAATGAGAAAACAGCTACAGAGAGACTTGACAGTTCATCTGCATAAAAGATGGATGGAATTAACATTTGGGGAGGTCCCTACTCTGTGTGTATCAAACCTATTTCTTATTCTGTTTTATTTAATTCTCATGGCAGGTAAATAAAATTTTTAGATTTAAGCATTCAACAAACATTTCTTGCTTGCCTGCTATATACCTGACTTCATGTTAGGTGCTAGGGAGCTGGGGACATAGACGTGAGTGCAATATACTTACTCCCTCTTGTAGAGTTAAATAATACCTATGATATCAGTTATCTAGCAGCAGAGGATGAAAAATGTAAGCCTATTTATTTTTAATTTTCTTTAATTTTTTTCCTCACTTCAAAGCCTCCCTGCTATACCAGTCTTTTTTCTTTTCTTCTGTTCTTTGAGATTATATTTTAGGTATATATGTCATCTTTGCATATATTGTCTTTTAAAAAAAAACACAGGAAAATATAAAATACCTTTCAGCTTCACTTGTTCCCTTTTCTTTTGCCTCAGATAACCACCATCATCAAATTTTCTATATATTCTTCCAGTCATTTTTCAGAGCATTTAATACAAATATAACTATAGAGAATAATATTTATTTTCCATATAAACATGGATATTTTGTCTATAATAGTCTGAAACTTTTTATAATCAGCAATATATTTTGAGCTCTTACTACATGAGTGTATTTCAATTTAGTTTATTTTTTTCAACTACTCTATAGCAATTGTGTAAAGTAATTTATTTGCCCAATACAGTCCTTAAGAAATAAAACATTATCAATTCAGTTGAAAGCAACAATGTATACCACCCAGATCAAATATTCTGCTGCCTTATCAGAGGGATGGTGATGAATTAACAAGCCTGTGAATTGCATTTTGCTTGGACTATGCTTGAGTGACAATTGGGTACAGGATTACAGGCTTCTGGTTTTCTCACACCATTCTGATGATATTATTTTACTAAGTTCCAGTTTTCCATTGCTGCTACTAAAAGCATCTATGGTCCATGTAATTTTTGTTCTTGAGTAGCTTTTGCTTTGGAGTTCTACAGTTTCACTATGACTGTGCTTCTGTGGATTTCTGGTTATTATGTTATTCTTACAATTATTGACCACTGAAGTCTCAGAATTAACATTGTTAATTTATCCTGTTTAGAATTTCAAGAAGTGTCCTCATCAAATTCTAGAAAATTGAGAATTGCCTCTTTCACTTATATTCTATTAATTCTTCTGAAATTCAATGAGATATGTATTAGAACTGCTCACTTGTTCATAGATATTAATTCCTCCTTTATATTTAAAAAATTCATTTTTCTGTGTTGTAATTTTGTTGATTTTTTTCTAATACATATTCTAATTCAATAATTATTTTTTCAGTTATGGCTAATGTACTTTTCAACCCAGCTATATTTTTATTTTAATGTTTATATTTTATTTCAAAAAATTTTTTAAACAGTCATAATATTTATAATAATCTCTTATTCATTCCTGTAGTATTCAATTACTTTTCTTATGTTTTAAGCATTTTGGACATATTCCTTTTCTAGTTTGTTTTTGTTCATCCTAATATCTGAATTATTTGAGCTCTAAATCTGGTTTTCATTGTGTGTGCTTATTCTTTCTCACAGTTGCTTGTTTTGTTTTATTAACTTTTTAGTTTTTATTTAATTCTGACTCATCTGAATCTTTGGGAATATCAAGAGCCTGGATTGAGGGTATGTTTGTCTAAAGAGAATCTGTATTTTATTTTTCCCGGTGCAATCAACCTAGAAAGTAGTGGGAGTGACTTCTGATGAGAGTGGGGTTTTTTTTGGTGGGGTTGTGTTTGGGGGAGAAAAATTATTTAAAGTTAGATAGTAGCGGTGTTTGCATAACTCTTGAGTATACTAAAAACTGCTAATTTTCATACTATAAAGAGGTGAATTTTATGGTATGTGAATTATATTTCAATAAAGCTGTAATACAAAAATTAGCCAAGAGGAGTTTGAATCAACTCTACACTCTCAGTCAAACTTTCCTCCAAATAGTACCAAGATGTGGAGCTGTCCAGCGGAAAAAATGTGTCAGGGCAAAGAGTATGTCCTCTACGAACAATTCAAGAAAAGAGGGGATGAAGGCAAGGTCAAAGCTCAGCATCCTTGTCAGAAAGCAAAGTTTTAATTTTTCTTCAGCTGTTTATCAATATCTGCTTCATTAATAACAAGTCTCTACATTTTTGCCAATACTGGTTTATTTTATTTAATATTTGCTAATATAATAGATTTTAAAAAATCTATTCTCACTGCTTTTTAATATGTTTCTTAGATTACTGTTGTGCCTGAAGTGTTTTTTACATTAGCTATTCTAATTTTTTATTTTTAAAACTAAGTTGCCTTTTAAAATCCTTTACCCATGTCCTACCATAAAACTTTTTCTCCTAATGAGTTTTGAGAGAGATTCATAAAACAAAGATTCTAGTCATTTGTTGCAAATATTACATTCTAAATTGCTTCTTGCTTTCAATTTTATTTATAATAACTTATAACTTCTATTTCGGGGTTTTATATATAGTTCTTTATCACAGGACATCAACAGTGTTAAATTAAGTAGGTACTTTTTAAAATAAGAAATATGTAAATATTTACATTTCTTTAGGCATTTCTTTAAGTAAGAAATTCAGCAAAGCCATATGGGACATAAGGAAAATGTCCAAAAAAAAAAAAGAAAGAAAGAAAGAAAGAACAACAACAACAAAATAAAAAACCTGACAATTTACATTTAGTACACATAAATAAAAATTTACATAGCAATAAAAGGGCCACAAACTATTCAATAAAATTACAGACTTTTTAGAGCTAAACTTACTATAGAACTTAGTAGCTGTCTCTGATGTAGAGATGGCAGTAAGATTTTCCTGCTAAAATAACAACTGCAAAGACGGTTTTGGGATGCAAAGGATTATGTGTTTTTATTTAGTTGCAGGAAATAGAAATAGAAACATTTTTATTCTTAGTGACTTTTTTTTTCCTGTCACCAGCCATTGGAAGGACTACAATGTGAAGGCTGAGATCAATGATCTTATTAGTGACTACTGATAGGAGTAGGGGTCCTGGAATATTTTGTGTCTATACTGGCCCGCCTGGCATCTGACTTCAACTACACTGGCTGGGCAGCATGAGAGCTGAAGACAGAAAGAAACACATTAAGCAACTTTTAATTGTGGATATTTAAAAAACATTTGGTTATCAGATCCTTTCCTACTCAAAGACGGCAGGAAACAGGTTCTAGTAGGGAGAAGAAAAAAGAAAGTGGCCTAATGGACAACGATGCAGGCTTTAGTCACTACAAGTGTAGGGAGGGGAAGACAGGGAAAGAGGAGAATAGTAAAACATGACCACAAGATTAGCAAAATCCTAAAAGTTGATGAGATTGCTGAGCAACAGGAGTTCTTGTACATGGATAGTGGAAGAGCAAACTGATGAAAAACCTTTAGAAAACTTTGGCAGCATCCATAGAAGCTGAACATCCTTATTCAGCAAGACCCCTCCCAGTCATAGTCTTCAGTCAGCAGAAGCATATGCCTGTATGAACTAGTGCCCATGTCCACAAAGAATTAGCCACTCTCTAATCCTTTAACTTGATTTCACAGAGCATGATACTTTCAATAAGATTCTTAGTGACAGAGAAAGATAGATTAACGTTGCTATTAGAAGGCTCTGTTTATTTTATTTGTTTATTTTTTTCTTGCTCACATTATTAAGAATGGCCTCACAGAAATAAACTGCTGGGATTTCAAATCCAATACTCTATCGTGAAGTACTTGAACACAGCAACCGTGCCTCACTCCCTTATTGTTCATCCCCAAATCTAGGAAAGTGCAGGCATTTTTCAGGGACTCAATATGTAAGTAAGTACTGAATATAAGCTTCTTAGATGACAGGCTTACACATTTCATAAACAACCAAAAAGCAAAACAAAACAAAACAAAAACAAAACCCAAAGCAAAAACCTTCAAATTTTCCTAAACTAACATATAAAATTAAGGAGATTTTGTGTATTACAATCATTGTGGTATTTATTAAATGTGCCATAAATATTTTATACCATTTCTACTAGTAATTGATGACTTTTACTATGTTTTTGATGCCTTACAATGAAACAAAGTATTTGGTGGTAACAATGTATTTTAAATTATCATATTGAATATCTTTTACACTATAACAGAAATTTTTGGGAATGAGGTGAAAATTTGCTCTAGGTTTCTTTATGATGTAAATTTATCATGGGATTCTCTTAAATGATGAGCTTGTCAGGGTAGTTGAATGGCAGGTCTCTGTTTTAGTGGTACTTTCCCTAACCTCCCTCCCAAAATAGCACCCCTGGTTCATTCATTCTTCTGCAACCTTACACTGTATTACATATTTTTATTTGCCCATGTTATCTCTCCACTAGTAGAATATAAACTCCTTGAAGACACTTTGTCAATTGTGTTCATTGATGTATCTCAAGCTCCTATAAATGCTAGTGACCTAAGAACTTACCCATCTACCCTCAGAATATGTCTCTATCCAGTTTCTTTTAGGGGCCTCGAGATAGGGCTGCTTCCAGCAGCGCTCTAAATTCTCAGCTATGCTGATTATTCTCAGTCCTCGGCTGTAGCAACAGTGCTCTTTCCCTTAATTTTATTGTACTTTCAGTTCTGGGATACATGTGCAGAACGTGCAGGTTTATTGCATAGGTATACACATACCACGGCGGCTTGCTGCACCCATCAGCACTCTTTCTTAGTAGTTGACAGTACAGATGGTCACGATGCTGGGCTGACCTCTGCTGGCCACCAGGTTGCAAACGCGAATGCTAGTGTGTTTCTTCCTCAGGGCCCAGCAGGAGAATTCCTTTGAGCTTTGAGCAATTCTTTCAGAGAAAGGAGTCTTCTCCCCACCTTTTGTTTAACTATAGTCCTAGAGAGGTAGGGATACAGCCAGGCATAGTCTTCCATTATTCCTGATTCCGTTTCTCAAACCACGTGCCTGTGGCCCCATCTGACACTCTGGGCTTGATTTCTTGAGGTATGATGATTTTCTCAAAAGATGCCTCTGTCTTCCCATGAATCTGGTGTTTTTAGGAGTTGCCCAGGCCACTCGATGTCCTATATGTGTTTATACTCCAGTCATTAACAACTTCCATCAAGTTCCTTGCCACTGGGTTTCTCGACGCAGGAGATGTGAATGGACAACTAATTCAAACTCCTGGAGCATTCTATTAGGGTTAAGAATTTCTCACGTATACCCTCGCACTTAGGAGCCTCCTCTGCCCTAAATATGCTGGGGACATCTTTGGTGTGTTGTGGTGTCTCCTCATCAGTAAATGAGGTCTTACGTCTGTATCAGCCCAAACAGTAAAAACAGTGGATCACAATCACAAAGATAGAACAGAAGAATAGGCAAGACTTCTATTCTAGTGCTCTTTTCCAGGATAATTGGTTTTTGGGGAGGAAACGTAGAGTTCATATGAACGGATATAAATGGAGTTATTCTATGCCAAACAGAGCCTATCATGAAAGCTCTGTAAGAAATCTCTTCCCTCCTGTCCCCATATTTGCATTCACCACCAGGGGTGTCTCTTTCGGTGTTTGAGTTTCAGTTCCTCTGTTCATATGAACTCTAAATTTCCTCCCCCAAGGACCAATTATCTTGGAAAAGAGCATTAGAGTAGAAGAGTTGCCTATTCTTCTGTTCTACCTTTGTGATTGTGATCCACTGTCTTTACTGTTTGGGCTGATACAGATCTAAGACCTCATTTGCTGATGGGAAGACATCGTAACACACCAAAGATGTCCCCAGCATATTTAGGGCAGAAGAGGCTCCTAACTTTTAGGACCGTCTTTCCTGCTGCCTCAGGTGAGCAACACACATACAAAAAAACTTTTCTAAAGTAAACAGACACAGATTTTTAGGATTGTGATACGTAATTTTTAAATAAAAATATATTCATTTTAAGTGTGAATATGCTAATTGTAGAAATTTAAAAATGAAATATAAGAAGGAAATGGTTTTCCAGATCGCTTATAGCCTTAGAAACCATCGTTAGCATTTTATTATTTTTCCTTTCAGCTCTCTCTAAGAGCAGTTTTAGATCATAGTTGCTCTCATGCTTTAATTAAATTGTGTATTTGGTTTTCCATTTAGCATGAAATCAGTATTTCATTTGATAAACATCATTTTAATAGGTTGCACATTACTTCTTTGAGCAATTCTACCACAACATAATAGCCTCTCACTTGAGGAATTTTGGGTCTCTAGTTTCAATTGCTGATACTGATGTTGTTATTTTATACATAATACTATAATACTACTCACCAGTGAAAATGAAATAGTAGGCAATCTGGCAGTATGTATTGCTTTGAAGTTAATAGTAATAATACTAATAACCCTTGCTAGTTTGGGACCTACAATGTGCCACTCAGCTGTTTTCATGTTACCTCCTTCAGTCCTTAAAACAGTGCTGCTGATAGACACTGATTCCATGTTTCCCAGATGCTCACTGATTAAGTCACACTACCCAAGTCATACAATCATCACAGGTAGGAGCCAGCTATTAGAACCTAGTTCATCTGAATCTGAAGTCAATGATGTTTCCATTGCTCAATGCTGCCATAGATAAGCATGTGTATATAAAGTTTTCCCTGTCTTATTTCCTAATGTGAAGATAAATGTGATTTTTTTAATTGAAATATGTTATCAGCTAGGTAGAAAAAAATGACCAAGAAGTACACTAGGTATGAGGAAATTTCAACATGCACATAATCTCTATAAGTATAAATGTCCCCTAGCATTCTGTACTGTGGGTAACTGAGAGGCAAGTGACTCAGATTGGGCCATTTGCATTGTTAAATAATTATTTCTTGCTGTGGCCAGGCTCAATCAGGACTATGCACAGTTAAGGTATTACCCAAATGAATGGTGAGGACTTGACATGTGTTGAGAGCCTCTTTTGTGCCAGGGAAAATAGGTAGTACTGACAAAAGATGTGAGGAACACATTTTAATAAAATGTGACAACTGTCATTGGATCCAAGAAGTGGATCATCAACTCATTCTCTGGAGTGAGAAGAAAGTTAGACATGGCTTCCCAGTAAACAGGTCAGAAGGATCCGGCTGCATGAGAAGTTGGGGGAAGCAGTACGTGAACAGAGATGGTTTCCCCTTAACACTGTCAAATGAGACCCTGAGTGCCTCTTGAGGACAGGAGCTTTTTTCTTAGTACCTATTGTACTTCTCACAGTGCCTGGCTCACAAGAGTCTGTCAATGCATACAAAATAGATAGATAGACAAATAGATATAGAGATGTGGATGGATAGATTAATAGGAAGATATAGAAAATAGATGTATGTGTGAGAAAGAGAGAGATAGAGATGAAGATAGAGATCAATAAACAGATATAGATAGATGATAGATTAGATAGATAAAAGGATGAGGAAAAATGGGTAGATAGCTACAGATAATGTGTGTGAAAGATAGAGATAAAGATACAAATAGATCAATCAATAGAGATAGATGACACATAGACACACACACTTATACATGATTTATCTATTCTATCTCTCTACATGGATAGATGATGGCTAGATAGATGAATATAAAAATAGGTATATATACAGATTTTCTTCTTTCTATTGTTACTGCAAGCCTAGAGCATATTAGGTGCTAAACAAATAACTAAGGTTTAGGAAAATAATTGGTTAATGGCTGATATGTCTTCTCATAAACCTTGAGCTGTTAGCACTATGCAGTCTCTTCTCAGCACTTCATGCTTTATTCTGTAGCCTGGTGTGGCACCGAGCCCCATGTTACTGTGAGGTGCACACCCAGGACAAGGGTTTTGGGCAGCCTAGACAGCCCATGTCATCTACATTAAACTCTGCTTTCTCTTTACATTTTTTTTCTTTTAAACACAGCCTGAACATGAGTGAGACAAACATCTGTAACCTTTTCTAACAATATCAGAGGATATCATTTTTATATTTAGAAGGTGGATGAGATTGAAGTCAAGAAGAGATGCCGGGGCAGCTCATATTATTCACAAGCAACATAATCACTGTGAAAATACAATCTTTTTTCCCCCTTTGGAGACCCAGTTACTATATTTTTTTAAAAGCATTTGTGCAAGAAAAAACAGCTTATTAAAATGCATGAGGTCTAGCTTGCCTATCACCAATAATCAGAATATTTTTATCTGCCATAAAATCTCATGTTGACAAGTAATGTTCTTCTCAGTTTTGCAAGTATGACGCTATTGTCCATTTGATTTCTCCATCACCTGCTGACCTACTTCCTGTTACTCACCCAGCAGGCCCTCCTGAGGCAACCTATTGATGCTCTTGTTGGTTCTTCTACCCCTTTATCTCATAACAATCTGTCAGCTCACCCCTCCAGAGGGTTTAAATTGCCACCAACTGGTCAATAGATGCAACCTCCTATATATCAATACGCCTGCTTCCACCAGTAGCTCTTTGACATCATCTCTCAGATAAATTGGTCTCTCTCTTTTTTCATATTCTGTTCTCTCCATGATGTCACATGAAATGTGAATGTTTCTCTCCAGTTGGAGTACTACATTGCTTACATTTAATCTCCATTTATTTTCCTCCTACACTCCTACCCCAGAGATTTTCAGAAAGTGAGAAAAGTATTAGAGGTTTGGAAATGAATATACATGTCTCTAAGCTTTTGAAATCTTGTTTCCAAATATAGAGCTGACTTGATTTGAGAGGAAGAAAAGCATTAGCAATATTCTTAAAGGATGACTTTACAGTGATAATCTGAATTTTATTCTGTGGGCAGATTTCTTCAATAGTGATTCAGTTATTTATAATAACAACAACTACATGAAGACCAATAATCATGAAAGAACAGTGATCATTTTTCATCTGAACAAAGTGTAATTGGATTATCTTCAGAGATTCTAAAAATCACAACTTTCCAAAGATCCAGTGTACATGGTGGATGTAGACCAGCGCTGAGCTGTTTCACGAACTATCTTCCTGTTACCAGCAGGTCAAGGGCTG
Source organism: Homo sapiens (assembly GCF_000001405.40). Classification (NCBI taxonomy): domain Eukaryota; kingdom Metazoa; phylum Chordata; class Mammalia; order Primates; family Hominidae; genus Homo; species Homo sapiens. The sequence continues at coordinate 48,879,747 of NC_000007.14, forward strand.
GAAGTCTGTGGAGGAGGACTTGAAGTCCTTAGGCTGGCAGCCCTCCTCATGCAGCGGCAGGCCAGGCAGCCCTCATTTCTTTCCCCAGCTCCAGGTCACACATGGTAGAATTTCCACCTAGCCCCCAGAAGTTGTTTGGATCTTGCTGCCCTTGTATTGTTTGGTCTTGAGGAGTGGCTCTTTTCTCATATGAAGGGAAGATCTGGGTGGATTGCCTTCCAGAACTTCTGTCTTCCCCTGCATCCATATTGGTGTGAGGAACCACGGCAGAGTCTGTGGGAACTGTGAACATGTAAAAGGACAGAATATCACTGTGTAAGATGACTGTGTTTTCTCCAAGAAACAGAAAGCTATCAGCTGTCTGAAACTAACTTTTAAAATACGAAACAAAAAACAGATTTTTTTCTCCAAAGTCAGGGAGGGAACCTGAAGCTCGGGGTTTTCTAAAACTTCTTTGAATTTAATGAAGTGAAACACTGAAGATCACTGGGAAAGGGTGAGTTAAAAGATCATAGTGATATGCTTTCTTACTTAGGAGTTTTTGCTAACTACAGCTTATTTTCAGAAGGTGTGCATATCCTGAGTGTTTCTATTATTTTTTTGCTTTTCTGCAGCAATAACATAAAAAAAATCAAAATACCAGACCACATCAACACACATACTTTGTTCTTTGGAAAGTAAATTTGGCAGAAATAGAAAGAATCATAAATATGATATTTTAAAAAGGTGTTTTATTTAAATATTTAATAATGATGAAAGCCCCAAATAATCAAAATTGGCCTATTTCTATTTTAATTTCCAACCAACCAAGGAAAGCAGGAATTCATAGACTTTGGCAAGGATATTTTGAAGTGTGTTGATGAAGCTTGTGGTGAGTGTGCACTACTCTTCACCCCAGAGTGAAGAATGGACACCCATAGGAACAGCCATGTGGCTGTGACAAATGAAGGGCCGTGCCCTACCTTATGAAATTGACATCTGGTCCTAGAATTGCACAGTCATTGAAACCAATGTGCAAAACACTGCTAAATCAGAAAGACACTTCAGTGAGACCCTCCTTCTCTGCCCTATTTAATTTAACACCCTACTCCAACATGCCCTTTCCCCTTTCCTACCTGTTTTTCCCTGGCACTTCTATAGCTATGTATTCTATGACCACGTGTAGCCACTGTGTATGACACTTACTTACTTATTATCTGCTCACACACTAGAATGTAAGTTCTTCCATGAAGGAAGGACTTTTGTTTGTTTTACACATCTGCAGTGACTGCAAAGTGCCTGAAATACAGAAAACACTCAATGCATATCTGCTGCATCAATGAATGAATGTGCTTTTAATTACATTAGTAAATATTTATAATGAGATAAAAGAGTTCTACTGATATTGCAGTGTAAATATCTTTAATGGCAGGGCAAAATATGTAAATTGAATTATAGAAGTTCAGAACTGAAACAGAAATGAGAAAATTAGAAATTTTCCATACGGGAAAACTGAGTTCAAGAAAAGCTATAACTTGGCAATGGTCATGTTTGTAGTGCACAACATAATCTAATTCTCCTGAGTCCAAATAAAGCCCCAAATATAACCCATTATTATTATGCATTTTGTTGCCTTACTACTATTAGCATATAGATTATTTGAATTTATATACTTTTAGGCTGTGCTATTTGCATGTGTCTGTATTCAACTGTTGTTTATCTCAAAAATATGTATTCCATTTGGCTCATCCTTAAATGTAATGGCTTAATAACTTTATTTTTTATCGATATTTTGAAAATATTTTTCATAAAAAATGAAGCCTTCAAATACTGGAGGTTTCTGTTGTATTTAATTTTTTGAAAATCATTGTCTCTGCTATTTAATGAACAGTATTGTCTTCATGTTTTTGTACTGACATAATAGAGTTCCTCAGGGTAGGTAATTTATAATTAACAGAAATGTACTTGGCTCATAGTTCTGGAAGTGCAAGATTGAGGGGCTGGCATTAGGTAAGGGCCTTCTCGCTAAGTCATCCCATGGTGGATGATGAGAGGGCAAGAGAGGGCTGAAATTGTCCTTTTGTAAAGAACCCACGTCTGAGAAACTGAACCTACTCCTGAGATAATGAGTTTAATCTACTCAGGAGGGCACATGCCCCGTGACCCAAACACCTCCCACCAGGCCCCAACTCCCAACACTGCTGTGTTGAGAAACAAATTTCCAACATATGAACTTTTGGGGACACATTCAAGTCATAGCAAGTATTATTCTTAAAATATATAAACTAAATATTTAATAATTAAAAATTTGTGGGGAATAAATTATTGTCTTTGGGGCAGAAATTAAGTATATACTTTATTTTTTCCATTAATTAAAAGCTTCCAATTCAAGATAACAGATACCGTAAAACTCTATAACTTTCTAAGACAATGTTCAATACTTTTTATAAATAAACATCATTGTTTAAAAATTTTAGTTTCAAGAACATTTGATTTTTCAACCCATTGAGCGATGATTACTTATTTATGAAGGATGCTAATTAAGCCTAGAAGGAGAGGCAATCTACTACTTGTGTGTATGTTTATATTAGCCAAGGGAGTTATTGATTAAATTTTCTTCTTTTTTATTATACTTTAAGTTCTAGTGTACATGCGCACAATGTGCAGGTTTGTTACATGTGTATACATTTGCCATGTTGGTGTGCTTCACCCGTTAACTTGTCATTTACATTAGGTATATCTCCTAATGCTATCCTCCGCCCTCCCCCAACCCCACAACAGGCCCCGGTGTGTGATGTTCCCCACCCTGTGTCCAAGTGTTCTCATTGTTCAATTCCCACCTATGAGTGAGAACATGCAGTGTTTGGTTTTCTGTCCTTGTGATAGTTTGCTCAGAATGATGGTTTCCCTCTTCATCTATGTCCCTACAAAGGACATGAGCTCATCATTTTTTATGGCTGCATAGTATTCCATGGTGTATATGTGCCACATTTTCTTAATCCAGTCTATCATTGATGGACATTTGGGTTGGTTCCAAGTCTTTGCTATTGTGAATAGTGCAGCAATAAACACACATATGCATGTATCTTTATAGCAGCATGATTTATAATCCTTTGGGTATATACCCAGTAATGGGATGGCTGGGTCAAATGGTATTTCTAGTTCTAGATCCCTGAGGAATCGCCACACTGTCTTCCACAATGGTTGAACTAGTTTACAGTCCCACCAACAGTGTAAAAGTGTTCCTATTTCTCCACATCCTCTCCAGCACCTGTTGTTTCCTGACTTTTTAATGATCACTATTCTAACTGGTGTGAGATGGTATCTCATTGTGGTTTTGATTTGCATTTCTCTGATGGCCAGTGATGATGAGCATTTTTTCACGTGTCTGTTGGCTGCATAAATGTCTTCTTTTGAGAAGTGTCTGTTCATATCCTTCGCCCACTTTTTGATTGGGTTGTTTGATTTTTTCTCATAAATTTGTTTAAGTTCTTTGTAGATTCTGGATATTAGCCCTTTGTCAGATGGGTAGATAGTAAAAATTTTCTCCCATTCTGTAGATTGCCTGTTCCCTCTGATGGTAGTTTCTTTTGCTGTGCAGAAGCTCTTTAGTTGAATAAGATCCCATTTGTCAAATTTGGCTTTTGTTGCCATTGCTTTTGTGTGTTAGTCATGAAGTCCTTGCCCATGCCTATGTCCTGAATGGTATTGCCTAGGTTTTCTTCTAGGGTTTTTTATGGTTTTAGGTCTAACATTTAAGTCTTTAATCCATCTTGAATTAATTTTTGTATAAGGTGTAAGGAAGGGATCCAATTTCAGCTTTCTACATATGGCTAGCCCAGTTTTCCCAGCACCATTTATTAAATAGGGAATCGTTTCCTCATTTCTTGTTTTTGTTAGGTTTGTCAAAGATCAGATGGTTTTAGATGTGTGATATTATTTCTGAGGGCTCTGTTCTGTTCCATTGGTCTATATATCTGTTTTGGTACCATTACCATGGTGTTTTGGCTACTGTAGCCTTTTAGTATAGTTTGAAGTCAGGTCACATGATGCCTCCAGCTTTGTTTTTTTGGCCTAGGATTGTCTTGGCAATGCTGGCTCTTTTTTGGTTCCATATGAACTTTAAAGTAGTTTTATCCAATCCTGTGAAGAAAGTCATTGGTAGCTTGATGTGGGTGGCATTGAATCTATAAATTACCTTGGGCAGTATGGCCATTTGCACAATATTGATTCTTCCTATCCATGAGCATGGAATGTTCTTCCATTTGTTTGTGTCCTCTTTTATTTCCTCGTTATTTCTTTGAGCAGTGGTTTGTAGTTCTCCTTGAAGAGGTCCTTCACATCCCTTGTAAGTTGGATTCCTAGGTATTTTATTCTCTTTGAAGCAATTGTGAATGGGAGTTCACCCATGATTTGGCTCTCTGTTTGTCTGTTATTAGTGTACAGGAATGCTTATGATTTTTGCACATTGATTTTGTATCCTGAGACTTTGCTGAAGTCGCTTATCAGTTTAAGGAGTTTTTGGGCTGAGACGATGGGGTTTTCTAAATATACAATCATGTCATCTGCAAAAAGGGACAATTTGACTTCCTCTTTTCCTAATTGAATACGTTTATTTCTTTCTCCTGCCTGATTGCCCTGGCCAGAACTTGCAACACTATGTTGAATAGGAGTGGTGAGAGAGGGCGTCCTTGTCTTGTGCCAGTTTCCAAAGGGAATGCTTCCAGTTTTTGCCCATTCAGTATGATATTCGCTGTGGGTTTGCCATATACAGCTCTTATTTTGAGGTGCGTTCCATTAATACCTAGTTTATTGAGAGTTTTTAGCATGAAGGGCTGTGGAATTTTGTCAAAGGTCTTTTCTGCATCTATTAAGATAATCATGTGGTTTTTTGTCTTTGGTTCGTTTATATGATGGATTACGTTTATTGATTTGCGTATGTTGAACCAGCCTTGTATCCCAGGGATGAAGCCAACTTGATCATGATGCATAAGCTTTTTGATGTGCTGCTGGATTTGGTTTGCCAGTATTTTATTGAGGATTTTTGCATTGATGTTCACTCAAAATCGCTCAACTACAGGGAAACTGAACAACCTGCTCCTGAATGACTAGTGGGTACATAAGAAAATGAAGGCGGAAATAAAAATGTTCTTTGAAATCAGTGAGAACAAAGACACAACATGCCAGAATCTCTGGGACACATTTAAAGCAGTGTGTAGAGGGAAATTTATAGCACTAAATGCCCACAAGAGAAAGGAGGAAATATCTAAAATTGACACCCTAACATCACAATTAAAAGAACTAGAGAAGCAAGAGCAAACACATTCAAAAGCTAGCAGAAGGCAAGAAATAACTAAGATCTGAGCAGAACTGAAGGAGATAGAGACACAAACAACCCTTGAAAAAATCAATGAATCCAGGAGCTGGTTTTTTTGAAAAGATCAACAAAATTGACAGACTGCTATCAAGACTAATAAAGAAGAAAAGAGAGAAGAACCAAATAGACACAATAAAAAATGATAAAGGGGATATCACCACCCGTCCCACAGAAATACAAACTACTATCAGAGAATACTATAAATACCTCTATGCAAATAAACTAGAAAATCTAGAAGAAATGGATAAATTACTGGACACATACAACCTCCCAAGACTAAACCGGGAAGAAGTTGAATCCCTGAATAGAGCAATAACAGGCTCTGAAATTGTGGCAATAATTAATAGCCTACCAACCAAAAAAAGTCCAGGACCACACGGATTCACAGCTGAATTCTACCAGAGGTACAAAGAGGAGCTGGTACCATTCCTTCTGAAAGTATTCCAATCAATAGAAAAAGAGAGAATCCTCCCTAACTCATTTTATGAGGCCAGCATCATCCTGATACCAAAGCCTGGCAGAGACACAACAAAAAAAGAGAATTTTAGACCAATATCCCTGATGAACATCGATGTAAATTTTCATAGTAACATTATTTACTTTATCCACTGATGATGATATTTAATATATTTGCTGAATTGCACAGTATCCACTTAACAAAATCAAACTTTAAGGACTACAGCTTGGATTTCTTGTGCCAAATGATCAAACAGTAAAAGCACTGACAATTTAGCCTAGGGATAGCCGCAGTGATAGATGAGGCAGACAAGTCAATCGAGAATAATGAGCCATAAGAGAAACAATTGATCATTTTATTTGACTGTTCGATTTAAAATATGCACATGGCTTGGGGGCTCCCTGTCACATTTATACACAGAAATTCCCTTATTTCTTTCACTTTTTCAGCACACATTCATTGGCGGTTTATTAAGTGGCAGTCACTCTGCCTGTCACAAAGTCATCTAGAAATTATAGTCAAAGATCTCACTAAGCAAGATTGTGACTATTTGTGGGTCCCCTTCAACCTACTGTGATACAGCCACCACTCAATATTTATTGTGTATTTTAGGGACTGCTCTAGGATAGCTGCAACAAGAAACTGAGATAAGTGAGGAATTAGGAGCTATAAGAAGAGTAACACTTTTCAGGCACCATGGCTCACGCCCGTAATCCCAGCACTTTGGGAGGTTGAGGTGGGTGAATCACTTGAGGTCAGGAGTTTGAGACCAGTCTGGCCAACATGTCAAAATCCCATCTCTACAAAAAATACAAAAATAAGCCGGGTGTGGTGGCGGGCACCTGTAGTCCCAGCTACTTGGGAGGCTGAGACACAAGAATCACTTGAACCCATGAGATGGAGGTTGCAGTGAGCTGAGATCGCGCCACTGCACTCCAGCCGGGTGACAGAGTGAGATCCTGTCTCAAAAAAAAAAAAAAAAAAAAAAAAAAGAACAATAACACTGATGGACAAGTCCATGGGCTATTAGAAAAGAATACTTAAGGGGAAGTTGGATTTATGAGGCTTGTGCAGAAAGGCTAAATGGATGAGGTGACTTGAGTGCGCCCTGAAGAAAGAGGATCATTTCCCTGCAGAGAGAAGAAGGAACAGAGAGAAGGAATGGCATATGCACAACATAAACAAGTAAAAGGGCACGGTGGGAGGGTGCCCTTCAGTGGGCTGGCCCTGGTCTGTGGTGAGGGAGAATGGTGAAAGACAGACTGAAGAGGAATTTGGAATTTGTCACTGGGACCAAATATTGAGTTGGGAACAGCCACAGCAGCACAGATGAGCTAGGAAGCACGGAGAGGCAGACTTCAGGGGATGCAGGCTTCATGGCAAAAACATCATAACTAAAGGTGAGCTCTGGACAGAGAGTAAACCTCTTGGACTCCCTGCTTCCCAGGTAGATCTTTTTTCTTCTTTCACTTGAAGCCACTTAAAAGATGGAGCACCCTCAATGAAGTTAGGGGCATGGGAGAGATCCAAAATAGGTAAAGGATTTTTTATTTGAAAAATGTGTAAAAACCAAAGTGAATTATGATTCATACGTGCATTTGAAGGGGGACACTGCTCATTTTTAGGCAAACTATACTGTGTGATTCTTAAGTTCCCCCAGCAAAATTGTCCTTCTGAGAGGGCTTGTGATTTGAACCCTTTCTTCCTGGGAGTAATAAGAGTTTTTGCCATTTCCAGGGCAAGTGCCCTGTTGTGGCACCATCCTTTCCCCTGGTCCAGGTGTTCTCCCCTGGAACATGCAATTCTCATAGTCTGGGAGACTAGATCAGAGAAGGTGTCTGAGCAGGGCGCTGTGAGCAAAGCAGATGATCTGATGTGTTATCCCTTCCCTAGGCACTCTTAGTGGGAAACTGAGAATCACAAACTCTGTGTCTGTGTCTAACTCTCCTTTTCAATGTGCTTGTTAAGAACTCTGTGAGCATAAAAACCGGGGTGGAGGGGAAGCTGAATGGTATGAAATCCTGGAAACCAGGAAGCTTCAGGAAATGGCTTGTAGGAAAAGGGAGCTTGGGGCCTTTTTTGAAGCTTGCAGCAGGCAGAGGAGCTGTGCAATTCAGCGGGCATGACTCATAAGGCAGCTGCTGGCTGTGAAGACATGGGACTAGAGGCTGAGTCCAAGCTTGGCTGGTAGGTTCCCATCCCAGCTGCCAGACCAGAACATCCCTGAGGGTATGCTTTCTGGGGGCTGTCAATAATTCACTTCCAGTTTGTTGCTGCAATAAGAAATAACATTTTAGTACATTTTACTCATTTGGAGTTTATGACATCCTTGCACTTAGAGAAGGTGGTATTACTCCCATCTTACAGCTGGTGAAAGGGAGGTTAAGGGAACATAGCCAGCTGTTTGGCCTCACCTAGCTGGTAAACTGCAGATCTCTAATTTGGATTTGTGCCTTCTAAGTCATCAGTCTCAGGGTCCCCCAATGCTACTATTCTTTCTCTAAGAGCCCTTTTGAGGCTGTGTCTGTCATGGCAACAGAGCTGCAAGGATTGTGGGGTAAGTGACAGTTCTGGGCAGGAGGGCCCTCAGAGCAGGTGACAGAGAGTGAGCAGAGGGGAGAGAGATGGAAGGCTCCGAGGAGGTCAGAAGCTGCTAGGAGAGAGATTTTTCCCCAAGTCAGCAACCTTGCAGCATTGGTCTCTATGAGGAGCAACTCAAATTCAGCTAGATTTAAAATGCTAGAGTCTTCCAGTGCACTAGCAGAGTCCTACACAAGAGCCTGAGACAAGAAAAGACAGAGGCGAACGACACGTATCAGCATTCTTGGGATCATACACCCACTCTCATTCTCCTAACAGTCATTCAGCTTTTGATTTCAGCATTGACCAATTCAGCAGAAATTTCTACCCAGAACCAGTGATTTCAGGCCTCTTAAAAACCAGTGGTATTTATCTGGGTTTTGTCTTCAGCAGCCTCATCATTGCCTGATTGCCTCGCAGTTCTCGAGGGGAGGCTGGCAGCCACGGCAGCGTCTTTATCATAAAGATGATGTTACCTTTCTCTCTCCTGATTTCCCTTCGGCTTTTATGTAGTACTTGAAGGTGAAATATTCTATAGAACATTTTGTACAGTATGTTCTCGTTTCTTTAAAAACACAACACAACAAAACAACTTGTATATGCACAGAAACTACCTGGGAATCAGGTTAACAGGGCTTCACTCCACAGCTGCTGCTGGGGACTGGAATGCTGCTGGCAGGTGGCTGGGGGGGGTCACATTTTCTTTTATACATTTTATTATGTAGTATTTTTTAAAGCTTGAATTACTTAGGTAATAAAGTAACACTTTATTGAGTAAATGGAAAATCTACTTAGATATATGAAACTTTTAAAAAATAGAACTTTAAAATTAAAGAAAACTGGATTCTTTTACATTTGCATCTCAGCATCACCCAATATACCTTTGTAACAGACATGCATATGTACCCCCTGAATCTGTAATAAAAGTTGAAAAAAATTTAAATGCCCTTCTCTGAGTGTTGTAGGATATACTGATAGACTCCGGACGCATGTCCAAGTCAGAGTTTGGTTTTCAGGTTGGAGATGTCCTGGCTTAAATTGTCTAGAAAGATGATATCTTTTACTGTTTCTGTGCCATGAAGATGTGTGTAACATACCATCTCCCTCTACCTCCCACCCCCAACACCATATGAAGGAGCCATTTCGTTATGCAAAGAATACAATCTGAAATGGCTTAAGGGGACTTGATTGGCTAGGAGCTGCCCATGGCAAGCAAAACACATGGAATATGAAGATATGGAACTGCTAAGAGGACCCCCCAGACACGACTTTATGCAGAGGCTCCTTCTTAGCTGTGAAGGATATGTTCAAAAACCAGCAGCGGCTTCCTGAAACCACGGATAGGACTGAGCCTTATAATACACTATGTTTTTTCCTATACTTACATACCTATGATAAAGTTTAATTTGTAAATTAGGCATAGCAAGACTAACAACAATGACTAGTAGTAAAATCAAATGATTGTAACAATATGCCAGCATCAGTACCTCGGTGCTTTAGGGCCATTATTAGGTAAAATAAGAGCGACTTGAACATAAACACTGAGATACCGTGACAGTCCATCTGAAAATGAGACGGATCTGAAAAGAAGGACAGGTTTCATCACACTGACAGATGCAGGAGGCTGATAAGGAGGGTCCCTTGAGGATCTCTGACCCACCTCACAAGTGTTTACATCAGACGCTTTTGATCAGATGAGAAAACCTGCCCAGGGTCTTGTCTGCGCATGCCTGGAATGGACTGGGGACCTACCTGCACTGGGAAGATGGGGTGGAGCCATGGGAAGTTCATGCCTTGTGCAGGGGGAGGAGCTGGGCCTCTTCAGCTAGTATGTGGTGGCTGGTATTCAATCTGTGAGGTGGGAGCCATTGGCAGGATTCCCTCTCACTTTGCTGAGTGTTTTCTTTCTGCTCTTCTCACCCTTCAATGTGTCCACATGCCTAATTTTTTCTGGTTAAGACACAAGAACGTGGATTTAGCTGAACTAAGGAGCAAAAATTCTGCATCATTAAGATGGCCCATATGGGGACATGAGGAAGGGTGCGTAAGGTGCGGATGAAAAAATCTTTTTCCCTTTTATTTCTAAGACTTTTTGTTCTTGGACTTCTTCTTAGGGTAGAGAAAACTGCGCCTGCCACTGTCCATATCACTCTCAGGGATTGGGAATGGCAGTGTCAGTCCAATTCAGCCTTTCTATGGGATTTTCCTTCCTTTTTTCGGGATGGACAGGCGAGCAGCCAGATATGGCCCAACATCCCTGCATGGCAGACTGGCCAGTGTTCCCTGCCATGTGTCCAAAGAGTCTTCACCTCCAAGTCTTCCCCTCCCCTGGCCAGGAAGTCCAGCTCCATCTAACAGCAATAAGGTTTTTCTCCCTGTTGGAGAAAACCATTTGCCTAAGAATAAGAGGTGATCACCCCAAGCATCTTTCAAACCCTGCACTTTAAGCGGTTTTTTTGTTTTGTTTTCTTTTTCTTTTTTTTTTTTTTACCCAGTTAGCTGTTAACACAGCCCTGAACTTTAAATGTTGTTTTGCTTTTTTTTCTTTTCTCCCCCAGGTCAGGAGTTAACTTTTAAGGGAGAGTTTTTTCCATTTAGAAAACATTTTACTAGGCCAGGACCCCAATTATCACTGTTTATATCCTCTGTAAACAGTGATGTTGTTTTTGTGAGGTTGGTCTCAAGCTGTAGCCAATCTGGTGTACTTTGCATGTCTTTCTGTGTAATCAGTAGCAAACTTTGCTGCAGGCCTCCAACTTGTTTTATGTATTTGGGAGTGTGACCTGTAATCATGTGGCAGTACTTTGTTTTAGCCTCCACCATTTTACAATGACAGCCCAGGTTCAATCCTGGCTTAGGGAATGAGTTCTTTCTGGTTTGGTATCTGCATCACTGTTGCCATTTATTGATTCTCTTCTCCTCCATAAACCACCTTGGATTTTACTTTCTTTAAGCCTTTAAAATACTTGGCCACTTGGTACAGCTAAAGCCAGGTAATAAGGGATTTGAAAAGATTTTCTTAAAGAACACTCAGCTTAATTAAAGTGGATATCCAAGTTATAATATATTTAAAAGGCTTTTATGTTTTTCTCTTCTGGGATCTTGTTTTGATGGAAAAGGGTTTTTTCTCAGTCAACTGAATTATTTTTCTCCATTTTACCTTGCCACTCTTAATGCATGCATGAAAGGGGAGAGACCTCTGTTTTCCTCATGGGGCTCCAGGAATTAAAAGTAGATCCCTCTAAAAATCTGTTTTTGTATTTCGGCTATCCCTGTTTATTAGGCCCTAGAAACCACATGTTTTCCCAGTCTTGCTCTTAAAGGGCTCCACCCAGAGGCCAATAATCCAATTAGTAGATGGGCAAAAAAACAACCTTCTAGCTATTGGATCTTTCTCTGTCGGTCTATGTAGTTATATATGTGTTTTGTGTGTGTGATGTCTGTAAAAAAATTAGCTCTAATTAATTGACTTGAAGGGAATTTGTAAGGGGGAGATAAAGGTTGTGGTACCTTTTAGTTCACATGATTTTAATATTTGAGAAATAAGAGCAGCCTTAAAGATTACTGGTAAAATGCAGAAGTCATCAAAATTAAATTTTTGCCTAGGGTTAAAGGATTGTTTTGAATTAGATAAGATAAAGGTAAAAGTGCAAACAAGCTGTGGAAGGATTGTAAAAATTAATCTTGCAAAAGAAATTCCATGTGTGAACATAATGACTAAATTCAAAAGGGTATGATATGGTTTTTCTGTAAATTGAGCATTGAAATAAAAGCACAACAAGCTACTCTTAAGGCACTAATCTGCTCTTTGGCAAAATTTGTAAAGGGTTAGAAAAGGTTTTTCTTTTTAAAATTTCTGAATCATCATTTTGGCAAAATAAATAACTTATGGCAATCTGGAATTCTATTTCATAACATCAAGAGTTTTAAACCTCTAACACATTTAACAGGCCTCCCCAAATCAAACATCAGTTTCAAAATTGTCTTTCCTGACAACTGGCTTTTGGATGCTACAGAGAGAATCTGCAGCATCCAGAAGAGAAGTAAGCAGGATTATTTGACATGTTTAAGTACACAGGATTACCAAAATGATGTTTAATGTTCTTTATGTTATATTTTAGGGAAAATATTAATATATGTTCCAAAATTGTATGGGATTTCTAAAGTTCTAATATCTGAGTATATGCTATCAATCACAATTAAGGTTGTATGTTAAGTTATTATAAACCACTGAGATAACCAAATGACTTTATCAATTGTGTTTCTAACTGTAACTACCCTGAATATTTTGTTTCTCAGAGACCATTGTCTTGTTTTGATCCTCTTCAAAAGACAGTTTATAGTCAACTACAGAAATTTGATATCTGCTTTCAAATGCAGGTTTCTGATAACTTTGGAGATTGTGACATTGGAATAAAGGAAAATTGTACAGGACTCATAAAGAGCTGAAGTGTTCATGAATATCAAGCAAAACAGAGTTACCTGAATGGACTGAACTAATAGAAAACTGAATTAATCTTTTTGACTTCTGCTTGGAACATTGCTGATCCATGCTTTGTTTTTCAGAATCAAGGAAACTTATCTTAACCTTGAGTAAGGTATACTCCTGTGAACAAAATTTGGAGCATATTTACCTCTCTCTCTTTCTGGCTTCTCCAGAATTTGGAAACTAGTTGTGAGTATTCTTACCTTATGGCAATATAGTTGTTTGCATCAGTGCAATAATAATCCATTTTCTTTTGCAATGAGATGCAATTGGAGAAACTTGGTGTGTCACCAAGGCTTTGACTGGAATGGTATGCTTCTCTTTAAGCAGTCAAGCTTGACTACTAGAGCTGATAAAAGCCCCTTGGTAAAACTGGCCTCATACCCTGTCTACACCATCCCTGTACAGGGTTCCTAACCTGCAGTGAATAAAGAATGTCACTTTTTAACAGGCCCAAGAAACTCGTTTTCTTGGGACCTCAAGAAAAGAGGAGTTTACCCAACTCACAGGTATTTGAGGGTACAAACCCATAGCTGGGCTCAGCTTTAAAAATCCTATCTGAGATTCCTTGTGAAACAGAGTTCCATCAAAGCCAATGCAAAAGGCTTATGTAAAAATAATTATTCTTGTGGAACTTTATGCAAATCATCAGGCCAAGTATAAGGCTAAACTCTATTTTGCAAATAACTCAGTCATATCATGATTTGTTTTTAACAAAAATGAGGATTGGAGAGAGAGAAATTATGTTTCAAAACTTATCTCACATTTGTCATAAATTCTAGACTCCTTAGTTGTTTTTAAGTTTTTGCTTACATTTCAGGCTAACCTTGTTTATTCCTGTGAACCAACCAGCAATCTCCAACTGCAGCTCAGAAGGAACAAAAGGAGATGGGAAATGTAAACATCTGGATCAATATTCTAGTTCTGAGCAATTATCCTGCAGATCCTGCCAGGTGATGGGAATAAAACAGGATACCCATCATCCAGAGGTTTCCTTTTTGGGAAAGTAAGGCCAAGGCAGCTAACCAAAGCCAAGCCCCATGCACCCAAATCTTGGCAAGCATAACTATAGCCACCAGTTATCTGTGCATGTCACAAGACATCTTTTTCTCTCCCTTGTTGGAGGAGGACTGAATTCCACAGCTTCATTTTAGCATTTGGCTTATAGTAAGGAGTCCATGCAGCCCCCTCAAAACATATTTTTGGTTCCAAACTCAATTCCAAGCTTTGGGTAGAAGTCTCATGAAAGAAAACTGGATCTGAGGGATCCAGAAGCAGATGATAATGGAAGTTAAAAGGCACAGTGCAGGTAAGCGTGACTGATTCCTGCTGATTAAGCCAAGCTTCCCATTTCATGGATAAAGCCATGCTAGTATCCATAGCATAAATGAGGTGTAGGGAATTCTAAGGCTACTGAAACAGGGGAGATAGGGCGTACAAAGCCCCCTGGCCCACGTTAACATAAGTGAAAGCCTCTTTGATTCCCTGTCACTCTTGCTGGGACTTGGGATATAAGAATGGAAGAAAGAAAGAGAAATGACTCACTTTCTCCCCCTCAAACACCCTGGGTGTTCACTAGAAAAGAGTAGGGAACCTGAGATGCCTCACTCCCGTCTTTCTACATGAGTAGCTATTCATCTTCAGTGTGTACCCCTTTCAAATGCATCCTGAACCCCTAGGACTCCTTTGAAAAAAAATGCCCTCTTTTTTCTTTTTCCTCCTCTGTCCTCTCTTCACAGATAGGTAATTTTGTCTCCATGCTACAGGACATTCCCCTTGGATACATCCTCCAAACTGGGAAAAGTTAATTTCCCAAACCTTAAACTGGTTGGCTTAAGATTGGGCTTGGGGAAGGAAACCCAGAAGCTTGACATGCTGGCAAAGGGGAAACATTTGTTTTTTTACCAGTCAGGCTTTTGGCCTCCCTCTTCCTGTGCGAATTGGTAAAAGGCCTTGGGATTTTTTAGCTGTCCTTACCCCACCTTGTTTCCTTTTGATACATCTTTTCTAACAACCCAGTTTGTCTCTTCTCACCTTCAAGACATCAAACTTCAAATAGTCATGCAACCAGAGCCTCTGACTATGGCCCCTTCTGCCAGGGGACCCTTAGGTCAGTCCCTGAGTGAGCTGACTGCCATTTGCCCAAAGCAGCGCCCCCTGTCAGCAGGAAGCAGATAAGATCAATCTTCATCCTTACCTTATCCTTATTCTAATGGTAGTTAAATATACTTCTTTAGACTGGGGAATGATAGATGTAGGAAGCAGATAAGGGTGGGGGGGCTGTCCCTGGAGAATCTCCCACCTGCCCCACAAGGATTTACATCAGATGTTTTTGTGCAGGTGAGAGACTCTGCCCAGGGTCTTTTCTGTGCGTGCCTGCAATGGACTGGGGACCCACCCATGCTCTGGGAGGATGGGGTTGAGTCATGGGAAATTTGTGCCTTGGGCAGGTAGGAGGAGCCTGCCCTCTTCAGTTCATGTGGGGTGGACTGGTATTCAATCTGTGTGGTGGGAGCCCATTAGCAGGGCTCCCTCTTGTTTTGTTGAGTCGTTTTTTATTTTTATTTTTATTTTTTCCCCTTTTTGCCCAATAAATTCTGCTCTCCTCACCCTTCAATGTGACCACTTGCCTAATTTTTCTTGGTTACAGCTGAATGAAGGAGCAAAAATTCTGCATCAACACTATGCAGAATGGTGCACAATTTAAACCATATGAATTGCTTATTTCTGGAATGTTCCATTAATATTTTAGGACCACAGTTGATCTTGGAATATTGCTCTGTAATACCCCATAATAATATTGAAAAATAGAGCATATAGCAACCAATACATGGTAAAAACATTCTATTTCCCAACTTCTTCCACCAGCGCTACGATTTCAGCCAATAATTTCCAAGTTATTAAAGTTTTGGTGTTTGGCTTTACCAATTTTTGTTTCACTACATGGCATGGGTCTCAATTGTTTAAGTCTCAGAGAAGCTTCCTCGCTGCATGCCACCCAAACCTAAAGCCGGTGGCTTCATTTTATATATATATATATATAAAATGTGTGTATATATATTATATATATATTTTATATATAATGTGTATATATTATATATATTTATATATAATGTGTATATATTTTATATATATAATGTGTATATATTATATATTTTATATATATAATGTGTATATATATTATATATATTATATATTTTTATATATATAATGTGTTTATATTATATATATTTTATATATAATGTGTATATAATATATATTTTATATATATTATATATAATGTGTATATATATTATATATATAATGTGTATATATATTATATATATAATGTGTATATATATTATATATATAATGTGTATATATATTATATATATAATGTGTATATATATTATATATATAATGTGTATATATATTATATATATAATGTGTATATATATTATATATATAATGTGTATATATATTATATATATAATGTGTATATATATTATATATATAATGTGTATATATATTATATATATAATGTGTATATATATATATTATATATATGGTATAAGGAGGTAATTAATAGAGAAAGTTTAAGCATGAGTGTGGTCTTGGAGCCATCTTTTCTGGGTTGGAATGCCAATTCTGCTAGCTTTTACTAGCTGGAAAACGCTGGGCAAGTTACTTAAACATTATTTTCCCACCTGCAAAAAGATTGCCTTGTTGAGTAAGATATTGGATGTTTCTAAAGCCATTGCTATGCCTGAGACAGAATGACAAGCATGCCACCACAGCTGTACCTGGCTCCTGACACCTGTGTATGGCTGATGTGTCACATCTGTCCTCCAACAGTTTTATTCTACTGGATTCTTAAGGTAAGGCACAGTCTTGCTGTGGTGTTAGTTGTGGAATGAAGTATTTGTTTGCTTTAAGAATTATATCAGAAATGGGTGAATTCTAGAATTAATTAAGGATGCCTGAAATAAATATATATTTATATATTTTCCCCACATTTTTAACATCTATGAAATAATAGATGAATGTCAGAGTATAATTATCATTTTCATAATAGTACATAAAGTATTACAATAATAATTTTTACAACAGATTACAGGGCAACATTTTCTAAGGAAGATGTATAGAAAATAAAG
This sequence comes from Homo sapiens, assembly GCF_000001405.40. Classification (NCBI taxonomy): domain Eukaryota; kingdom Metazoa; phylum Chordata; class Mammalia; order Primates; family Hominidae; genus Homo; species Homo sapiens. The sequence goes on from NC_000007.14 coordinate 48,896,759, forward strand.
CAAAAAAGAACAAAGGCAAAAAACAAACACACAAACAAAAAAACCCATGGAATAAAAACCTGTTTGACTGATTTGACTGTTAGTCTGTGGGTCTGTTAGTCTTTAGGTCTCCAGTGTCTCCCAAACAAGAATCAGGCTGCAAAGCTATGTGGTGCTTCAACACCCAAATGGCCTCCCTGGCCCAAGGGAATGATGGAAAAGGAAGACCCTCTCACAGGACAGAGAATAGACACTTCTGACAGTAAGATGAATTACAGCCCTGTTGGGCAATTGCTCCTCACACAACAGAAGCCATTTGCTGCTGAGACATGAGACTTGTTCTAGGCCAGAGGTCCAAAAAGGACAGTGTTGAGCAGCTTAAATGAAGAGAGCAACATGTTTTTTTTTCTCAATACAATTCTCTATGGGTTTTACTATCTTCCCACATTTAGTATTGTAGAAGAGAAGCCTAATGCTAATTTATTAATTTGTTTTCTTGGCAGTTAATTGTGCTTTCTGTTCTCATATTATATACATTTTTACATCGGTTCTCCTTATTTTGGAAAAATCAGAAATTTTACTAAGGTATGTCTGGATGTCAATCTTTTTATATTATTTGTTTTCCTCTTCAAGAACTTTCTTCAGATTGAGAATATCTTTTCTATGAATGCTATGACTGTAACTGTTGGTTGTCTTTCCTTCTAGTTAGGTACAAGCACACCCACACACATACACACATGTGCACACAGGCACAGGCACACACATATGAACCCAGACACATTCACACAGATGAGCTTTTTATCCTCTGGGATCTATAGCTTATATCAATAGCTTGTAGTTTTTCACTTTGTCGTTATCTGTTAATACTTTGTCCTTTAAGCAGGAGAAACTTTCCTCCAAACAATAAATTCCATTTCCTTCCTGTTCAGTATCATTGATTCCAGCATTTGAAATTTTAATAATCATATTTTCCATCTGAAAGCAGTCATTTGTCATTTCTGATTGTTCTGATGTTCTCATTAAATTGCCACTTTTATTCCTTTAATCTGCTAAAGAATATGAATATGAAATAAAGGTTTTTGGAATATTCTTTTTTTCTCATGGAATGTGTCCACAATTTAATACAGTAATATTTAGGGTGACCCATAACTTCTCACAATGTTTTTTTTTTTTTTTTGCAAATTTTGTATATTAAGAGCTAGTTATCTGTGGTCATTTTTGTCCAGTCATAGGATTTAAGTTTTTTTTAAATTTCCTGAGGTTACAAAAGATGCTTTAAAAGTGTATTTTCCTTATAATGCAGCCATAAAAAAGAATGAGATCATGTCCTTTGCAGGGACATGAATGAAGCTGGAGTTCATTGTGCTTAGCAAAGTAACACAGGAAAAGAAAACCAAATACCACATGTTCTCACTTATAAGTGGGAGCTAAATGATGAGAACACCATGGACATATAGAGGGGAACAACGCACACTGGGGCCTTTTGGAAGTTGGAGGGTGGAGGAGGGAGAGAATCAGGAAAAAGAATTACTGTACTAGGCTTAATACCTAGGTGATGAAATTATCTGTACAACAAACACTCATCAAATAAGTTTACCTACAGAACAAACCTGAACTTGTAGCTCTGAACTTAAAATAAAAGTTTTGAAGTATTTTTAAAAAGAAACACACAAAAAACAAAATAAAACAAAATAATATAAAATAAAATGTGTATTCCTGAGTTAGGGGTTCAGTTGAGTCTGAAGTGGGCTTTTGTGTCACAGCAGCACCCATGTTTCTTTCTACTTCATGAATTCAGCTGCAGCAGCCAGCAGCAGGTCATGGTTGTTCATCTCCGGCCAGGATTGTTTTGTTTGCTAGGAGGCAGAATGATGAAAAACATAAGAGAAAAACGCATGCTTATATCTGTTTATATAATCAGTTTGTTATCAGTTTGTGGACTAAAGACCAATTTGTCATGTTCCTGGACAGAGTATATTCCACTTTTACAAGCTTCCACACAGAGTCTTCAAACTTTTCTCAAGAAAGCCATGAGCTTTTTGAAGGCAGAGATGGTATCTACTCTAGTGTTGAGGCAGGAAATTTACACTTGTGTTCAGTTTTTAGGACTGGTTGTAGGAATGAAAGAATGAATGAAGATGCAAGCCAAACAGTCGATGGGTGAGTTCTCCTGTAACCACTGAGCTGTGAGAGTCCTGCTGTCCCTAGACTGCCTTACTGTGTCCCCTCCCTGGGAGAGCTGTGGTGGGTGTACTCTGCACCAATTTTGTGCTATGCTGGGAGGGCATCTCAGGGAATGGTAGGTGTGTGGTACCCGAGGAGATACACATGTGGTCTCTTTTTATCCACGTCTTACATATCTCTGATGCTGCACTTCATCTCTCCTTGGAACTCTCTCCATCTCTATTTTCTCTGCCTCCCTTTTCTCTGTCCAGGTGGCTCGAAGCTCAAAGGATGGAGAAATCATCAGATCAGTGGATACGATAATTTGTTTAAATTCCAACTTTGTAAATCAGGGGTTATGTGACTTTGGCCAGGTTGTTCACTTCTATTCTGAGTTCCAGTTTCTTTATATACAGGACCCAGCACTGAAACAGATGAACTTTCAGGTATTTTTGAGTTTCTTTAGTCAATTCTCGGTCTCAGTTCGTGCCCACCGGTCAGTTTCCCAGCTACTGTTAGCTTCCAGGTGGGCACCCCACTGCCTCTCCCCACTTTTCTTCCACCACTCTCTAGAGAAGCCCATGCTGCTGGCTCTCTCCTTAGAAGTAATTGCATTTCTATACTGCCTTGAGACGCAGATAACAATCCCTTTTCTAGGTAAGACAATTGGGGTTCAGGGAGGTAAACCCACTAGGAAAAGTGACATCGCAGTTAACTATCGGAACCAGAATTTGATTTTAGGCCAATCTGAAACCATGATCTCTTGCCCTTTTGTATTTTATTTTGCTCAAAATAAAAATTCAGAAAGGATGGATCAAACATGGATTTTATTAATTTAGAAGTTAATTCACAGTTCCACATTGTTATTTTCTCCTTATGTGTTGGGCACTACGCAGAGAACGCAGACTGCCTTGGTATGAGTAAATAAAAGGGCATTTCAGTGCTAGCTGATGCTGGCCGCTAGACCCTGGTTTGGAGTTGAAGAAGAGTGATCACTCTTAGCTTTCCACACAGAGGTAAATGGGCAATGCCCTGGCCTCCTGTGGCGTCTGCAGCAGTGCCGAGTCTAACTTGCAGGTCAGTGGTCAGTGATGGAAAAGGACTCCTGCTTGCTTGATGTCAGAGCTACCACATGAGAGAGGCTGCACAAATTCTGACATCAAACTGCCTTGGGAGAATGTACATGGGACTAAGTGGGTGTGGGCTTGACCCCACTCTTAAGTCATTGACTAATTCTTTTCATTAGTCACACTACACTTTCTAAATCTAACCACAACATTTAGAAACAACATTTGTTTGGAAATTCAACATGCTGCACCAGAACCAAGTTTGATCATATTGCTTGTGACTCAGGGTCTAAAGACTGCAACAAACTTAGCAAAGATGTGGTTGGTATCCAAAGGGAAAAGCTCCTCATTTTAAGGTAACATCTGCTTGAAGGGCTTGGTGCCCCAGAGGGTACTTTACCAGAAGGCCATTAAAGATACAAATGGTCTCTAAACTCCAACTTATTTTATGTTTCAATTCAGCAAGCCAGAGTCATCAATTTTTTTTTCTTTTTTTCTTTTTCTTTGTCTATTCAACAACGCTAGTCACGGAGGCAGGTAAACATGAAATTGGCAGATGATAAACTCTGAAAACTAAACCCATATAGTAAAGCCAAATTAAAACATTTGAAAATGTTTTTATTCTTGTGTGTTGGTTCATTCAAAATAGAGACTTCTTTTTTGATTTTTAAATAGATACTAGTTTCATTCCCATGACAGTTTTGTTAAATATAAAGAATATTTTCTTGTACATCTTCCACAGGACAATAAACAAATTGAAGTGCAAAGTCATTCTGAGAAGGGAAATTTCAAAATACATTTTAGGATCCAGGATCTTTTGCACTGCATGTGAATTAGCTATTTTTAGCCTAAACATAAGACTTATATTTAGAGGCTGAAATCAGCTGATATAGCCTTATTTATGGTCTGACCCAACTGAGAGATGAAATCCGCTGTGATCATGGACTCAGACACATAAATTCAAACTTAGTCTCTAAATATAAGGGGCTCCTGATGACTACAGGTGACATTTGCTGGAGTTTTCAGACTTAACAAAAGAGTGTCCCTTTTTGAATGTTTTAGATTACATTTTTTTAAAATTGAATTTTTTTAATTCAGCAGCTAAATTTCATTTAAAATGATTTTATATCTTGTCCTGATTACTAATGGGGGCTTAGAAATCATACTGAAAACTTCATTAAGTTCCTCATTCATATTTCAGTAAAAGTTGCCTCAATTGACTTTCATATATATTTTGCAAACTTAGATTAATTTTATCAGAACATCTTTGGTAAAAATTATTGATATGCTTTTATTTCTTTGGAAAATATAATGTATTAGCCAACCTACTGTGGTAAAATCAACTGTGTTTTTCTCAGTAGAGGGACAGTCCATTCTTTTCTTTATTCTTATAAGCAGGGGAGATCAGATACTTCCCCAGCCACAACGATTCAGAATTACTCATTTGAATGGAGGATATAATCTCAAACTTCTTTCTGAAGCTAGTAAATATCATCCTAGTCTAAATTAGTTCTGTCTAGAGATAATTCAACAAATGACGTTTCTTATAACTGGATTTCACCTTCTTTTCTAGTGAAAGTGCCTTTTAAAATGTATGGAGTAGTGAAATGAGCAGATCAAGGAATTTAAAGACATAGGGAAAATAAGAAAGTGGTAAGAATTTACCAAAGCCATGAGCTCACTGTCTTTTTCTTGACATGTTTGATTAGTTTGTGGAACTGAATACCTTCACAACTTAGAGTAATAGGAAAACTACCTCTCCACTTTTGTTGTTGTTGTTGTTTGTTTGTTCTCAGAATTTGGCTTCATTTTGTAGGAGAGAAATAATGCGGAGCCATTTTGAGACAGAAGTAGGAGATCTGTCAAGTCAATACTGCATTACAGTTTGGTCCGTTGAAGAAGCCATGCCTGAGATATAAAAGATGCTTCTACACTTTACCCGCTTTATGTTTACTTCCTCTCCCCTTTTCTTTCATCAACTTTATTGGGTTAAAACACCACATACCGCTTTCTCTAAATGACTCCCTGTGTCTGGAGTTTGGTTAGAATTTTATGTCCTAAACCAAACTTGTGGCTATACTACTCGTGCCCTGCCATAATACCTGACATAATACAAAATATAAAGTCATAGGAAAAACTTCTGGATGCCATCCCAAACCATGACATATTCAATTTAGAATCTCCTGAATGTCAAGATGACAGATGGCACACAATCTGTATGGATCCAGCTCTTGAGCAGCAGAAGCACATAATTGCAAAGCCTACGCTGATTAAAAGATACAAACACTATTTCAAGTTGTCTGTATCAGAATCACAATGTTTGTTTAAAGCTGATCCTTCACTAGAAAAAAAAGCCAGTTTGGTTAAATTGAAGAGAATGTGGTAACCTGTCAATTCTGAATAGCCACTCCATGAAAACGAGTTAATACATGTTAGAAAGATGAAGGGGAGGAGTATTTACTGACACAGCACTCTTCAATCTCTCCATTTTGATTACAAAAGCAGGCCTTACAATATTGATTTCACATAATATGCATTATTTGCCAAATTTTAAATTTGTCCTAATTAGATAATAACATGTACTGGTGTTAGTCTTTCCCATAGATGTCATTTTTCTTGCGCTTCATTTCCTCAAAGTCAAACTCGAATCCTGTAATCTTCTTATAGATGTTTTTAATGTCATCACAATTGTCTCAAAGTGAGTGGTAGGGTTGTATGCACGGGAAATAAAGATCTGGCTTTCTGTTCCCAAGTCTTTCGGTACCAGGAGGCCACTGATACTAACAAATTCCCATCTAGTTGGCTCCAAGAGCTCCAAAGATGATATGACTTCCTTCTCAGGCTCCTTGGTTTCCACAGTTGTGGTAACTATGGCAATATACTTCTCTTGTGTTGCTACATTGTGCGCAGAGGAGATCGTGCAAACACAGATATCTGACTTTCTACTGACTTGGTTCTGTGGAATAATGATCTGGCAGGAGTTGACATCACTGGTGTTCTTGATGGAGTGGCTGAGGATGCAAATAACTCTGATGACCTGGCCCACTTTTTCTAGCTGATCTTTTACATAGCTAGGGTCACAGATGAGCTGCTTACAGTGAGCAATTTCTCCTTCGGATTTTATACCAATTACTTTTCCATCCTGCACAATGATTTCTTCAATTGGCTTATTCAGCATATAGGTACCTCCATAAATAGCACTTAGCCTTGCAAACAGCCTTGTGGCAGTTCTCCAAGGCCATAGAGTGGATAAAGGTATGGACTTTTGACGTATCTTGCCAAAGATTCACTGTCATGTTTAATTCTATTAATGGTTTCACAACATGGTTGATCTAAGTAGTCATCAGTTCTGTAAAGTGCAAGAGCATGACCAGTAAAATCTATAACATCTTGGCCCAAATCAAATTTCTTATACACCTCTCACATTGTGGTCTTCTTAGGATCAATTCCCTCTAAAGTTCTCGGATCTTTTTCATCTAAGTTGGCAACATAAACTAGGAATTTCCTGAAGTGACGTTTCTTAAACAGTCCTATTAAGCTAGATGTCAGGGCTTCTGTTTCAGTGGAAGGAACCTTGTAGATTTGTCCACACTTATAGACAAAGCTCCCTTCAGTCGCTAAAATCCAGATAGTGAGTTATCTCTGTATAAAGCAGCATTTAACCAGCTGACCATTAGCCACAAGGAACTTGGGAATCAAGTCAACATTCCAGTCTCTTCCTCTCCCCATTGATGGTTATGGTGGTCCTGGTATTTTAAATATTTTGTATACATCTTCCAGTAGTGTTATAGAGGCACTCTCTCCTCCATTGTAAGGGTTTCAATCCATATGAAGAACTTTCTTGCCCTTCACTGATGTTACACCTGAAAGGATACATTCCATCAGGCCAATGCCCAGCACAATCACATCATACTCCTCATTCATGGTGGGTGGGGCAGGTGTGTATGCAGGACCCAAGAAAGGAAAAGGCGCACGGACTCTGTGACCTCCCTACGAGGCTGTGAGGTGCTCTCTGGCACAAGGGAAAAGGGAAGAGTACTCTCCACTTTTTTTTTTCTTTTCTTTTTTTTTTTTTCTGAAATGGAGTCTCACTATGTCAGCCAGGCTAGAGTGCAGTGGCGCGATTTCAGCTCATTGCAACCTCTGCTTCCTGGGTTCAAGCAATTCTCCTGCCTCAGCCTCCCAAGTAGCTGGGACTACAGGCTTGCGCCACTATGCCCAGCTAATTTTTGTATTTTTAGCAGAGATGGAGTTTCACCATGTTGGCCAGGATGGTCTCGATCTCTTGACCTCGTGATCCACCTGCCTCAGCATCCCAAAGTGTTGGGATTACAGGCGTGAGCTACCATGCCCACTCCTCTCCACTTTTTAAGGAAATATTATTTCTAGTGAAGTTTACACTGGATCTTCAATTTTATGAAAACCATCTAATTTAAAAATATCATTTTCAATACTTTTTCTTTGACTTCATTTTCCTAAGTATGTATTTCCCCTGCTTGAATATGGCTTAAATATATTATTTTATTTCCATAGTTTGAAGGATATTGGATTTAACATTATCAACATGTAAATCACTGCTCTGCCACTTACTCAGTTGAGTAAAATGGGAATAATAATGTCTACCATGTGAAACTGCAAAAAGGGTTACTGATATGATGTACGGGAGATCCCTAGCACACACAGTATCTGGTGGACAGCTGTCTTTCATAACTATGTGTTAAACTGGAAAATCAAGTCAAGTAATCTTTGATTTATTTTTACAAAGAATATGAAACAAGATAGCATAATTAATGATAGAGACAGGGCTTCAACCCAGCCCCTCTGTTGTTTCAACCACCTTTTCAGGCCCATAGGTACAAAGCTAAAAAATAAAATACAAGTAAATAAAACAGATAACACACAAACATTTTTTTCCTTATTCTTAAAACATATTTCTCTTTGGCTGCACATTCATTCTGATGCAAGTTTCTCTGTAGAGAGTTGTTGTCCAGCGTTTATTGTGTGTATGGCTGGTTAAAAATGAATGTAAAATTCTCAGCTCTTGCAAACCAACTGCAAAGACAAAGAATGACAGCCAAATGGGGTAGATAGGTGTCCCAAGAAAGCATCTCACAGAATCATTAACCAATATGCCCTGCAGTATCAGAATCTATTGATGTTGGTTCTACGCTGAGCTCTACTGCCATTTGCTATTTATTTTGACAAGAAGTGAAACCATCAGGAATGTGCTGATTCATTGCCCCTTTGATAGGAGATCATGGGGCACAGGGGACAGTTTGGTGAGTAGGCTTCACACTGTGCTGTGTTTTTCCCAGAAGGTTTGGTTTATCATTAAGAAGCAGGGAAATGTGGCAGAAAAACAAAAACAAAAACAAAAACAAAAACAAAACAAAAACCATGGCCTTGATTATATGACACTTTTTTTCTTTTTCTTTTTCTTTCTTTTTTTGAGACGGAGTCTCTCTCTGTCCCCCGGGCTGGAGTGCAGTGGCGCGATCTCGACTCACTGCAAGCTCCGCCTCTCGGGTTCACGCCATTCTCCTGCCTCAACCTCCCGAGTAGCTGGGACTACAGGTGCCCATCACCACGCCCAGCTATTTTTTTGCATTTTTAGTAGAAATGGAGTTTCACTGTGTTAGCCAGGATGGTCTCGATCTCCTGACCTCGTGATCCACCCGCCTCAGCCTCCCAAAGTGCTGGGATTACAGACGTGAGCCACCGCGCCTGGCCCGAATACGTTTGTTCTTAATCATTGCCATAATCTCCAATTTCTGCCTTCCTTACCATTATAAGCATAATCATGATAAAATATTATCTTTTCCTAGACCAATAGCGTCCTTCTGACTTCTTTTCCTTTCTCCAGAGTCCAGATAAACTGCCTCGGTTCCCTTGTCTTCTTACCCTCTGCCTAAGGCATCCTAGGAATGTTTATCTTGGCTCTACCTTTATCCTGTACTTCTGCTTTCCTGTAAGGAGACTAGTCCTACCTGTGAAGCACCATTTTTCATTCTCAGTACATTGTTGACTATGCATATCAAAGAACTATATGATAAAGTACACCATGATTTTATTACTAGTATGGTTTCTGATTGTGTTCTAGCCACACATCATTAGTCCTGCTATTAAGAAAACTAGTACCATTCATTTCCAAGACAAATAGGTGTCCCTACCTAAGGCATTGAGAGATAAGGCCATGCATATTCATAAGGAAAATTTTCTGCTCCCAAAGATTTAACTGATTTTTCTCTTTAAGCTTCTATAGTAAAAATAACCAGAAGTTCAGGGAATAAGATCAAGCCCAGAATCACATCATTCCTGACTGTGAAAAACAGATCTTTGGTATCTATATAACCCAAGAACATGGCATGGTTTCATACGTGAACTGAGAATATTAATATTTATATAGTAGTCATAAAAACAAAATGATATCACTTGCATATAATTCGATGATGTTCAACACTGTGTCTTGCATATGGTAGGTGCTTAGGGCACAGTTTTCTTTCCCCTAAGATAGTGCATCTCAAGTGATGTTTGTTTCATAAAATTGGAGAAGGGAATTTAAGTCATTTTATTGTTTCATATATGAAGTATTTGAGCTTTGTGTTCCAAATACGTCATTGGTAAGACCTATCCTTTGTGCAAGGAACCCTGAAAGATTAACTTAAGAGGACCTTACTTTAGCAATGAATTCCCATAGACAGATGGCACCTCTGATGGATCACTGTATATGCCACTAAGTCCCACTTTGGTCAGGAGAGTTCATTACAGAAGGCTCACTCTCACCCATTCTGCTGTTTGCTGCACATTCAGACTTCTAAGATTATTCAATGCTTTCTCATTTTAATTAAAGTAATTTCATCCAAATGAAGCCATATAGTATGTCCAATTTTACAATGTGCTGATATTTTGCAACTACATGCAACATTTGTGTTTATATTACATTTGTACACCTATTTCTTTGTGTTTTGATTGCAAATTAAAAGGTGAGCTTGGAAAGATGACATTAAATTTTGGTAATGAATATATGCAGTTATATCAAGTTCAGCTAGTTCATCTTATAAATAAAGTACTTTTAAGCAGAAATCCAGACAATCTTTCATGGGAGCATTTCAGAGGTAAATGTTAGTCCCTCTCTGCACCTCTGCCTCCTTCCGTCTCCAGCATGCAGCCCCCAGGCAGCTGTCCTGACAGATGTCTACTCCACAAGGGCTAGGCTGGACTTTGGGCATAAAATAACTTAAAAGAGGGTACAGCTAGACCCTAGCTGTTCTCCAAATCAAAGTTTCACCAAAAGCAGGTATTGGATTAGGAGATATGAGAACTATTTTCCACCCCTAAGCCAAAACTGCCCATTTTAGAATGTTATCACTTCTGTATATAAGTCGCTATAGACTTTTCTAGCTAGCACTTTCTGTGGCTACTTAATGAAAACACCCAAGGGACCCAGAAAGTTATTCTTTATTGTTCCTTAAAACTAGGGGATGATGGGAAGGGTATTTAAGCTCCTCAGAGAAAACAAATGGACAGTGCTGCTGTCTCTCCTTCCCACCCCCACCCCCAAATCCCTTTAATTTTTTTCTTTCTGTGAACCAGGTCACATGATGATCAACTCTGTGGTTGGAAGTCAGGAATCTTCAAAGGAGTGGGATGATTCTGCAAGAACTCCCACATTCTTAGTGATTGCACAGTACAGTCTGATCAACCCTCCTGAAGAGGACAGCTGCTTCATCTCGATAAACCCATCGTCATAAATCACACGATGGAATATTACACAGCAATGACAAGGAATGAACAACGGGCCATAAAACCACATGAGTAAAGTTCAAAAACATTCTGTGGAGTTGAAAAGTACATGGTGTAGGAGTCAATTTATGAAATTCAAGAACATGTAGAGCATGGTATGACAGAAGTCAGCATAATGAATACTTCTGCTGTGAAGATTGACTGGGGAAAAGGATGGAAAGACTTTCTGAGTGACAGAAACAGTTTGTATCTTTATCTCATTGAAAGTCAGACAGCTAAAAATTGACCTGGATGCACACTTCAGATTTCCACATTGCACTGTATTTACATAACACTTCAATTTTTAAAGGCAAAGGAAAGAAGATGGTGACCCCTGTGGTAGTAGTGGATGTCTCTCAGTGGTCTGAATTCTAGAGATTTTCCTGGCATTAGGAAAAAAATGCAGGATTTTTAACACATACGGCCAAGAGAAGTTGAAAAACATAGCTAAAATGCGCTTAAAAACAAAACAAAACTAAACATTAGCATAGGTTTTGTACATCCTAGTTCCTCTCCCTCTCCTTCTCTTTCTCTCTTTTGTTCAAATGCTGGAAGTGAACAACAATTGTTTTGATAATAAAATAACTACACAGTGTCAACAATGTTTCCTTCATTGAGTTTTGAGGCTACAGCAATGACAAGAAAAAATGGACTTTCATGTTAAGAATCTCACCATCTAAAAGGGAGTTATAGCATCTTTTATAATATTAAGTTGCATTTGCTGACTGCTATCTATTTACACTCAACTATACACTTACAAGGTTCTACCTGCTTTTTTGTATTAACTATTTTAACACTCACAACCAACATTGAAGGAATGAAATATCTTGCCTCAAATCAAAGAATTAATAAATGGTAAAGGCAATATTTGAAGCAGACAGTGTATTTCTGGAGACTATTCTCTCACCCACTACATGCTATTAACATTTAACCATGCTATGAGATAAACAAAGAAGTTCTCTCCTAGTTTGACTTCTGTGGCATCTGTTTCTTTTCTTTTTTTTTTTTTTTAACCTTTCCCCTTCTCTTCTCTACTTTTTACTTTCCTCTCCTGATTCACTTTCATCTGCCTGCCTGTTGAATATCAATGTTCCACAGTTTATTTCCTCGGCCTTAGTTTCTTCAAATTCTGGAATTCCATCCAGAAAGAAACATCATTTATTGCCAGTTTCAGTCACCATATGTCTTTCTTTCTGGGGAACTCATCTACCTGCATTTCCAGAGGCAATTTCAACTTATCTGGTCTGTCATTTAACTCTATATCTTTCTTCCAAAGCTTGTTTCTCCTACCATGAAAGTTGGACCTTCCACTCAACTTGAAGTCTTGTCAGCACCTTTGACCAGCTTTACACCCTTATCCTCCACAACAAATGCACAGTGACCTCCTGTCTCTCATACCCTTCCCCTCCACTCCACTAACATTACCTTGGCTCAGCTCTCATCTCTTACCTGAATTGTAACATCCCCCAGTTTCACCCATCCAAATACATTTCCACACTGTGGAGAACACACAGGAAGCTTTCTAAATTTCAAATGTGTTCACTCTACTCCCTTGCTTTGAAACCTACATTTCCCACAGGATAAAGTCCACATTTTATGGCATGAAAACCTTTGCCATCGTGCCCAGATGTTAATGGTGGAAGTGCCAGCCTAGGCAAACCTAGGCAGGTGCACTAGGTTGGAAACCGTGTCAGAAGCAATGTAGGAATGAGGATTAAAGCCACAGGTAAAGTCAGGTCAGAGGTCTTTGGAAAGTCTTTATGAAAATGGATGAGGTGTGGGCTTGGTACTGATACTTTGAAATGTTTACTTGCATCGTTCGTTCATCATTCTCAGGAAAAGCAGCAACCTGCAGCTGGGTTCTAAATAAGATTTCCAGTTTTGTCCATTCCATCCCAGATGCACCCAGGTGCTCTCTTCCTTCAGAGGAAAGAAATATCTAGTCCATCAATCACTGCCCCCCTTCCAATATTTTAGGGTATGCCCTATTTTCCCATTAGTTCTTGGTTTAGGCTACTTCTTTCCCCTGCCCTTGGCTTCCTTTCTGTCGGGAGAATTGGCTCACCAAATTCCACTTTTCCTACTGTGATTTTATTATAAAGATAGAAAAAGCTAAGTGTTCATGTTCCCAGCCTTCAGTGTAGCTTCTGACGGTCACGTAACATAAATGTGCTCAGTCCAGCATTCACAGAACTCTGCTGCTGCCTCTCTTTCTATTCCTTCTTCCTGCTTGGAATGCAGATGTGATGTTAGAATTGGATCAGAGAAACTGTGACTCTGGGGCCATGAACCCACCCACTTCACTCAGAGTTATGGGAAGCTTAATGTGAATGTGCTACATCGACCCTGGCTCAGCTGCCTCTGGGCTCCCTGGGAAGTGAGGGAAATACAGCCATATTTGTTAAGGGGAAAGTTGGAGTCGCTCTCGGCTCCACACAGCTGAAAGCATTATTAACTGATACAGCCTTTTTCATTCATAAATTATAAGGAAGGCATAATTGTCCTTACTTCACAGACATCTCATAGAATAGAAAAGCTAACTAAGCTGGTTTATCTTGGAACAAGATTGGAAACTTGTTATCTGAAACTAAAGAGGTCATTTTCCACTCTAAGGTCAGTCCCAGTGCAAAGACCAGCAGTTGTTTTTGTTCTCTCTTTTGGAGATAAGGAAATTGTGGCACACAGAAGCTTTGAGTCTTGCAAGTACCATAAACCATGTTCTTTCTCTGCCTCTCTTCTGAATCTACTTCCTTGCCGTACCATTCTACTCAACACAGCCAATCAGAATAAAGTCTTTGTCACTCTTTTAAGTCAAGAATCTACCTTAGATATCAGTGGGAATATTTTATTAAAAATACAGCACTAACAGTTATAGATTTTATCTATCTTTGAGGATTCTTTTGTGTATTATTTCTAAGGTATCAAAGAATAATGGGCCATTTCCCTAAAGGATATTTAGTATTTATTCTACTGTAAAAATTGCTAACACTGTTATTAAATATATCAGAAAATGTTTCCCTGTTTGACCACTGTTTTTGAATTGTGGCCATAGAATCATTAATTAGTTTTTAGGTACTCAATATTTTATAATCTGTTCACTGAGCATGATAAAGTAATTAAAATGAATTAGACTGAGAAGCTACAGAGCAACAGATGTTAATACCGATTGTAAATGACTGAAAGAAGCTGAGGAGCAAGCTGAGGAATTAAAGATGATTCTTTGATATGCATTTAGGATATGACACTTCTATAACCTCATTGAAGGGGATTCCACTCCTTTATGCAAACGTGTCATTAAGAAGAGACCCCCTGGTCTCTGGAAGCCTCCAAGATCTCAATACTTCTCTGCATCCACATTTATTTTCCTTTTTTTACTCTAGTATTCCTGTCTCTGTGACATCCTATTGTTTCCCAATTTAATTTCCATCTTGAATACTATTTCCTGATTTGATCTCTCATCTCTGCTGCCAATCCCCTGGATTCATGACTGCAGCTCATGCAAAAGCTCTCATCTCTTACCTGGAATTAGAAGAGGCACCCAAGCTCCTGCTGGGATCAGAGGGTGGGCCTTCTGTTACATATTGGAGACTAGAACAAGCAAGGATCTTGCCCTATGCTGACAGAGATCACATTTATTTTTAAATTTTGTGTCTGTATGTTTGTGATTCCATTTTATTCCCATTTCTTTTAGGAGATATCTGCTAGCCATGAATTCACTTAGTTTTCTTTGACTGAGAAAGCCTTCATTATTTCTTTTTCACTTTTGCAGAATATTTTTGCTCTATATATGACAGATTTTTGTGTTTATCTTTCTGTTTTATCTTTCTACACTTTAAGTATACCATGCCATTGTCTCTTTGCTTGCATAATTTATGATGAGAAGTCTGCTGTAATTCTTATCCTTGTTCCTCTGTGACCAGCATGATTTTTTTTTCCCACTTTCTTTGGAGATTTGCTTTTTGCCCTGGCTTCAGGGGAGTTTGAATAGGATATGGGGTGTGTGTTTGTGAGTGTGAGTGTGTGTGTGTGTGTGTGTGTGTGTGTGTGTGTGTGTGTGTTTTCAGTATTAATTCTGTTTTTTTTCCTCTAAACTCCTTAGGCCTGTAGTTTTGTTTATTGGTTTTAGAAAATTCTCAGTCATTATTTCTTCAATTTTTTTTATACTCCCTTCTCCTTTTCTTATTCTCAGAATGCAACTATGCATATGTTACACTATTTGATTGTGTCCCACAGTGTTGGGATGTTCTATTAGTGTTCTGGTTTTGTTTTTCATTTTTTTTCTCTTTGCTTCCAGTTTAGTAAGTTTCTATAAACCTATGTTTAAGTTTACTGATTCTTTCCTCAGCCATGTCCAGTCTACTAATGAGTCCATCAAAGGAATTTGTCATTTCCATTGCTATATTTTTATTTCCAGTATTTCAATTTGATTTTTTCTTATAATTTCCATCTCTCTATTCAAATTATCCACCTGGCACTGAGTGTTGTCATTTTGTCTAGCATTTCCATTGAAGCCGTTAACATGTTAAGCAGAGTTTTCTTTTTCAAATTCCTTGTCTGATAATTCCAGCCTCTGTGTCATGGCTCTGTCTAGTTCTAACAATTGCTTTGTCACTTAATGACTTTTTTTCTTGCTTTTTAATATTCCTTATAATTTTTTGGTTATAGCTAGACATGAAAAGAACAGCAGATATTAGATAAATTTTATATGTTGGGAGAAAAGCACAAGTTTCCTTGTGTGAGGCCTTAAATGTGGAGATGGATGTTCATCTGGTCAGAAGACAAGCTGCATCTGAAACTGTTTGTGCCATGGGCACCAGCGCTTTCTGGCCACTCCATTGGTGCCCTTTTTTGGCTCCCACTTGACTGAGTCTCCCCATGTGCCTCTTCACAGTTGTATTCCACTGCTACTTTTACTGCTGTTTTTTACAGTGGTGGTGGTCCTGGCTAAGAAGAAGGTTATCTGATGTTCACATTTAGCTAAAGATTTTGGCACGTATCAAAACCTAAGTCCTGGACATGTAGCCTTCACAGCTATTCCTGTCCCTTTTCCTGGGATAAAAATTCTTCCTCATCTTATTGCTCCTCTTCTTTTTCCCAAATTGCAGTGGTTTTGAAGCCTTTTCTCCTGCAGATTGAGACTTTGGTTGCTTAGGGGAAACTGGGATTATGCTTCTGGTTGGAGATTTGGTGGTGATCTCTATTTCCATCTTTCAGTTTAATAAATTAAAACAGTGTCTCAGGGTTAACTTTGATAATTTTCCCTCCAGATTAAGCCTTTTATCCATGAAGTACATAGTTGGAAATAGTCTGGGTAGATTTGGCAGTGGCTGCTTCTTCCACCAACCCCAGCCAGCACTACAGTGTGTGTGGGGAAAGGAGTGAGGGATGAACTTTTTCTAGGTTCTTCTTTGTTCCCCTTTGTAAATGTTGGGTGAGTTCCTGGACAAAAAGCTCACAAGAGAGTGGAACTCTCTCCTAGGAATACAGCCTTTGGAAGCTTCACATTCTCACACTAGCCCACCCGCAGCCTCCAAAAGTTCTATACAATTTTTAATTTTTGATTGGCTTATATAATATACAGTGGCTCCTGTTTCAGATGAGAAAATGCTGGAGCCTTCTCTCCAGATGTCGGGATGTCACTTTTCCCTATGATATAGTTTGGATGTTTGACCCCTTAAATTTTCAAGTTGAAATGTGATCTCCAGTTTTGAAGTGGGGTTTAGTGAGGACAGTTTGGGTCATGGAAGCAGATCCTTAATGGATGGCTTGGTGCTGTCATCACAATAATGAGCGAGTTCTCACTTTAGTAGTTCATGTGAGATCTGTTTGTTTAAAAGGGACTGGAACCTCCCGTATTCTCTCTCTCTCTCTTTTTTTTTTTTTTTTTGTTGTTGTTGTTGAGACAGAGTTTTGCTCTTGTTGCCCAGGCTGGAGTACAATGGTATGATCTCAGCTCACTGCAACTTCTGTCTCCCTGGTTCAAGTGATTCTCCTGCCTCAGTCTCCCAAGTAGCTGAGATTACAGGCATGCACCACCATGCTAGGCAGGGTGGCTCACGCCTGTAATCCCAGCACTTTGGGAGGCTGAGGGGGGCAGATCCCTTAGGTCAGGAGTTTGAGACCAGCCTGACAAACATGGTGAAACCTTGCCTCTACTAAAAACACAAAATTAGCCCCTTCTCTCTTGTGCCCTCTCTTGACACATGACAATGGCTCCCCTTCACCTTCTGTCATGATTGTAAGCTTCCTGAGGCCCTCATCAGAAGCAGATCACCACACTTCCCATGCAGCCTGCAGAAGTATGAGCCAAAATATACCAACTAACTTTATAAATTACTCAGTCTCAAGTATTCCTTCATAGCAATGCAGACTAACAAATGCTACAACCTCAGTTTTCTGATGGGTCCAAGAAAAGTCATTGATTTTCATTTTGCTCAGATCTCTTGTTGCTGTGGGGCAGATATAACGACTTCCCAGGTCTTTACATGTCTGAGCTGAAACTGGAGTCCTTATATCAGTGGTAAAAATAAATACTCTACTTAATGTTATTCCATTTTACATTCAATGTAATCAAGGAAATTAAATTCTTATACAAGGAGCCTGACCGTGTTCCCATTGGAAAGAGTTTTATCTAGTAATTTCACTCTACGTAGGTGATTAAATCACATGGGGACAAAGTGAGTGGGCTTATGCTGCACAGTGAATTAGTAAAAGAGCTTCAGATGAGCTGGATTTACATGGACTATTCCTATAACTTACAGCTTGGACACTTTTAGGCCGAACAAAGACTACAACTCATATTCCGCTTTCAAGTTGTTATATTTTCCACAAATCATTTACCATTTAAATAATCATCTGCATATAAAATTGTTTACTTTAGCCCTCTCAAAATAGATAATTTGAAGCTAAAATACGAATTGTCATCCTCTGTAATTTAGAGAGCATTTTATATGACAATTAAATGCTGAGCATGGTTAGATGCTTTTGAGAATACACTGTACCATCCTGGTGGCTTATGAGCTTTAGGGGAGAATGACGCATAAATATGAGAGAATATCAAGAACTAAGAGATTCATAGAAGTGCTAAGTGCAGGCCCATTATGGAACATATCAGCTTACAGGCCAGACACTGAAATAATGGGATTATGATAGGTAAGAGTGTCCAGTCCAGGCCAGGTTATTTTAGAGGAATCATGAGAAGAGCCCACTCTGTCCTGGAGCCTACATGGATGGAATTTTTCTGAAACATTTCAAATAAAAGTAAAATAAGCAATCTATCAATTGCCATTAAGTAACAGAAAATTTCTTTATATTTTCCAAAAGTATATCATTAGAGCTGGAATTTAGTAGGTGACCTATAATACTGGTGTTTCTGGTCAGCTATCCTGGCCAACCCGCAGTCTGCTTTTCTAACATGTAACATTAGCAGAGACCATCATTTATCCGGATCTGTGAAGCCTCCCAGAAGAGCCTGCAAGGTGAACAGCAGCCAAAAATCAGTGCTGTGGAAAAATGTGAGCTTCTACCTCACATGCCTCCTTTCCTGTTTCCTGCAGTGTTCAGAGATGGCTACTCAAGGTCATGGTTACCCTCACACACAGATTCTGAAGGCTACTCTTGGCTACAATTCAGGTAATGTCCAACAGGGCAAAGTGAGAGACTAGTTTCTTGTCAATAATGATAATCTTTTTTAATACCTAACACCAAAACAGCAATCAATACCATATTGGACTTACTCACTCGCTGGGAATGTTCAGCTAGCTAAAGAGGGGTCTGGAATGAAGATTCAGAACAGTTTCAGGAACATATTTATTGGAGTGGCATTCAAATTATAAAACATTGTAAGTATTTGGAGGAGAAAACTTCAAGTTGTGTGTGTGTGTGCGTGTGTGTGTGTGTGTGTATTGGAATTGAGGGAATATTAGAAATTCCTAACTTAGTAATTAAGCTTCTTAAGTTATTTTCACTGAAAAAGGAAATCTCAGCCTTATAATTTTCAGCAGATCTAACCCCTAATTTAAATTCTTTGTCTACTTTTCTTCATTTTTTTTTTGATGAATGGCAGCCAAATCAATAGCACTCAAGCTAATCTCACTGGTTATGTTCTTAAAGGAAATATATACCCAGAATACTTGCCAGGCGTGGCCTAAACAGCTACTATATGCATATTATTTCCAGATTCTTAATGTGTCCCTAGCCCAGAGAAAGGCCTACTTTAGCCTTGTTACAGCTTATATCAAGGCCCAGTCTCAGAAATATTTCTTCATCTCAGAAATACTTTCATGACTCTGATTCTATGAGGAAAGACATCATGCAACATTCAGCCATTGTCAATATCACTTTTTTCTCTTTTTCTTGAACTTACGCAATGATGTTCATAAATATCCATTTTCAATGTATCTATTGATCCATGAATACATTTCTGAAAGGTCATAGAAACTTGACACTAACTTCTAAGGCTTTAGAACTTTCTTCTTTGCAAAGAACCAAATCTTGTTTATTTTTCATTCACATTAGATAGTATAACACAGTCACATGAAATAAAGCAAAATGAGATGAAAAACAGTGTGCTAGTTACTATCATTCTATCATTTAATACTCAACATAACTCTAGCACGTAGGCTATGCTATTTATAATTTCAAAATGAGGAGACAATTTCAAGTAGATGTAGTACATTGAAGTCACATGGTAAAGAGCAGAGGATTTGGGATTTATATGAAGATCTGTTAGCCTTAGAGCAGGGTATTCAAATTTTGCCTTCCCTGGGCCACATTATAAGAAGAAGAATTGTCTTGGGCCACATATAAAATATATTAATCATAGCTAATGAGCTTTAAAAAAATTGCAAAAAATGTCATAATGTTTTAAGAAATTTATGAATCTGTGTTGGGCCGCATTCAAAGCTGTCCTGGCCCACATGTGGCCCGCGGGTTGTAGGTTGGACAAGCTTGCCTTAGAGCCTACGTATGTGAAGTAAATTATATTCCATTAAAATCTTAAAGGAGTTTATCATAACTACCAGGAAAAATATTTCTAAAGAATCATATTTTCATAGATAAAACACTTAGTGCCATAGCAAGACCTGCTCATGATGACTGGACACTTCAGAGGCAAAGGAAACAAGCCTTGGTGTAGCCTTGTGCCCTTTCAGAGTGAGCCTTTCCACCCTCTTCTGATGGAAAAACTTCCACTCAAGCTTAACATCTCACTAAAGCATTACCTTTCCCCTGAAGACAGACAGGTGGTGGCTCTTTCCTCCATGTCCTCAGGATTAGGACTGCTTGTAGAATATTTCTGCACCCCCAACACCTAGCTCAGACACTAGAACACAAAAGAAATGTGATAAGTATGTGAAAGAAGAAAAAAGGTGAGATGCTGATCACTGCAAGCCTTGACAACAGTAGCCATATGCCATGACATCCATTTGTCAACAATTTATTTTCCTATTATTTTCTTATTTAAATTCCCCCTGTGTTAATGAGAAGCACTTCAGTTAAGTGCTTAATAAACAAGCAATTACTTAATAGACATTAATGGCCTGCTGTATTATTGCCTGTAACATAAAGGGATAGTGAGAGGTACAAATAAAACCCAACATTTATACATCATCTTAAGGTATTAGAGAGTATTTTATAATATAGGCATTACTTGTTAAGCAATTGCGCACTTTGCTAATTGATTTGGGGTGATGGATGAAAGATTAGCATAAATAACCCATTTTTGAAGTAAACTAACATTAGCAAGGAAGACACATGGCACTGGATTTTGACTAATTTGATCAAGAAACGGTCTTCCTTTGTTCATTTATATATAAATTTGCTAATTTGCCCAAACTAAGCTCAAGTCTAGAAAACAGTACTTCATAGTTGCAAGTAAACCTGAGCGGGGCCTTCTTATCGTAATTGTTTCATTTTGCTTCACAGCTGAGTGTCTTTTCTTCTACTCAGGTGACCAGTTAATCCTGACAGAAGCTCCCAGCCCTCTGTAATTCAGCCCTGTCATCCTTGTGACGTGGATTACCTTTCTGGCTACAAATTGAATCATGGTGCCTCATCACAGTGTTGTTCTCCAAGCCTGGAAGGTATCCTCTGAACAGACAGCATGCCAACCCATGTCACCCTTGCTTCTTCCCCCCACCTCTCATTAAGGTATTGCACAGAGATTGGACTGGAAGTCAGACAGATGTGGGCTGAAGCCCTGGCTCCCCTAACTGTGGAATGGTGCTGTTTTCTCAGTCTCTCTGGTCCTCAACTTCTCTTTATAAAATCGGTGGACAGTGGGAGCATATAATAATCTCAAGTACTTAAAAAAGTTTTAACTTCTTCTAAGCTCCTAGTAATTGCTTTTATTTCTCTTACAACATTTTAATTTTTTATCAAAATAACACATGTATGGAATTCAAAATGGAAACAAAACTAAAAAAGCAAAAAGACTTTTTCCATTCCACTTTTCCCACTGCCAAGGACAGACTCTGATCAATCCTCAGAAAGTCTCAAATTAGACTGTAACTTGGATAGCAAACAATGAAGAAGCTTAAAAGAAAGAGAAAAGTAAAAATATAAGGTAAGTTGGTAATTTAAGAAATGCATATAGGAAGTAATTTATCTCAAAATATATTCCACCATTCAGAAGCAGATAATATACATTTTATCCTAGAAATGTAACATAGGATATTGCTCTAATCCAAAACTACCCTGGGAAAATGAAAGGAGGTGGTGAGTGTGTGTGTGTGTTCAACAATGGTATCCTCATTTTGCATAGCAGCAAGTCAACAGACAATTCTTAAAACTGAAAAACAGGGCCAGGCGCAGTGGTTCATGCCCGTAATCCAAGCACTTTGGGAAGCTGAGGTGGGTGGATCACCTGAGGTGAGGAGTTCAAAACCAGCCTGACCAACATGGCAAAACCCTGTCTCTACTAAAAATACAAACATTAATTGGGCATGGTGGTAGGTGCCGGTAATCTCAGCTACTCGGGAGCCTGAGGCAGGAGAATTGCTTGAAACCAGGAGGCGGAGGTTGCAGTGAGCCGAGATCATGCCATTGCACTCCAGCCTGAGTGACACAGCGAGACTGCATCTCAAAAAAAAAACAAAACAAAAATCTGAAAAACAAGAAATTATGACATAAGCCAATTGTTTTAGAAATACAGGTGGACATCATACTCAGGAGAAAAATGATTAAAGTGATTGTCCCTAGCAAACTAATGTAACCACAAATAAAAAAGTAAAATTACCTAGTTTTTCAAAGCTGTTTATCACATTACAGCAGCTGTGCCCAACTGGTCTCCTCTTTTCTCTCAAAGTCTTTATGTTTTTGTGTCTTTGCTGAATTGTTTAATTCTTTGCTGACGCTTTCTAGTTTTTGTTTTGTTTTGTTTTTTTGCTGTGTACAGTCATTCCTCTGTATCCATGGGTGATTGATTGGTTCCAGGACCCCTCTTGAATATCAACATATGAGGATGCTCAAGATTCTGATAAAAAATAGTGTAGTATTTGCATATAACTTATGCACATCTTCCTGTATACTTTAAATCATCTCTAGGTTACTTAGAATACCTAATACAATGTAAATAGTTGTTATACTATACTGGTTTCTTATATGTATTATTTTTATCGTATTGCTGTTTATTATTTTTTAATATTTTTCATCTGTGGTTGGTTGCTTGTTGGAGCATTTTCAATTCACCTGCTTTAAAATCTTTGTTAGATAATTTTAATATTTGGTTCACCTTAAAGTTGGTATATATGGATTATCTTTTTTTCATTCAGGTTGAGATATCCAAATTTCCTTTTTGTATGGGGACCCAAGTCATATAAGATGATGGGCCCAACCTACTCCAGTATTCTTATACAGTCACATTCTGAAGTTCTGAGGATCAAGACTTCAACACAGAAATCTGAAAGGAGGAACACAATTCAATTCCTAACAGCAGTATAAATGGATCCCCTCTTTAGTATGATTTTTAGACTTTATAGGAAACATTCTCATTATTTCTCAGTTATTTTTGGCATAATGAATGAAGTTTCTTCTGAATGTGGCAAGAAGTGTGAACCACTTGGCTGCTCAAGCACAAATGGGGATTTGCAGGGAGAAGCTGGTGCTGTGGTCTCCATTTTCCTAAGAATGGTGCCAAGAATAAAAAGCAATGAAGGGTTTGTGATAAAAGAGTAAATAGTGTAAAGATGTTCAAACACTTCTAAGTAATAAATCTGTATTAAAATGAATATTTGTATTTCCTTAATTTCATTAATAATGAAACAAATGAAGAAAATTACCTATATGTTGAGTTCATACAATTTTTTAAAAAACACATATTTTGTTTTATTTTATTTTAAAACTTACTTGTATTTATTTATTTTTAAAGACAAGGTCTCACTATGTTGCCCAGGATGGTCTTGAATTCCTGGGCTGAAGTGATTCTTCTACCTCAGTCTCTCAGATGGCTGGGACTACAAACATGTGCCTGGCAAAGATATACAATGTTTTCTACCAATTCTTCTCTATCCCTTCTTCCTGATAGAATACAAGCTTGAAGGCTAGAAGTGCGATGGTCCTCAGCTCATATTAAATTGACAAACATTCCTGAAGTAGTAGTCATAGGCTTAGCTCTTAGCTAAAACAAAAAACAAAAGCAGAAACAGCAGCACATGCGTATGTGTTATATTTATTAACTGTGCAGTTTTAAAAGGTAGAATTTTCTAATTAGTTGAAAAATTTCTTACTATATCAACAATACAAATGTGTTTAGAATTCATATTATGTCATTGTTATCATAATTGGACCTCAGGAATGTAAACAGAAATGTATTTGGGAGAGGTGCATATCGCTGCTGACCCTGTTGGGCTATTACATTCTTTTAGACTAGAAAATGTACAGGTGACACTAAGCCAGTGGCAGAGAAATTGGAAGATTTGTCGAGTGCTGTGACCCTACTCAATTCTTCATAATTTTTCTAGCAGCTCTCACATTATTTTTAAAATTTAAAGTCCAGTTTTCACTACCAGATAATTTTGATTGACACTGGAGTGACAATGTCTGTTTTCTCAATGACACCTACTAGTTCTTACTCATTACTTGTCACTGGCATGAAGGGCAAGCAACTTAGTTAAACTGTTCATAGGCCTTACAAAGCTTGTCTTTTATTTTTATATGGAGGGGAAAAACAATCCTGGAGTGAAAATATGCCTTAATTTAAAGACGAATTAAGTGTCATAAACGGCTCATAAGCACAAACCTCCTGAATTGTTCTGACGCAAGAGGAGCAAATAAAAGAACCACATGAAATCCCCACCTTAATCATTTTATTTTATGACAAATATCTTGCTTGAATTCCTGCATTTTCTTATATGCCAAATAATTTCCAGCTTGAAAAATAACTAGAAGCCATAAAAGCATTTACTGTTGTATTATTTAATAAGTCATTTTACAACTCTTGTATTTCCCAAATCCAATAGCCCTAATTTTTTTGTATTTTAAGTTATTTAAACTTCACAGCCATACAAGCAGATGTATCAGGTAAGCATGTGAGATAGTATGTTGAATATATTACCATACAGTATTTCTTTATGCAGAATTACACACGGCAAATTCTCAGGTGCAGTGACCAAACAATCAAATAAGATGCAAGTACTCTGGGAACCACCAAGTTTGGACAGAGGATTGTAAGCTACAAAGTTAGGAAATGTAGGAGAATATTTACTTTACATAGAGGGAACAGAATGAGTATAAGCGCCAAAGCAAGTATAGCTTCTGGGAACGAGCTTATAGCTGGAGCTCAAACGAAAGGGAAGGGAGAAAGCCAGGCTGCAGAGGTGACTCCATGACTGATGCCATAGTTTCTCTTTCCCCAGGAGCATAAACAAGCAGCTGTGAGGAGCTGGGGATAATAATCTCACCATAAAATTCAGAGGAGATTCGGGATTGGATATGTATTTAGGGAAGAGTAACTAAAATAGACAAAAAATGAGGACTAGAATTTAGGATGGGGGAAAGACTTAAAAGAATAAGACTAAGGGAAGAATAAGAGGTTTTAGAAAGAGATAAAGAATGGAGGCGACCCATTGAACAACTGGGTCACCTAAAACACATCCATCTAAGGCATCCATAATGTTGATCTGAAATAAAAGTCTAAGGCAAAATTAGCATAAGTAAAGAATTTGTTTTGGCCAAATTTGAGGAGTGTAACCCGGGAAACACATATGCAAACTACGTCAGAGAAGTGCTTTCAGCTGGGGAGGTTACAAGCAGATTTTTAAGGACAAAACGAAGAGGTATACCAAGGTGGTCTCAGCCTGTTCATCCAGAAATACCATTGGTCAACAGAAAGGAGCTAACAGATGATTGGCTAAAGGCTACAGCACTTCTTGGAATAGTCATTATCAGTTTGTGATGAACCCAGCTCCTGGAATTCTTATAAGTAAAAAGGTACAGGAATTTCAGGGGAGTAACTGTGGCATCATGACAACCCTGTTTGGTCATTGTAATTTAGTTATCCTCATTTGTTGGGTTTTGTTTTCAATAAGCATGACCAGTGAGAACCTCCCCTTTTGTTTGATCCAACCTTACAGAATAGCTTACTTTTCCACACAGCCTTGACTCTGTAAAGTTTAGACGATCTTGGAGACAATTAGTAGACTGCTCTTTAAACCTTCCTCTAGTTGTCTGTATATCCCACCTTATGCAGAAATGGTGGTCAAAATGGTAGCTAATTTGGGTGAGAAAATAAAACTTTCTCCATGCCCAACACCCTCCACACACATTGGAGTTCAACAGTAAAGGTAGAAGGAGCAAAAGGGATTCAACAATGAAAAATAAATAACCTCTCTGAGAAAAGTAGAGCCCTTTACTTTCCTCCCACAGAGAAGCGGCCATGGACATATCTTTTCAGATGTGTCAAAAGAGTCTGTTCCTGTGGCTACCTGAATAACAAAGACCTAGGCAGAAATCATTGAGTTGTAGATACAAACACTCTCAGACTAGCCAGACAATTGCAGGAGGACTGGGGAAGGAAGAATAAGATAGTATCTCCGGAACTTAAGGAGAAGATCTCTTGAGAAGCAAATGCCAATAACTAGAGGGAAACCACCTCAGGCTGAAAGGGTAGATAACAGTCTCCATCGTCTCTGGTGCCACGTGGTCAATCATTGTTGTTTCTCTCTAGGAGTCTGCTTTATTACTTTTTCTTAGAAGCATGGCCTTCTCAGCCTACCTTTCACTTATTTCAGATATGGCTACCCAGATTAAATTTTACATGAGCATTTCACTCGGGGACCGCAAAGAGAATAAGGAGGGGCTCTGGGACTCAAGTTTACCTCATAGAAGAAGGGATCTGAGTGGCCCAACCTGGATGAAGTGACTTTTCTAATCAGTTGTCTTTAGGATTTTTAAAATTATTATAAACAGGGGTCTAAGTGTTCATGGATAGTGTGGTGACTATACAAGCAAATTCCAAGAGCAAGACTGTCTCATATGAAAAGTCGCATTTCTTAGCAAGAACCAGGTCTCTAGCAAAGAGCAAACATTCAGTAAATTGTTTCTGAATCTATTAATAAATGATAAGAAAAGGCAAGGGAAATCAACATCCTCACTGCATGCCTTCAGACGTGTGTTTCCTATCAGATACGGGTATTCCAACAGAAACTGGAGAAAAGAAAATACAATGCATTCACTGGACAGAAATATTGTGGACGGGGGGCAAGCATTGGGACAGTGGTGAGCAAAATTATTCTTGAGGTCCCCATTAATCAAAATATTTGTGGCATCCAGAAGCTTGAATCTTTAAGGACAAATATGAATCTTTACCCATCTTCTTTTACTCTTCTCTCCTTTCTCCTAAACTAACTCTAATATATACATTTACTTTTAAAATTTCATAAAGCCTATCTAATTGGGAATTTAGGTCTCACTCCTTGTGGACACCAGAAGGATATAAATGATTAGGGGAAATCCCACCAAACAGAAAGGGCAAGAAGATGTATGAATGAGTAGTAAGCTCAAGAACAACCCATCAGTCCTCTTCTTTATTTTACCCCCAAACCAAAACTTAGGGATGAAGCTTCACGAAGCTCTCTTTTGTGAAGGAGAGAGGCCTGTTCCGTTGCCAAGGAGTGCAAAGCTGCACATTGGCTTTGGGATGACATTGGGTATAAAATTTATCACTTGTGATATCCCTGTGTGATCTTCTACACACATTGTTTAGCTTCTCCAAGACTTTTCTTTGGAAAGCCCACATAGAACAGAAAAAAGAAATGCCATCTTTTAAACTATCTATTTAACTATCTTGTGGCCCCATGTTTCCAAGGTTGGGGTATTGGGAGAGTTGGTGAAAGAGCAATATGTCAACATTAACTTGTCTCCAAGCAGGCATGACTT
Organism: Homo sapiens; assembly: GCF_000001405.40. Classification (NCBI taxonomy): domain Eukaryota; kingdom Metazoa; phylum Chordata; class Mammalia; order Primates; family Hominidae; genus Homo; species Homo sapiens. Next base: position 48,924,124 of record NC_000007.14, read on the forward strand.
TCAATATCAAATGGTCACAACCTCCAACTTTTAATGGATCCTAAATGAGTGCTTCAAAAATACTGTCATTTGGTAATAAAGTCATACTCGAAGTAACACTTATTTGGCTGAATTTCCAGAGACTGGAGAGAAGGTTAAGATCCAGGTGGTTGCTATGACAAGAGCATGATGACTTATTCATCCAACACTTTGTTGATGTCAGTATGATATAGCCCTTCAGTTCATGGTTTAAAAAAGCAAAGGGAGGGCGGTTGCGGGAGGGAGCGGGGCAGGCGCTGTGGGCCAGGCCCCTCCTCTGGCTCCTGCACCACCGCCTCTTTTCGGGCTCCGCCGGCTCCCGCCGTCCCTGCAATGCCGCTCTGTGCCCGCCGTCCTGAGAGCCCGCGCGGCACTGGCGCCAGCCTTGGCGGCGCGCGCGGGGCCGTGGTCGTTGCTCCCTGACTGGCCGCGGCGGCCTCCAGGAAGCGGAAAAGCAAGGGGCGGTCGAGCTGGGCCGCCGCGCCCCACTGCTCGCCGCGCTGCTCTTTGACCTCGCAGGGTGTGAAGAAGATGCGCAGCTCCACGCTGCAGGACCCGCGCCGCCGGGACCCCCAGGACGACGTGTACGTGGACATCACCGATCGCCTTCGTTTTGCCATTCTCTACAGCAGACCAAAGAGTGCATCAAATGTACATTATTTCAGCATAGATAATGAACTCGAATATGAGAACTTCTCCGAAGACTTTGGACCACTCAATCTGGCAATGGTTTACAGATATTGTTGCAAGATAAATAAGAAATTAAAGTCCATTACAATGTTAAGGAAGAAAATTGTTCATTTTACTGGCTCTGATCAGAGAAAACAAGCAAATGCTGCCTTCCTTGTTGGATGCTACATGGTTATATACTTGGGGAGAACCCCAGAAGCAGCATATAGAATATTAATCTTTGGAGATACACCCTATATTCCTTTCAGAGATGCTGCCTATGGAAGCTGCAATTTCTACATTACACTTCTTGACTGTTTTCATGCAGTAAAGAAGGCAATGCAGTATGGCTTCCTTAATTTCAACTCATTTAACCTTGATGAATATGAACACTATGAAAAAGCAGAAAACGGAGATTTAAATTGGATAATACCAGACCGATTTATTGCCTTCTGTGGACCTCATTCAAGAGCCAGACTTGAAAGTGGTTACCACCAACATTCTCCCGAGACTTATATTCAATATTTTAAGAATCACAATGTTACTACCATTATTCGTCTGAATAAAAGGATGTATGATGCCAAACGCTTTACGGATGCTGGCTTCGATCACCATGATCTTTTCTTTGCGGATGGCAGCACCCCTACTGATGCCATTGTCAAAAGATTTCTGGATATCTGTGAAAATGCTGAGGGTGCCATTGCAGTACATTGTAAAGCTGGCCTTGGTCGCACAGGCACTCTGATAGCCTGCTACATCATGAAGCATTACAGGATGACAGCAGCCGAGACCATTGCGTGGGTAAGGATCTGCAGACCTGGCTTGGTGATCGGGCCTCAGCAGCAGTTTTTGGTGATGAAGCAAACAAGCCTCTGGCTGGAAGGGGACTATTTTCGTCAGAGGTTAAAGGGGCAGGAGAATGGACAACACAGAGCAGCCTTCTCCAAACTTCTCTCTGGTGTTGATGACATTTCCATAAATGGGGTCGAGAATCAAGACCAGCAAGAACCCAAACCTTACAGTGATGACGACGAAATCAATGGAGTGACACAAGGTGATAGAAGTCGGGCCCTGAAAAGGCGAAGACAATCAAAAACAAACGATATTCTTCTCCCATCTCCCCTGGCTGTGCTGACCTTTACACTGTGTAGTGTTGTCATCTGGTGGATTGTTTGTGACTACATTCTTCCCATCCTGCTATTCTGACTCAAAGATTTCAGAACATAGTAGCCATCAGGACCCCCTGACAGATAGCTGCTTCTCTCCATTTCAAGGACTAAAATGGTTTTGCATTAAGTAAAAACCTGTGACCAGAACTGAAGGAAGACTCTAGGAACTGAAAACTGCAACAGAAATTAGCACAATTTGAAAACAAAACAAAATTGCAAAAGACTTAGTTGCTTTCCACCTAAGAAGCTAATCAATGGGGAAAATGTCCACGGGGTTTCAGTAATGAACTTTTGAGTTTGGGTGCAAGCAAATGTACCAAGACCAGCTCAGTCAGGGAGACCCTACCCCAGTGGTGCTAGAGGAATTAAAGACACACACACAGAAATACAGAGGTGTAAAGTGGGAAATCAGGGGTCTCACAGCCTTCAGAGCTGAGAGCCCCGAACAGAGATTTACCCACATATTGATTAACAGCAAACAAGTCATTAGCATTGTTTCTATAGATATTAAATTAACTAAAAGTATCCCTTATGGGAAACGAAGGGATGGGCCTAATTAAAGGCATAGGTTGGGCTAGTTAACTGCGGCAGGAGCACGTCCTTAAGGCACAGATGGCTCATGCTATTGTTTGTGGCTTAAGAATGCCTTTAAGCAGTTTTCCACTCTGGGCTGGGTGGGCCAGGTGTTCCTTGCCCTCATTCCGGTAAACCCACACCCTTCCAGCGTGGGCATTAGGGCCATTATGAACATGTTACAGTGCTGCAGAGATTTTATTTATGGCCAGTTTTGGGGCCAGTTTATGGCTGGATTTTGGGGGGCTTGCTCCCAAAAAGAATGACTCAAAGAAAGGCCCAGCTCTCAAGCTGAATGACAAAAATGCTGTTGTAAATTTAGTCTCAGGTGTAAATACCCAAGCCCTCTGGTACTCAGGGAGCTGGCTGGTCTGTGGTGCATGTGTGTCCTTGTGATGGCAAGCATTGTAGTTGATGGCCTTCAGAAGAATTGAGGATCTGATGGAGGTTTTTTAATGTATTTATTTTCTGTTCAGCTTGTGACCCTGTGTCAAAATTTGTAAAGATACAAAAGGCATTACTGAAATGGTACTTTCTGTAATTTGATACTATTTGGCTTTACCATCTTCACTTGACTGTTTGTAATACTGTAGTAATATTAACTCTGATAAGTACCCAAGCTGCTTGTCTTCTACCAAAGAGTGCTTTATTAACAAGAATCTGTGAAAACCACATTTTAAACACTGTTGCATGTTGTAATACCAGGTGATACCTTGGTAACCTAAAACTTGCAAGAGAATATTAGTGGTAGCTTTAGAAGACTCAGGAGGAGAAACTGACTTCAGAGCTGGAAGATGTTGCAAGTCATTCCTTTTTCTGTCCTTTAGGGACTGAAGAACTGGGAGGTTGCCCATTGTTTGGTTGCCAGTCATACAAATTAAAATCATATTTCCTTCCATGCATGGAAAAAACACACTATTGGTTTTTCGCCTTGGAAACAGCAATCCCAAATAATGTCGGCTTTAAAAAAAAAAAGTTACCGCTTTTTTAGAGTCCTTCTCTGTAATATTGGATTTTTTTTTCCTTATGAGATCAGCCTAAGGCCATTGATAAGGCCTGTGATCTCAGTAACAATGATCTGCTTCTGAATCTCACTGTTGCCTTTGGCTAGGGAACACAACTAGTAACTCTGCAGAGTGCCTTCTCCCGCAACCCTACTGGAACACAGCAGAGTCTGTGCCATGAAGAAATTAGAGAAACAGAATTGTTTCGCTGCTAAAAAAAAAAAGGGGGGGCCCAAAATAAAAGAATATTTAGTACTCACCTCAGTTCCTTCCATAAGAAGTGGGTGGTTTAATGATTGTTAACCCATTTTTGCCTGTGCTGGGAGCATGGAGGGCTGAGATGTTGACAGGCAGTGGGAAACAAATGCCCTCCTAAGTCACAAGGCGTGCGCCAGATCAGGAGGCAACTCCATTTTAAGAAGCTGCCTTTTTCATAAAACTGTAAGAAACCAAAGCAGTTGGAATAAACAAGTTAAAGTCTTTAATGCAAAAAGTAATTGAAAGGCAGTGCCTCCATTTTGGTGTACTTTCTTGGAAGAAAGTACGAAATTGACCGGCATCATGAGAGACGGAAGATGCCGTATTCTCAGCCAAACAAGTGACTCTTTCCCTGCCAAGCACTATGGGGTGGGGTCAGGCTAGCTTTTAAACACTGGGGACTGGATCACAGAAAAACAGTGGTTTTCTGTCCCTGGAAATGAATAGGCACAAAGACCCACTTGGCTGTGGGAAGACCACTCTTCAATAAGATTTTGGTGGGAGGAGGAACATTCCTTTTGCTATTTTAAGCTGAGACAATACAAATATTTAAACTGTGCCATGCATAAAGCATTGAATTCTCAGGGCACTTCTTCTTCCCCTTACCCTTTTTAAGGCCATCCCCTTCATAAATAATAATCCAGGTAGTTGTGAAAATTGTGCTTCCATCTGATTCCTTCTTAGTTTGGCTTTTCATCCCATCAGAACAAGTAAATGTGGGTGCCACAGCTTTTGTGAGTACTGTCTCCCTCACGGTGAACAAGCCTCCTGGTGTTTTGTCCGAGAAAGGGAAGGGTGTTGGTGGAACCACAGTCCTTTTTCATTTTATAAACTGCCTCTTCATGTTGCCTGCTCAAGTTTCCACCTAGAATTGCTATCACTGTGACTCTTTCTAAAAATCCTTCTGCTTAACTGGTTCACTGAAATTAGTCATAGAAAATTTGTGATTTGGTGAAGAAACATTCCTTGTAATAATCAAATGACTTGGGATGGTGTGCATAGCAACAGTGTTACACTTACGGGGACCGTCTCTAGACTTATGGGGACCGTCTCTAGAATCCAAGAAGTCTCTGGGTCTGAGGGATGGAAAGTTCTTCCTGCTATGAATGAGAGTGGACTCTTCCCCTCACCCCCAACTAAAACCACAAACACCCAGAATCTTCTGGGATTAGAGTCCTTGTTATAGAAGACCTTGTTGCTATGGAACATGAAACTGTGTCTGTCAGATAGATTCCCTTAAGAGCCTTAAATAGCCCTGAAAGTACACCGGGACAGTTTGCGATGGAATTAAAATTAGAAGTGAATATTTTTAGGTGCCCTTGAAGCTTTCTGGGGACTCAAAATTATCAAGAGTCAAGGACAGTCTGGAGGAAGAGCATCTGCAAAACTGGGTTCCTGGAAGTAGGGACGGACGTGGCTTTTTGTAGAACTTGGTGGAGAGCAGCTCCTCATGAGAGCAGAATGGCCTGGCGTGGCCAGTGCTTCCCGGCAGCACGCGGGTCTGCCGGCCTCCAGAATTTCCCCGTTCTGAGCTTGATGCCCCTAGCCTATTCCCTACCTACTTCCTCCCTTCCCCTCTAGCCCTCTCACAGGGGTGATTGCTACCTCTCTCTTTTCTTGGGCCTAGGCAAGTTTTCATGTGACAACTTAACTGGATCATAGGGTGCCTGGATACTTGGTCAAACATCATTCTAGGGGTATCTGTGAGGGCATTTGTGGATGTGATTAACATTGGATTCAGTAGACTGAGTAGAACAGATTGCCCTTCCTCGGGTGGGTGTACAGCATCATCTACTCGGGTGAAGACCTGAATAGAACAAAAAGTTGAAGGAAGGATGAATTCACTCTCCTCTTTGCCTGAAGGCTTGAGCTGGAACATTGGTCTTCTGCTGCCTTCAGACTGGAAATTACAACATTGATGCCCCTGATTCTTGGGCCCTTAAACTCAGACTGGGATTATGCAACTGGTTTTCTTGGGTCTCCAACATGCAGCGATCAAATTACAGGATTTCTCAGCATCCATAATCACGTGAGCCTATTCCTTATGATAAATATCTTCCTATAGATTGTGTATATAGATACAGATATATGATATCTGTTATATTCTATCTACATAGTGTGAAAGCATATGTATCTTTAGATCTATATCTATATGTATGTATGTATGTATGTAGGTAGGTGTCTATCTATCTATCTAATCTACCTACCAATCATCTATTTTATTGATTCTGTTTTTCTGGAGAAACTTGGCTAGTGAAATGCATCCTTAGGCAATTTTATCATTGTATAAACATCATACAGTGTACTCACACAGTCAAAGATGGGATAGCCTACTACACACCTAAACTATATGGTATAGCCTATTGCTTCTAGGCCACAAACCTGTACATCATGTACTAAATATGGTAGGCAATTGTAAAACAATGGCGAATATTGGTTTATCTAAACTTAGAAAAGTTGGTGGAAGGTGGAAGTATGACAGATAAAAAATGATACACTTTTATAGGGAGCTTATCATGAATGGAGCTTACAGAACTGTAAGTTGCCCTGGGTGAGACAGTGAGTGAGTGCTAAGCAAATGTGAAGGCCTAGAACATTAGGATACACTACTGTAGACTTTATAATCACTATACACTTAGGCTACATAAAATTTATTGAAAAATATTTTTCTCTGATAAAAATTAACCCTAGCTTCCTGTAACTATTTTACTTTATTGAGACTTAGCTTAAAACACATTGTGCAACTGTACAAAATTATTTCCTTTCTTTATATTTTTATTCTATATGCTGTTTTCTGTTTTTAAATCTTAATTTTATTATTTACTTTTTAAACTTTTTGTTAAAAACTAAGACAGAAACACATACACTAGCCAAGGCCCACACAGGTCAGCATTGTCAGTATCACTGTCTTCCACCTCCACATCTTGTCCCACTGGGAGGTCTTCCGGGGAAAATAACATGCATGGAGCTGTCATCTCCTGTGATAACAATACTTTCTTCTGGACACCTCCTGAAGGACCTGCCTGAAGATGTTTTACAGTTAACTTTTTTTTTAAGTAGAAGTACACTTTAAAACAATAATAAAAGCATAATATAGTAAATACAAAACCAGCAACATAGTCATTTGTTACAATTATCAAGTATTATGTACTGTACTTCATTGTATCTGCTATAATTTTATATAACTGGCCACATAGTAGATTTCTCTACACCAGCATGTCCCCAAATATGTGCGTAATGCTTTATGCTACCTCATAGTGATATGACATCACTAGGCAATAGGAGTTATTCAGCTGCATTGTAATCTCATGGGACCGTCCTCACACATGCGGTTCATCTTTGATGTGTGGCATCATTATGCAGCACATGACCATAGATGGCAATACTACTTCCAAATCACACCCTGAATTCTTCCTCTTCTCCCCATTGCCTCATTGTGTCAGCAGTTTTTCCTATCCTCATTCACCTGGATCACAGCAATAGCCATCTAACCAGTTTATTTATTTCCTTTCTTGACTTCCTATACTACAGTATTTATCTCCATCATAGCCTGGGTTATCATCTATAAATGAAAATCAGTTCACCACTTTTTCACATTTAAAACCATTAGAGGCTTCCCATCAGAGCATAAACTCTACCTTCTTGCCACGGCTTGCACAGGTTCTTCATGGTCTGCCACTGGCTACTGCCCCCACTTCATTCCACACCATCCTTGAGCTGGCCACCAAGCTCATCCCCAGTGCCTTTTGTTATGTGTGGACTTTTGTACTTCTGCCAGAGGGACTTCACACTAAGAGGTATTTCCAGCCTGATATACTCTTTCCTATGACATTCACACCACAGATTGCTTCTTATCATTCAGATTTCAGAAACAACTTTCCAGATGGTCTCAACCAACTGTCCTGATTCTCTTGTCCACTGCACAGTAATCCCGGCTCAGCGTACATCACTATTTCCTAGTTTTCAAATGATTAAATGAATTTGTTGATGTGTTAGTTTATTTGCTTCCTCTTTATCTGACTCATGAGGATGTATATTTTCTGAGAGAAAGAAGCAATTATTCAACACTATTTCTTCAGTTCCAGGTACAGAGGAGTGTCTAATATAGAATAACCATCCCAAAGTATTTGTTGAACTAAGCAATGTGAAACATTTATTTAAATAGTGTACATCGAATGAATTTGGTACAAATGCACAATTTATATGTCAAATCTACCTTAATTCTTTCCTCATTAGTATGCTGTAATTAAAATACATACAAACGTAAGGAATTCAATTATGTAACAATACTGCATTGTGTGATGGTTTTCAATGCTTTATGATCTTATCTTTCTCAGCTTGGATGGCTATAACAAATTACCATAAGCTGGGTGGCTGATATAAAACAAAAACTGATTTCTCACAGTTCTGGAGGCTGAAAAGTTCAAAGTCAAGGCAGCAGTAAGCAGGTTTAGTGTCTGGTGAGTGTGTACTTCCTGGTCATATATGGTTTCTTTTCACAATGTCCTCAGATGGTGGAAGGGGAGCTCTCTGGGCCTCCTTTATGAAGGCACTAATCCCATCTGTGAGAGCTCCACCTTCATGACCTAATCACTTCCAGGAGGCCCCACCTCCAACCACCATCATATTGGAGATTAGATTTTTTCATAAAAATTTTTGGGAGATAAAAACATTCAGTCTCTTATTATCATCCACAAAATGAAAACACAGAATAAAATAATTATCATGAGGAACTCACAGCTCCCTGAAACATATCTATGGGTTTCAGTTTTTGAATGTACTAGACAAGCATTGAGTCAGTCTCCTCTGAATGTCTGGATTCAACCGAGTTTCTAAATGCAGGATTTTTAGATTAGTGGTGACTGAAGGAACTCCTGATTTCTTCCTTGAGAGGCCTGGACTGAGCATAGTAAATCTTCCCTCCTAATATCTCAATAGAATCATCGAAGTACAAAGCTGCTCTCCTGAAGAGTTTGATAGAATTCAGTACAGTTAATAATTTAACTAGCTCTCATGACTGGAGTCTGGGGCTCCTAACTCATAAACATAAAGGTATGTGCCAATAAGTTAATTTCAGATAAAAAAGATGGATGAGTCTATGCTTTTTTTTCTTTGTTTTTATTTTATTCTAATCTCTGATGATTCATTACTGTATTAGATATCATTGCTATTGCATGAGCAAAAAATTCTGTGTTTCCACAGTAAATGGAAAAGGATGTATAACCTCATTATTGATATAATGCCATTAAATTAGTTGAAATGCAATGATCACACAGTGCCTTTGGCAAGGCTGGGCACCCTCATGGGAACTGAAACTTGATGTGAAATCAACATGTTGTATTAGTTAATGCACAATGTAGTGACACATCATAGGTAAATGGCTAATAGGCAGCAGCAATAGCTGATTGTCCATATAACTGACCCTTGTCTATTATAATTTTTAAAAATGATGTTTTTATAAAAGAAAAGCAAATTACAAAGAACCTGAAAAATTAAGGCCCCAGACTGTTACTGTGAACAAGTCCTTGACATCATTCTATCCCACTATATTCTTATACTGGTTTAAGAATTTAGAGCTAAAAGTTTTGATATATAAAACAATGATAAATCAGGCTACTATGGTGTTTTTTTAAAAGACTTGCTATTATTTTAGCTCAGAAGAGACAAACTCATGGAATGATATTTTGTTAACACAAACTCCCTGTTTGCTTGAGTTTGCACTTGTTAAATTTTGACTGAGGGCTAGTCCACAGAAAGAGCTAAAAAGAGAAATCTCTCATAGAATCGCTGCCAGGCCTATAACAAAAGCCACCCTACTGGTTGTAGCTCTAATAATAAACTCTCTTTTATACAGGCCTTTCAAAGTTACAGGGTCACAAAGTGCCTTGAAATAAATTTCAAAGGGAACAGCAAATTCTGGAATCACACCCAAACTCTTTATGTTCATGACTGTAACAGAGTTAATAAATTGTGGGCATAAATGAATAACTGCAATGTCCTGCTTGGAAACCCAGTGGTGAGTGTGTTCATCAGATAAAAATGACCAGGTGTTGACAGGCAATAGAAAGGAATTATGAGCAGCAGGGGTTTAGTATCGATACCTCAGGAATTTAACTTATGTGTCAGAAACAAGGCTAGGGCCCTGGGAGAGGAAGGCGCAGAGATATATGTACTTTGCAGACTATTACTGCAAAGCTTGGTATAAAGAGAAACAGGAGACCAAGCTGATTATCATATTCATGAGCTTGTCAACAATAATTGGCCAGATCCTTGTTAAAATAGAAACAGTAAGAGTCTTGACCGTTCATTTTCTGGGATTATCTCCTATGCAAAGCCTGAGGGAGCCCAACTATCTCCTACTTCACATAAAGATGATTAATTTTCTTCCTTGTCTTTTTTTCTTCCTCCCATCAGTATTGAGAAAGAACAAATAATTTGAATGGAAGACTTAGCATATTTTGGATCCAAGACAGAGACTCTGTAGTCTCAGTTCTTTTCCACACCTAAGGGGACTGCAGACATTTGAAATTTCATGAAGGAAAGTGGAGTGGAGCCTCTACCACATGTTAGCACCTGGTTCTCTTAAAAGGGAGACATTTTCTTCCCTCTTTAAACTCCCAAAGTATCCCACTTCTTTGAGATCTAGCATTTTCTACTTTGTGTTAGACTTTACATAAATGTCATTTTTAACTATATGTTCTCTCCTCTGGTCACCTCTAACCACCTTTAAGAGAAATCTGTACACTAATTTCTCATCTCATTGACTAGTATTTTGTATATTGTACAGTATCAGTAAATATTCCTCATTTTCTCTATTTTTATCTCCATGGTAAGAAATTCCAAGATATGCTTTGTTAGTTTCCTAATTTGTTATTTTTTATTAGTCAGCAAAGGCTTTTTTATGTCTAGCTTACTGTATATGTACTTGCTAAAGTCTATATTTATTTTTGTTAATTCTTCAAGGCAGTGAAGAATTCTTCTCTGATTTCTACTAACCTATAAATCACATATATGATTTTCATGTATTGGCATTTACGAAATTGCCTTTATTGTTAGCACACTGTAAAATCTATTGTAGGTAAAATTTAACTTCTCAAGGCAACTTGGAATGATGTTAATATGTCATATCTCTGATTATGTCAATAAGTAACTATTGATTTGGAATTAGGTACCATTTCCTGCTTTACTACAGATTCCCTTGACCCAAAGAAAGATTATTAGTCACTAAAGCCAAAACTTTCATTTAATGCTAAAAATTTTGCCAATATTTTACCAAATTACAATCTTGAATCTTGAACATAACACTTCCAGGGACTGGAGGTCGAAATCATCCTGTTCCATCTATGGGCATCTTTTCTGACGTAAAGTGCTTCCTGAACTAAAAGCAATATGTACTTAACTTTTCTTCAGTGGTCTTTGTCACAGACCTTGTAGGGAAAAAAAAAAAAAAAAAAGGAAATATCTTATCCATAGACAGTCAAAACTATTTTAAAGTAGTTCCATTCTCTCACTGAATTTTCCTCATTTAGTGTAGTTTGGAGACTATTCACTGATGTAAACCCTGCCTGCTAACTGGGTTTGTTTGTGTTGCTGAGAGTGCTCTGCAAGTAGGCCAACAGTGCCAGGAGTGGGACAGGGCATTTTTTGTGCTGAAGTTATGGTCTCTGTGAAGCTGAGGTTCACAGTAGGACTTTTTTAAAATTCCACTACTCTGTTGAATAATATTGAGCTTACAACTGAAAACCTCGTTTGTTTGTTTTTAATCTATGCATTTATTCATTCCTTGAAATATTGGGGCCCCTGTAAATACACTGGTGAATTAGGTCAACACAGACCTCGCTCTCACAGATCTTAAAATCTAGAAGGCAAAAAATCAATTAACTCAGTGATATTTAGTTGCACAAAACATAATATGATAGGAGTAGCGTGGGGACCTGGAACTACAGAGAAGGTGTGCATATCCCAGTTAAAGGCCAGTTATGCTGACTCAGAGGACTGGGGAAGAACTGGAGGCTTGGGTACTGGAAATGGTGGTCTCCTGCAGAAGTTGGTGGTAGAGCAGAGAGAAGTGGGATCAGAAAATAGATATTTAGGAGGCAGATTTAGCAGGATTTAGTGATTGATCATATGTGGAGCAGTAAAGGAAAGGAGAAATGCAAGATGATGTCAGATTTGTGGGTTGGGCACAAGGCTATTCATGGAAACAAGGAAGGAGAGGGGAGAGGCAGGATTGGGAGAGTAGAGAGGCAGCATTGGGTAGTACCTGAAATCACACTTGAACAGGGTAATGAAAATAGAAGAGGCCTCAAACACAGACACAATCAAAATAGAAAGGATGATCCCAAGTTCAACATTCAATGATTCCAACACATTGGCTAGAAATGCGGAAGAAAAAGTCTGGTTTCAGGGAAACCAAGGGGCGAGGAGTTTAATACAGAAGGAGAGAGTCAACAATGTCAGAAAGTACACAAAATTCAAAGATACCAAAGCCTTATAAAATTAATTTCATCCATTGATAAGAAAGCTATTCATGACTTAAAAAAATGATTTTGGTGAAATGGTGGAGGCAGAATATAATATATCTAAAGGTCAGGGGAAAGCAAAGAAGACAAGAAAGTGACTTTGGCAACAAAGTTTAGAGATCAGATCAGATTGAGTAGCAGGGCCTGTGAGGGGAAGGGTATTTTTAAGATTAAGAGATTGGGATACTGATTAAAGGGGCCTGGCACAAAAGGAGATACTAACAGCCTGTGAGAGAAGAGGAAGTCAGTTGAATTCTCCCAAGGGAAATGTTCTCCATAAAGCTTCTTCTTTTAAAAAAAATTAAACAGCTTTGTTGAAGTATAATTTTCATATCATAAAATTACCTCACTGTAAGTGTGCAATTTAGTTATAATAGTCATTTATAGAGCTGTGCAACTATCTCTGAAATTCAGTTTCAGAACATTTCTGTAATCTCCAAATGTTTTCTCATGCAGGCTTGCAGGTCTTCCTTGCTCCCATCCCCAGCAACCACCAATCTCCTTTTTGTCTTAACAAATGTGGCTGTGCTAGGCAATTTATGTAAACGGAATCATAGAATATGTACCGTCTGTGTCTGTGTTCTCTCACTTAGTATAATGTTTGTAGACTCATCTGTGCTCTAGCATGTATTCTTTTATTTACTGAATAGTTTTCCATTTAGTGGACATACTACACTTTTATCTATCTCTTCAACTGTTGATGGATATTCAGATTGTTTTCAGTTTTAAGGTGTTACTAATAATGATGTTGTGAAAATACATGCATATTTTCATACAGACGTGTTTTCAGTTCTGTTGGATAAATTCCTGGGAGTCTAATTGCTGGTTATATGATAAGTTTATGTTTCATGTTTTAAGAAAATGCCAGCCTGTTTTCAGAGTGGCTGTATCATTTTATATTCCCATCAGCACTGTATAAGTGTTCTTAGTCCTCTATATTTTGTCAATAATTGGTACTGTCTGTCTTTTAAAATTATAGCTAATCTTAGTGGATGTTCAATGTTACTTCATCTTGTTTCAATTTTGTCTTCTAATGACTAATAATGTTAAGCATCTATATGCTTATTTACCATTCCTATATTTTCCATGATGAAATATCTGTTCAAATTTTGTGTCCATTTGTAATTGAGGTGTTTGTTTTTATTAAAAGATATGAGTTATTTGCAATCCCTTTAGTAAATACATGATTTACAGATTTTTATTCCAGTTTGTGGCTTGTCTTTCATTTTCTTAATGATGTCTTTTGAAGGACAAAGTTTTAAGTTTTTTGGTTCAATTTGTCCATCTGTCCTTTTTAGAAATAATGTTTTTGGTGTTCTATTTACAAACTTTGTGCTCAAAACAAAGTAATAAAGATTTTTCTTCTGTTTTCTTCTAAAAGTTTAAAATTTTAACACTTAAATTTATTTTTATAATGAATGTTGAATTAATTTTTGTATATAATATGAGGTAGAGATCTATGTTTATTATTTTGTTCTGGATATTCAATTGTTCTCACACTATTTATTTGTGAAAAAACAAACAAACAAACAAAAAACACTATTCTTTACCCATTAAATTTCCTTGGAATCTTTGCCAAAAGCCAAATAACCATAAAAGTTCTCTTTATACTTTTTTAAAATAATTATTAAAACTAATTGCAGCATGTAACACTGATTACTGCTAAATTTTATCAAAATTGATTCAGTTGTTTAAGAATTAAAAGTTGAACAAATTAGAAATAAAGCTTTTTGAAAATACTTGGAATAAAATATTAACAAATTTTAAGGACACATTTATCTTCAAAAATGAATAAAGTATATATGGGGGATTTTGAAGTACACAGAAAAGCTTTCCAATGATAAATTATCCATAGATATTGTTATACCATTACAGTAAGTATAAACTTGAAATATGTTCTTAGACAGAAATCTCAGGAAGCTAACAAAGGTTGGGGAACAGAATATTCCCCTTAAAAACAATAAGTCAAGTCCACACAGAAAGTAAAGCAGTTAAGTCCAGGTGCGGTGGCTCACGCCTGTAATGCCAGCATTTGGGAGGCCGAAACGGGTGGGTCACTTGAGGTCAGGAGTTTGAGAGACAACATGGTGAAACCCTATCTCTACAAAAATACAAAAATACAAAAATTAGCTGGGCATGGTGGTGCACACCTGCAATCCCAGCTACTTGGGAGGCTGAGGCAGGAGAATTGCTTGAACCCGGGAGGCGAAGGTTGCAGTGAGCTGAGATTGTGCCACTGCACTCCAGCCTGGGTGTCAGAGCGAGACTCCATCTCAAAAAAAAAAAAAAAGAAAAGAAAAGAAAGTGAGGCAGTTAAAAGTGGAGCTTCTTTAGTTTACAGGCTGTATGTGGAATCGGTTTATGGCATCTGCCCAGTACATGCCTGATGGGTGAATCAGGCAGTGATTGGTCATGGGGCCAAATATCAGAGCCAAGAGAAGAAAGCACAACTCAGTAATAAGTGGACAAGAAATGTGATAAAAGGGTCAGTTGAGACAAAAACTCAGTATTAAAGACCAAAGCTAAACAGTTATTCTCAATTAGGCTTTCCTGAATTTTGAGATTAAAGAAGCAAGAATAGTTTTTGCAAAATATGAAAGAATCCTATTGAATAATATTTTGCTATAGTCTAATCCTAAAATAGGACATAGAAACATTTTTTTTCTTGAGTGCCTACCATATGTTGGTACTGTTCTGAGTGTTTTCATGCAGATTTCCTTCATCTGTTTTTAGATACCATATTGTGTTCGTCCATTTTGTGTTGCCATAAAGGAATACCTGATGCTGTGTAATTTATAAAGAAAAGAAGTTTATTTGGCTCAAGCCTTTTCAGGCTATGCAATCATGGTGCCAGCATCTGCTAGTGAGTTCTCAGGAAGCCAACAATCATGGGGGAAGGTAAAAGGGGAGAAGGCATGTCACATGATGAAAGAGGGAGAAAGAGAGAGGAGGAGGCTCCTTTTAACAACCAGCTTTTATGTGAATAATAGAGTGAGAACTCACTCATTACCATGGGTAGAGCATCAAACCATTCATGAGGGATCCATACCCATGACCTAAACACCCCACCAGGCCCCACCTCCAACATTGAGGTTCACATTTCAACATGAGATTTGGAGGGGACAAACATGCAAACTATATATGAATAATAATTTTTAAAAAAAGTGAAAGAAAATTGCTCAAGGCACAAAGGACCTGAGTCCAGATTTAAGAACAATCTTCTTTCCTTTTATTTATTTCAGCCTGAAAACTAAAAAAAAAGTAAGATTTTTTTGCACTTTCCTCTAACTTTCAAAGTTTACACACCCAGCCCCTGTGAAATTAAAGAATGATCCATCAAAATGTGATGACACTTAAGATGCATTGACTGTAATTTTCGCCAGTAGTCCACCACTATAACTCCCATTTAAAGAACATGGTCTCAGGCCTTGTGTGCATGAAGTTCACATGGGAAAAATTTTAAACACGTGTTCCTGGTGAGTTTAATAACCAACAATTCTGGTTTAATAGATCAGGGATGGGACCCCATGTAAGTGGTTAAATAAATTTTTTATAACAAAGAAAAAAAAAGTAGTGATTTATGCATGTGGTCACAGATGAAATTTTGAAATTTTTCTCTGTGCTTCATGTTTATTTTACATGTGGGTAATGGAATATATTATGAATTGTTTCAAGGATTTAGATATCGTAGGTCTGGTTGCAGTTATCACAGGTAATGTTAATGGAAATCCAGACAATTAGACGATGATAACCACAGCTAAGTCTCAGGAAAAACAGGTCAGATTAGACAACCACTCACTGCGGGGAGCCCAGATATGCATCTAGTCTGATTACCCACTGGGGAAGAAAGAGTTAAAGCAGTTAGCTTTTCATCCATTTCTTCCCTGAAAAGTAGACTAATGATCTAGTCTTACTCTTTGTAAACATAAGTTGATAATTTGACCTCTTGGCAATAAGAGAAATGATAGTTAATTAAAGGAAAATCATTATCTAGAATGCTAATGGTTGGGTGTCCCTGTTTTAGCATTGTTTATAGAAACCAACAATCTGTGGGTTTTAGAGGGCTGACTCTCCAAAAAATGTCATATAAGATCTATAACTCTCTGGCTCTATAAAATGGAGATGCTTCCTATTACAAATACTCATCACTCTGTGAGGTGACCCACAAATCTCTGTTAGAGACCTCATTTCAGCCTGGGACAGAGAGCCTGTGTCCAATGTGAGGAAGGAAAGATTTAGAGAGCCACATGGAATGCCCCCAGTTTTCTAGGCTTTGCTTTTGTTCTTGATTGTCTGGGTCCTTGAAACTATTAGTAAAGCTTGATTCTGGGCAAGATCTCTGATTAATTTGATTTGATTTGACAACCCAATCATTTATGTTAGATCAATTAGTCTTCATAATGTTGTCAGAGATGGTCTCATTGGTTAAAACATTCCACCACAGTACCCTGTAACACACTGATTTACCCATTAATTAAATGATATCATGGAAGCATGAAAACTCACTACAGTTCCAAACTTTCTTGGACTAGTCAAAGGACATAGTTGGTATGCTTATACAAGCTAGGTCCTTAAGCACAATTGTTCATTGTAAGAAAAGAAACCAAAATTATAGTTTTGATGTTATAATACAGATTTAAAACTTAAATATTTTGAATATTTTACTTCTAACATATTTACAATGGTAAAAAAATAATATTTTTCAGTTGTGGTTAATGTTAGGCCTCTGAGTCCAAGCCTGCTCATATACTTCCAGATGGCCTCAAGCAATGGAAGAATCACAAGTGAAAATGGCGAGTTCCTGCCTCAACAGATGACATTACATTGTGAAATTCCTTCTCCTGGCTCAGAGGCTCCCCAACTGAGCACCTTGTGACCCCCCGCCCCTGCCTGCAAGAGAACAACCCCCTTTGACTCGTTTTCCACTACCTACCCAAATCCTATAAAACTGCCCCACCCCTAACTCCCTTTGCTAACTCTCTTTTGGGACTCAGTCCACCTGCACCCAGGTGATTAAAAAGCTTTATTGCTCACACAAAGCCTGATTGGTGGTCTCTTCACAGGGATGCTCATGACAGTTAATACAAAAATAGATACTCCAAAAAAAGTGTTGGAGGAATAAAATTACTTTATAATTATCCGGCTTGTCAATGTTGTGCAAAGCTGCACTCCACATGGTGGGTACTATATATATACAGTTTTAATTATTTTACATTTAGTACTTGCTTGACCTTGGACAACTCTCTTAATCTGTTTGAGTCAGTTTTTTGATCTGTAAAATGAAAAACATGAAGGACCAGAGGAAGTGGAAAACAAGAATGAAAGAGATAAGGAAAGAGAAAGAGGAAGAATGAAGGATGAAGAAGAGGAGGAGGATTAAATAAGGGAAAGAAGAATGTATGTGACGGCACTTAGAATAGACTCTGACACCTTATAAGTACTATGTAAATGTTAACAAGTATAATTTTTAATTTTAAAAAATTTTTAGCTACATACTATTTTTAGACAAAAATTTAAAAATTTTTAGGCATAGTTCTACATATTTATGGAGAACAGTATTCTACATATGTATGTACATGTAAGTATACATATATAAATATATATATATATATAAATCAATGTGTTTTATCCCTTTTTTTTTTTTTCAGAAAACAAGCATACAAATATCTACATGCAGTACCATGGGTATTCTAAATTTCATCCTTTACCGAATTATTGGAAAAGACTGTATGTAACATTTCTTAATAAATGTATAAATAATTGTCTTATAAATGCCTAGATTGTTAAAATATAGGAAGATAGAAGTTTGCTGACAGTGTTGGAAAATAATTAAAAGCAAAATATCCTGCTATCTCAGAAAGTCTCTCCATAAATGAAGCAGAGTTTTGCTATTGAATAAACATTAAAGAAGGTAGTAATGCCCATCACAGGCAGTTCCTAAAGGGAGCACAAAATCAGAAAGAAATCTGACCCTTTTATATAGCTAGGAAGATACAATCCAATACATATATTTTCACAGGATAAACAACTAGTACTCAAGTAAGAGGAGGTAACAGCACCATTTGCAATATACTGTTGATTCTAAATTCACCTAGTAATAGAAGTGGCTATCTGTGTTAGTTAATTGCCTTTATCCAGAAGAAAAATGGAACTTCTTATATCTTCTTGACAAGCAGGTAGTTTTACAACTAGAAATCAAACACCTAAATTAAAGTCTCACTCTCCTGCCTAGGAGGGGAGATAGAGGCACTAATGTCCTTGACATTTACATTTCAAAGAGATGGCTCCCAAGCCCCTGAGGAAAACATTTCTGGTTATAAAACTGGAGAGGGGCTTATTTAGCGTTTAAACAGGTTTACATACCACTCAACTGGACATGGAAAGGATTACAATTACCAGTTTCCTAAGGGAAATGCTCTAAGAAAAGAGGGGAGGTCTCTTTCTCCTTTTCACCAGGGAAATTTTCAAAATTTCTTTTCAGATTCTTATTTGCCCTTATGGTAGCATAGGCTTCTGACAAAAATGAGATTTTATTAGAGTTTAGAATAAAACAGATGTTCTACAAATGAGGTTGTTGCTGGTTTAATATTTCCTCACATTCATTTACTTATTCTTCCCAGCTTTTGATTCCACAAGGGCTTGTTAATAAATCTCCAGGGAGCTGTTTGCCTGTGTCACCAAAAGTCTATAGAATATTCTGTGATTAACAAAAACAGACACACAGAAATCTTCTGAATAGAAATTCAGAATCCTAGCTTGTCCCTTCTTTTAAGATATTTTAGATGTTGCTAAGCATGAAGGCTATGGGCTTATCACCACTTCATGTTTTGTTTTTGATATGAAATAACTCTCTTTTACAAAATTATACATTTCTAAAAAATGGGTCCAATGGAAGAGATTAGATTGATGTGACACAACTGGAGTTTTTAAAAAATGAGCAGAGAGACTGTTCCAATGTCAACATTAACAGTGGTGTCCTGATCATTTCCCCTGTTAATGTTAAAATGAACATTAATTTCTTCCTTCTTTATATACCAGCATTTCTATCATTTGCCAGAGAATAGTAATCGCTGGCTTCATAGAAGGCTGTAGGAAGAGTAAGTGCTCTCCACAAGTCCAGTCTGGTTGCTCTGAGTATTCACAGACAAATGAAGTCCAACTGCTTATTCTCACTGTGCAATAACAAGATGCAGACAAACTGGGAAAGAAAGGAGTTTATGTCTGCAATGGTTACAGGGAGAAGGTTGGAGTAACTCACCAGACCAACTAAAACTTACAACTTTTTTTTTTAGCTTATATATACAATTCAGGTTTATGCCTATGTGCCGGAGTCTTTCTTTTCTTTCTTTTCTTTCTCTCTTTCTCCTTCCTTCCTTCCTTCCTCTCTTTCTTTCTCTCCCTCCCTCTCTCCCTCCCTCCTTCGTTCCTTCCTTCCTTCTTCCTTTCTTCCTTTCTCTCTCTCTCACTTTCTCTCTCTTTCTTTCCTTTTTCCTTCCTTTCTTCCTTTCTTTCTTTCTTTTTCTCTCTCTCTCTCCCCCTCCCTCCCTCCATCCCTCCCTTCCTTCCTTCCCTCTTTCTTCCTTTCTTCCTTTCTTTCTCTCTCTCACTTTCTCTTTCTTTCTTTTTGTTTGAGACATAGTTTCACTCTTGTCTCCCAGGTTGGAGTGCAATGGCTTGATTTTAGCTCACTGCAACCTCCACCTCCCGGGTTCAAGTGATTCTCCTGCCTCAGCCTCCCAGGTAACTGGGATTACAGGTGTGTGCCACCATGCCTGGCTAATGATTGTATTTTTAGCAGAAATGGGCTTTCACCGTGTTGGCCAGGCTGGTCTCGAACTCCTGACCTCAGGCAATTCACCCATATCGGCCTCCCACAGAGTATTTCTTAATCAATCTAATCTTAACTAAAGGTCTGCATGTAGGAAGGTTTTTTAGATTTGTTCTTGGACTAGATTAAAGAGGTTGAGAAAGTCCAGGTGTGGTTTTAATGGGTTTGTTTTTGCATTCCAGCCCTTGTACTCAGGCACCAATTTCTCCAGTTCTTTAATATTTATCTTATACATTCATTATTACAGCAAAGGGTTTACGCAGACTTACCTGCTTGTGGAGCTCTGGCCTGCCACAAGAGGACTGAGCCCAGAAAGAGTACCTCTGCCAAAGGACAGGGCCCCTGAAGGCCTCTCCCAAAGGTGATGCCTCATATAGATACTGAAGAGTAATTTGCCAAGTGGGAAAGCAGGATAAGGCATTTCAGTCAAACCAAAGTTATAAAGACTTGAAAAAAGATATTTATTTGGAAATAAGTATTTGTGTGTATATTTGTGTATGTGTGTATGTGTGTGGTGGTGGTAGTGATTATTTAGTGTGTTAGAGGAGAAGTGTCAAGAAAATGGCTAGAATGTGAGTCAAGAGCTATGTCCTCCTGACCTTAAGCAATAGTATGCTATGTAAGGCATTTTGCATTTCATCCTGAAGAAGGTTCTGACAGATTTCAGCAGAGATGGAAAATCATTAGTTGCATTGTTGTAATAAAATCTTCTCTTTTAACAGCTTGAGATAGGTAGAGGAGGCAGCACCAAAGAAGTTGTGCAATACGAGGCCGGCAGGATGGCAGGGCTTGTGCCACCAGCAGATTCAATGGAGGGAGGAATTTAGAGGAGCTTGTCAAAGATGAGAGGTTGAAGGACATCACATTTGAGAATTAGGTCTTATAGTTGTGAATTTAGCCTTAATCAAGCAAATTTGTAGCTGATTGCTGTTAAAACTTGCACTACTGAATGTAGGATTCCTTCGGTGTTTCTTATCTGTTAAAAAACAACAACAACAAAAAAACAAACAAAAAAAAACAGTGACTATTTTATAGCCAGCCTTCTCTCTTGAGAATGTGTGCCAGGAGAGTGAATGAGGAACAGGCAGCTGTCAGGTGGCTGAAGAGGACCCAGGAGGTCACCTCAATGAGTGGCTAATTTGGCACTGAGGCTGATGGGAAAGGCACATTGCTGTAGTCCTTTTTGTGCCTCTTAATTAAATGCATTAAATTTCAATTTTCTTAAAATGCAGGAATTGAATAGATGACCACTAAAGACGCTTTCAGCCGTCGTGGTCTAAGACTCTTGATTGACATCATCTAATTTGGAGCTCATGGCATAGTTTTCCATTTTTAAACCTTCTATTTTTGATTTTCATGAGAAAACCTTTCTATGTCTGGTCACATCTACTTTATGTGAGTGAATTAACTAGAGAGAAATATATTATAGAATACCTTTCCTCCTTTTGTTATTAGAATAATCTTTTTCATGTCAAAAAACAGTGCAGATTGTCTGTGAAATGGAAATGGTATTCTGAAACTTGTGTAGATAATTAAAAAAAAAAAAAGAACATGATGTGATTTTGCCTAACTGGTAAGGTGCCACTTTGCAAGGCACAGGATGGCGTCCACAGTGAAAGCTTCCACCTTCCTATGCTCTGCCTCAGATGGTCCCATTGGCGTGCTCCACTTCAGTTTTCAAAGCTAATTAGAATATATTCACTTTTGTCTGTTATATATTCAGGGAGAAACCCTATATCTGTACAAATGAGGTAGCCTTATATTGCCAGTTGAGTTTACTAAAGGTCTCAGACAGATGAGGGACTGTCAGAGAGATTTCCCCAAGGAAAGTGCAGAGCAGAGATGGGCGCCCTGTGCATGGGCCCCTACTCTGTATGCTGGAGGGTATGCTGGAGCCTGCTTAACAGTCCTTCGATAATTATAACAGTTATATAAAGATTTATTCCAAGGTTTAGGAAAATCAGTCTCATAAAAATGAAATAACTTAGCCCACATTATGAACTGGTAAAAACTAGTATTTTGGGGAGCCGGAATGGGAACACAAGTTTGATTCTCAAGCCATTACCTTTCAATCTCACTCTGATTCAAAATAAAACAATCCATCACCCCTCCTCTGGAAGCAACCATAGGAGGAAATTCACCCCCGATATTTCATGTGGATCCTTTTCTATTTTCCCTAAGTGTCGGCTGGTCTGAGAAATAAAGGGAAAGAGTACAAAAGAGAGAAATTTTAAAGCTGGGTGTCTGGGGGAGACATCACATGTCAGCAGGTTCCGTGATGCTCCCCAAGCTGCAAAACCAGCAAGTTTTTATTAGTGATTTTCAAAAGGGGAGGGAGTGTACAAATAGGATGTGGGTCAGAGAGATCACATGCTTCACAAGGTAATAAAATATCACAAGGCAAATGGAGGCAGGGCGAGACCACAGGACCACAGGACCGGGGTGAAATTAAAATTGCTAATGAAGTTTTGGGCACACATTGTCATTGATAACATCTTATCAGAAAACAGGGTTTGAGAGCAGACAACTGGTCTGACCAAAATTTATTAGATGGGAATTTCCTCATCCTAATAAGCCTGGGAGTGCTACTGGAGACCGGGGCTCATTTCATCCCTTATCTTCAACCGTAAAAGACAGCTGTCCCCAAAGCGGCCATTTCAGAGGCCTCCCCTTAGGGACGCATTCTCTTTCTCAGGGATGTTCCTTGCTGAGAAAAAGAATTCAGCGATATTTCTCCTACTTGCTTTTGAAAGAAGAGAAATATGGTTCTTTTCTGCCTGGCCCACAGGCAGCCAGACTTTTAGGTTTTCTCCCTTGTTCCCTGAACATTGCTGTTATCCTGTTCTTAAGGTGCCCAGATTTGATATTATTCAAACACACATGCTCTACAAACAATTTGTGCAATCATCACAGTGTCCCGAGGTGACATACATCCTCCTCAGCTTACGAAGATGATGGGATTAAGAGATTAAAGTAAAGACAGGCATAGGAAATTACAAGAGTATTGATTGGGGAAGTGATAAATGCCCATGAAATCTTCACAATTTATGTTCAGAGATTGCAGTAAAGACAGGCGTAAGAAATTATAAAAGTATTAATTTGGGGAACTAATAAATGTCCATGAAATCTTCAGAATTTATGTTCTTCTGCCGTGGCTTCAGCCAGTCCCTCTGTTCAGGGTCCCTGACTTCCCACAACAAGCAACACCACAAAACAATAAATAACTACTCCACCCTTGACCCAGAGCAATGGGAGAAAGGCCTGGCCAGGAGAAACTAACTTTGTTAAAAGTCTAATACTGTAGGCCCTGCCAGCCTCTTGTATTTATTCATCAGATTTAATTATCAAAAGAATACTCATGAAATAGTAATATCATCACTTTATGGATGAATAGTAAATGGTGAATCTTACATCAAATATGAGTATGCTCAACTTCAAAGCCACTTCTACACCTGGAGTTTTGGATATACAGAACTGTTGTGACAAACAACTGTATGAGTTGATATTTTCTCTGCCTTCTAATTGAGGAAACAAAGGTATGGGGAGATTACATGTGTCAAACACATTTACTAAGTTGGAACATCCCAAGTGGGGATTTGAACCCAATTCTCCCACTTTTCTCCAGTGATCTGTCTCTACCTGATTTCTAAAGTCACCAGGAATGCTGTCCTCTACACTTTTATGTAGGATTTTGTTTCAGTCCAAAATGCCCTTCCCTACATGCTAGCAAACTTAATCTTCAAGATCTTGGATCTTTAATTGAAAAACCCAAAAATCTTTAGGAACCTGCAGTACACCTGGGTGTTGTGCTACATGCCAAAGAAACTCCAGAGAGAAATTCTGTTGCCTTTGTAAAAGTTGTCAAAATCAAAATGGAGTCAATAGTGTCAGGGCAAAAACAAACAAACAAACAAACCAAAACAATAACAAAAAATTCCCAACTTTGACAAATAGAGTTACAGAAGGCCATAGAATAAAAAGAGGGGGAACCATGTGTGTATGCCTACTAACAGAAACTATCAAAAAAAAAAAAACTGCAAAAGCCACAACCTTGCACAAAAGCCATCACTGCTTTACACAAAAGTTACTTCTGCAAGGATATCTTCCCAGCAACTGCCTGTCCAATCTTGGACTGGCATCATCTTTGTTATTGAATGTCAGATTGTTCTTGCATTGCTATAAAGAAATAACTGAGATTGAGTAATTTATAAGAAAAAGGGGTTGAATTGGCTTATGATTCTGCAGGCTTTACAGAAAGCATTGTGCTGATATCTGCTCAGCTTCTGGAGAGGCCCCAGGAAGCTTACATTCAAGTCAAATGGGAAGCAAACATCTCACATGGCAAGAGCAGGAGTGAGAGAGAGAGGGAATGGAAATGCCGCACTTTCAAACTCTAGATCTTGTGAAGACAGCACTAAGGGAATAAGTGTTAAACTATTTGTGGAAACCCACCTCCATGAGCCAATCACCTCCCCTCAGGCCCCATCTCCAACATTGGGGATTACATTTCAACATGAGGTTTGGGGTAACAAATATCCAAACCCTATCATTCTGCCCCTTGGACCCCAAATCTCATGTTCTTCTCACATTAAAAAATACACTCATGCCTTTCAAATAGTTCCCCAGTCTTAATGCATTTCAGTATTAACTCAAAGTCCAAAGTCTAAAGTCCCATCTGGAGCTGAGTTTCTTCCACCTATGAGCCTGTAAAACTAAAACAAACGTTTTATTTCAAAGATACAATGCAAATTCAAGCATTGGGTAAATATTCTCATTCCAAAAGGGAGAAATCGGCCAAAAGAAAGGGCAATGAACCCCATGCAAGTCTGAAAGAGTACAAAGAGAGGAATTTTACAGCTAGGCCTCCGGGGGTGACATGACATATCGGTAGGACCGTGTTGCCCACTTGAGTCTTAAAGCCAGCAAGTTTTATTAGGGATTTCAAAAGGGGAGGGGGTGCAAAAACAGGGAGTATCTCACAAGATTACATGCTTCAAAGGCAAAAAGGAGAACCACAATCACGTGCTTCTGAGGAAACAGGACAAGGGCAAAACAGAACTACTGATAAGGGTCTATGTTCAGCTGTGCACATATTGTCTTGATAAACATCTTAAACAACAGAAAACAGGGTTCAAGAGCAGAGAACCGGTCTGACTTCAAATTTACCAGGGTGGAGTCTCCCAATCCTAGTAAGCATGAGGGTACTGCAAGAGACCAGGGTGTATTTCAGTCCTTATCTCAACCGCATGAGACAGACACTCCCAGAGTGATCATTTATAGACCTCCCGCCAGGAATGTATTCCTTTCCCAGGGTCTTAATTATTAATATTCCTTGCAAGGAAAAGAATTTAGTGATATCTTCCCTACTTGCACGTCCATTTATAGGCTCTCTGCAAGTAGAAAAATATGGCTCTATTCTGCCTGACCCTGCAGGCAGTCAGACCTCATGGTTGTCTTCCCTTGTTCCCTGAGAATTGCTGTTACTCTGTTCTTTTTCAGGGTGCACTGATTTCATATTGTTCAAACACACATGTTTTACAATCAATTTGTGCAGTTAACACAATAGTGGTCCTGAGGTGATGTACATTCTCAGCTTACGAAGATAACAGGATTAAGAGATTAAAGACAGGCATAAGAAATTATAAAAGTATTAATTTTGGGAACTGATAAATGTCCATATTAAAATGAAATCTTCACAATTTATGTTCAGAGATTGAAGTAAAGACAGGCATAAGAAATCATAAAAGTATTATTTGGGAACTGATATATGTCCATATTAAGATGAAATCTTCACAATTTATGTTCTTCTGCCGCGACTCAAGCCGGTCCCTCCATCTGGGGTCCCTGACTTCCTGCAACAGCCTCCAATTTCATATTTCCCCTTGGCACTGTTCTAGTAGAGGTTCTATGTGAGGGTGCCACCCCTGTGGCAAGCTTCTGCCTGGGAACCCAGGATTTCTGATACATCCTGTGAAATCTAGGTAGACACTCCCAAGCCTCCTTCAGTCTTGCACTCTGCATGCCTACCAGGCTTAACACCACATAGAAGACAGCAAAGCTTATGGTTGTGCCCTTTGGAGTTGTGTCCCACGCTGTATATGAGGCCCTTCCAGACTTAGCTGGAGCCAGAGCAGCCAGGATGTGAGGAGCAGTTACCTGTGGTGGAACAGGGCAGTGGTACCTCAGGCCTGGCCCTCAAAACCATTCAGTCCTCCTAGGCCTCTGGGTATGTAATGGGAGGGGCTTCTTAGAAGATCTCTGAAATGCCTTCTAGGCCTTTTCTCCATTGCCTTGGAAATTTGCACTTGGCTCATTTTTCATTTTGTGACTATCTCTAGCAAGTGGTTGCTCCACAGCTTTCTTGGATTCTTACTCTGATAAAGCGTTTTCTTTGCCACATGGCTAGGTTGCAGATTTTCTAAACTTTTATGATCTGCTTCCTCTGTAAATATAACTTTCAACTTTAAGTCATTTGTTTGCTCCCCCATCTGATCTAGGCTGTTAGAAATAGCCACATTACATCTTTATCACCTGCTGCTTAGAAACTTCTCCGACCAGATACCCTAGGACATCACTTTTAAGTTCAAATCTCTGCAGATTTCTAGGGCATAAAAACAATGCAGTCAAGCTCTTTGCTAAGGCATTACGAGGATGACCTTTGCTCCAATTCCCAATACGTTCCTCATTTCCATTTGAGACCTCATCAGCCTGGACTTCAACGTTCATATTGCTATCAGCATTTTGTTCACAACCACTTAGTGGTCTCTAAGAAGTTCCAAACATTCCCTCATATTCCTGTCTTCTTCTGTGCCCTCCAATC
The DNA here is from genome assembly GCF_000001405.40 of Homo sapiens. Lineage (NCBI taxonomy): Eukaryota > Metazoa > Chordata > Mammalia > Primates > Hominidae > Homo > Homo sapiens. The sequence goes on from NC_000007.14 coordinate 48,950,985, forward strand.
TTTTCCAAACTCTGGCCATTATCCAGTTTCAAAGCTGCATCCACACCATCAGGTACCTTTATAGCAATGCCCCACACTTCCGTAACAATTTTCTATGTTAGGCTGATCTGGAAGTGCTATAAAAAATCTGACACTGAATAATTTATAAAGAATAAAGGTTCAATTGGCTTATGGTTCTGCAGGCTTCACAGAATACATGGTGCCCGTGGCATCTGCTCAACTTCTGGGGAAGCCTCAGAAAGCTTACAGTCATGGTGGAAGGCAAAGGGGAAGTCAACTCACATTGAGAGGGCAGGAGCAAAGGAGAGATGAAAAGTGCCACATACTTTGAAACAACAAGGTCTTGCCAGGATAGGACCAATGGGACGGTATTAAGTCATTCATGAGAAATTCATATTCATGATCCAATCACCTCCCACCAGGCCCCACCTCTAATATTGGAGATTACATTTTAACATGAGGTTTGGAAGGGAAATATCCAAGCTTTATCATTTATCTTTGTAGCCAAGGGTATTTGTTGTAAACAATTTTGTAATTCTCAGTTTATTCTTTATAAGCCTGTGTCTTCCTTTACCCCACAGAATATGCACATATTTTTATTATGGCATGTGTATTCCCATTGTATTGCTTTATTCACAAATAACCTTTTATTCTAGAGCCTCTCTTTATGTTATTAATATTGACATCTTGATCAGTCTAATAGAGAATTACCTCGGATCATGGTCAAATCTTACACCTCTTCAGAAGCCCTTTTATGTTTCTCCAGAAAAAGTAACGTCTGCCTTTTTTTCACCTTCCCAGCTGTTTTCCTGTGTCTCTGTTTTGACGTTTATCAAAGCTGTCCTTTTATTCTACCTATATATAAGGCTGTGATATCTGCAAAAATTTGAATCCTGAGGGGCAAAAAAATGCTATTTTTGGCATCTGTCCCCTTCAGTCTTTTGTATGGGAATCAATAAATATTTGTGCAATTTGGAAAGTGGGGTAAAAATTCCCATGGCTGGGTGCGGTGGCTCACACCTGTAATCCCAGCACTTTGGGAGGCTGATGTGGGCAGATCACAAGGTCAGGAATTTGAGATCAGCCTGGCCAACATGGCAAAATCCCGTCTTTACTAAAAATACAAAAATTAGCCAGGCATGGTGGCTGGTGCCTGTAATGCCAGCTACTCAGGAGGCTCAGGCAGGAGAAATGCTTGAACCCAGGAGGTGGACTTTGCAGTGAGCCAAGATTGTGCCTTTGCACTCCAGCCTGGGCAACAAGAGCAACTCCATCTCAAAAAATAAATAAAAAAATAAAATTAAAAAAAAATATATCCCTTGATACAGAGTGGAAAGAAGAAAAAGAAAATCAAAGGCTCATTAACCAGAAAGAATAATCCATGGTTAATTGCTCAGTATGGTATAATGATTCTCCAATGGCAGATGGTATTTGGGTAGTATGTGTTAAACTTTTGGCCCAGTAATTTTTTCTCTGTTCTTCTCTTTCATCACCTTTCAGAAGTTTCATAAAAACAGCTTGGAAGTTCAGATGCTTTCTGGGCTGTCATGCTTTCACTATGACAATTACTCTGCTAATCACCAACACCTTGCAGATTAATGGAGATTAGCAGTGGGCCTGAGGAGTGAGAAGGCACACTGACTCCGAGGCAGCATTTGCAAAAACCCTCAAAGGATTCCAGGTGAACAGGCTAGTAGATAAGAACTAAACAAAATATTTTGAATTATTTCTCAGGAGGATCTGTAGAAGCCACTGCACTCTATGAATCAATGGAGGGGTATGAAGATTGACCCTGTAGTTCTTCAAGTAGTGTCTCAAAAGAGAAAACATGGGACATACTTTCACCAGAAATTAGAAAAATGAGATGAGAAGAAAATATTCCAAGTCTCAGTTAGTTTGGGATTCTCAGGATTAAATAAAGTAATTGGGATTTTGTTACCTGGGAATTTTTCAGAGCCCTCAATAAGCCAGGAAGCATGGTGAGTTTTAAGTATAAAATCAGGTACTTAGAATTACCCTGCCTTATTTGACCACATACTCATCTTCTTTTCATAGCATAGAGGTTCTGCAGAGGACTGTGGGAAATTCTGACTTAAATGCGGAATTATAAACAGAAGGTAAATTGTCCTTCTTTGAGAATCCATTAGTACCCACTAATGAGTGTTACATGCTTTCATATACATTTTTCATTGAATCTACCAAACTCATCGATATAGAAAACACTATTTTCTTTCCACAGATGTGGAATCAAAAGTTCAAAGAGCTTAAGTGGCATACTGAAGCTCAGCAGAGTTATGATTTAAATCAAAGTCTGGCTGATTATATCCCTAAATTGACAGTGATGGCACATCTCCTTGACAAGAAGAAGGAGGTCTCCAATGAGCTTGAAGGCAACAGAGGATCTCCACCATGATTAGATTCCATTGACTGGGTGACAGGTATACAAAATAGTTTTAGCAGTTACTGTAGTCATATTAAAATGGAATATAAGATTAAGTTGAAGATGGGGCAAGGAATCTTGGAAATTGAAATACTATTCTAGATAGCTTTGCCTCTTTTTTAGTTGCCTGCAGGAAATATTTGCCCTGGAGACAATGGAAAGCTTTAGATACTTGGTTAGAATCAAGAAGGGGAAAAGAAAAAGACAAAACAAAAAACAAAAAAACAGAAACCACTTCTCATTGACGCCCAAATTAAAGCAGGTAAATTTTTCCACCCAAAACTCTCTAAGGTAAAACACCAGTTTCTTTATCTAGTTTATCTTGTTGGACTGTGGAAGAGGAAGGGTCCTTCTGATTCCCTCTCTCCACCGCCACTCTCAGAGCACTGAAAGTGCAGCATCCATAGGCTGGCATTTCATGGCAGATCTGAGCCAGTGTAAACACCGGCCCCTAAGACCCCAGCTCATTAAAATTTTCCTGTTCTTTGCTGCATGGAAAATCCTCACTTCTTTAGGATGCAGTTAAGGTGAACAGGGGAGAGGCATTTCTGTAAATACAAAGTTTCCAGGAAAAAGTGTCAGGTGACCTGTAAAGGATTGCAAGCACTTAGTCTTAAAAACTGCAATGTCTAGAATATGGAAGAGTGGTGTGGTTTTTGTTAAGATGGAATACTGATATTTCACTTTATCTTTCCTACTGATTGCAACTAAGAGTCCTGAATGGAAATCATTAAAAAAAACCTCTCAGGGTGGTCCATTTTGTGTGTGTGTGTGTGCATGTATTGCTGTATGTGTGTGCATATTGCTGTGTGAGATTTTTCCTCATATATATCTTGAATTAGACTGAAGAAAGCCTGAATCCCTGAACTGTGCAACAGGCAGAACAGGAAAAGTCTGAGAGAAACCCACTATTATCAGTTCAAGGACTGGCTTCCCTAGAGAATGGAGTTAGAGAGAGGAATACTTCCTCTTCTTGTTTGTTTCTGTGTGTGTTATTTTAATGTTTTCCCAGCTCAGCCCCTAGGTAAGTCTCAGTTCCAAAAGTACCCTTCAGCGGAGGCAGTGGCAGCAGCCACTGCTCAGACACTTAAAACTCCGAGAGAAAAAGCCAATTCCCTGACAACAGTAACAGGAGCAAGCTTCCCCTGTAATGGGAACAGTGTTGGGGAGGAATCTCTGCCACACGCTACTTCTCTCTTTCTTCCTGCTGCTTTGCCCCAGAGGTAGATCCAGTTTAAAAGTATGTAACAGCACAAGAGTACAGTAGCAGATACATATATATTGTTTGGAAATAATAAAAATTAACTAGAAATCAATAACAGAAAAATGACTAGGAAATCTTCTAAGTATTTGGGAATTACACAGCAAATGTCCATAGTTTTCTACCCGGAATACTAGAGAAAAAGCTCCTGTGTACTGGAGAGTGAAAGAAATCACAAGGACTGGGGATCTCAAGAGAGGGGTCCTACAAAGCTGTGTCTGAAGTCCTGGGCCCAGCCTAGAGCTACAGATGCGTAGGATTGATTGGAAACGGCACACCAAAGTGACTGAGAAAGAAGCCATGATGTAGACCAACAACGAGGAAGCAGACTGCGCTCCCCAAAGGAGCACAGATAGAGCCAATTTGGATATCCCTGCAAAGGCTTTAAGGCTGAACTGACATCGGGACTATAGAAAGTGAGTCAGACTGGCATCTTGATCCTAACTAGGGTCAATGGTAGATTAAGAAAAGCAAAAGGATGGGAAGAAAATCTACCATGCAAACACTAATGAAAAGAAGGTTGTATTGGTATGGTAATATCAGACAAGGTAGACTTCAGAACAGGAAAAATAATCAGAGATAAAGAGGGACATTAAACATTACAAAAGCGACAATTCACCAGGAAGCTATAATACACCTACATGAGTATGTGCTTCATAACAGAGCTTTAACATCTGTGAAGTAAAAACTGTCAAAATAGGAAGGAGAAATAAACAATATCCCATTTAATGATAAAATAAACAGAAAGAAAATCAGCAAGGGCAGAGAAAACGTTAAACAACTTCAACTAAAAGACTGAGTTGATCAATGGGAACACACCACACAGCTACAGCAGGATGCACATACTTTTCCAGTTCTCATTAAACATGTATCTAGTTAGACATATCCTGGATCATAAAAGAAACCTTCACAGATTCAAAATAATACAAGCCTGGGCAACATGGTGAAATCCCATCTCTACAAAAAATACAAAAAATTAGCCAGCTGTGGTGGTGTGCATCTGTAGTCCCAGCTACTCAGGAGGCTGAGGTGAGAGAATTGATTGAGCCCAGAGGTCAAGGCTTCAGTGAGCTATGATTGTACCACTGACCACTGCAGCACTCCAGCCTGGGTGACAGAGCAAGACCCTGTCTCAAAAAAAAAAAAAAAAAGAATAAAATAATAGAAATTTTAGTATACGTATATTCCTTGAAAATAATGAAAATTAACTGAGAATCAATAACAAAGAGAACTAGAAAATCTATCAATGATTTGGAAGTTAAACAACAAACTTTCAAATAGTCCAAATTATCCATAGTAATTCAACCAAGAAATCTCAAAGGAAAGTATAAAATATTTTGGAGTGATTTAAAGTGAAAATAAAATGAAATGTTGGGGGAATGAGCTAAAGCAAAGCTTAGCTCTATCTCCATATGGAGGACCCATATGGAGGATTTGTAGAGTGTTTCTGTGTTAACACCCTCCCTTATGCACTAATTCTGTGAAAGTAAGAGGATATGTTTTTATTGCCTGAATATTCAAAAAAATAAAGAGGTCTAAAGATTTTGAAATATATTAAAATTGGATATGTTGAGAAAAACTAAATCCAGCAATAAACAATTGATATATGTAAGACAGAGGCAGCAGGAAAAAGTGAAGTAGACTGGAGCTTTACAACAGTCATATTATCATCGTCCATTTGTATTTGTATCACACTTTATAGTTTCAGCACATGTGCACATCATTTCATTTGACATTCATCACAAGCCTGTAACACCCACCTTATTTTGTATTTGCAAAAATTGATACAAATATCTAACTATCTAAAACTGATGAGGACTATGCTACTTTTTCTGATCCCTCTTTTCATCACATCTCATGGCTTTTTCTAAATTATACATGAATATTAATTTATTCTAAATCAGGCTTATGAAGGAGAGTAAACAGCCATATAGTGTCACCTGATGTAATAGAAATTAAACCGCATGCTTTGTAGAATAAAAACTAATTAATCGCATTTATAGTCTATTTACTGGTTACTAGCCTCACAATTCCTCTCAGTTATATGTTAGCCCTGTATAATTATATTTTTAAATGATTTATTCATTTGTTCTACCCAAACAGCAACAGTTAATTTTAAATTGATTAAATATACTCTAGGAATGAGCTTATGAACTGTATTTCAAAGAATAAATCATACTTTTAACGAATAGAGTCGAGTTTAATTAATTAAATTGAACCAAAAATGTAGTCAGTGATATTTCTGTCATCTGAATTTAGTAGCTGGGGTCATCAGAGCAAGACGTTTGCACTCATTGACATTACATAAGTCAATCCAATCAGTTTCACATACATTTGAATAATTTTGATCATCTTTGTAATAATTACTGAATCAAATATCACTTTAACAGTACTATTCAAACATTGACATTCATTTAAATACCATGATCGATGGTTAAATTGGGTAGCTATGAAAGATTCAATGAATATAATTTTTAAAATTATAGAGAGATGAAATTGTGATTTCTGTTGGAATAACATAAATTGAATAACAATAGTTTAATTTTGAATAATTACCCATGAGTTGAGACTTCAGGGCATTTATTTATTTTTGAAGAACAGTGCACATTGGCTTATGGCACAGATTTGAAACAGTTAGACATGCCACTTTATTAGCTGCTTGATTATAGCCAGGTTTCTAAATTTCTCTAAACCTCACTTTCTCATTCTGTAAAATAAATATAGAATAGTACCTACTTATTAGTTCTATTGTGGGAATTAAGTAAAACATACATAGCACAGTGTCTGGCAGAAAAGTAAAGACACAATAAATATTACTACTGTTGTAATTACTATTTTTATTAATATTATTATTAGCATTACCAAGACTCTTTATTAGGTAGAAAAATGAGATTAGTGCAGAAAAGTAAAGGGGAAGAAACAAAGTTGTCAATACCTTGATATTATTAAAATACAAGCGTCAATTATTGAGACAGAAGTCAAGGCTTGGCATTTTTACAGAAATTCCCCCTGTCCAGGCTTGAAGGCAAATGGCTGATCCAAACCAATGTGTTTGCAAAGAAATCATAAATTAGGAAACAGTGAGGGATTAAAACTAAAGATAACCCAATTAGGTGTCAGGTTAAATGATGAGGTCTAATTGGTCAGAAATCAAGGGGCAGAACAAGTAAGAGATACTAAGTCTAGAGGCAAAGCCATAGCAACAAGTTTCCATTTGAGAAAAACTCTATTTCAAGTAGTTATATTATTCACAGTCAGTCAGGACAGAAAGCGCACTGGGAATGTAAACATGGAGATTTCAATATGAATAATTATTACCTGGTGATATGTCTCTTCAGCAGTTGGTACAATAGCATGTATGCCAGCAACTAGCAACATCAGCCTCCACCTGATTTTCCAGCATTCCTGCAGGAGGCTTCCAGCACACCAGAAAGAAGGAATACATGAGAATTCTTAGGACTGAGAGACAGTGCAAAGGAAGGGGCTGACTTGGGAGGGAATCTCCTCTCTGATGCTGAGTTTCAGACAACAGGATGGTGCAACTGGCTGGATTGCCTTAGCCTAGGCATGGTCCATAGGCTCTGCAGTGAGGCTGCAGTTTAGGAAACCATGAGCATGGACTGGTGAGCACAAAATCTTCTGTTGGGGGTGAGGAAAGCATGGGTCTGAGACACTGGAAGCCTCTTGCTAGAATGGCTGAGGGTGTGCAGAAGGGGAACACTGCTGGGTGGCTGTCTCTCAGACATGCCATTCTGCTAGCTATCAAAGAGAAATGATACTGGCTCCAGCTCCAGAATCACAAATCAAGGCAATGAGGGTAGATTTGGATTTCAGAGATAATAAATTGATAACCACCCAGTAGCAATAGCTCATATTATAAAAAATCACTTTGTGCCAGGTACATAAGCTTATTTAATTTTTACAATAGCCTTATGATTTAGAAACTATGGGGCCTTCTGGCCAAACACCATGAGGAACACAAAGTAAAAATATATATATAGAGAGAGAGTTCTCTATATACATATTAGTTCTTGCAGAGAAGCACATATAAGAAACTGGGGCATCTCAAAAGAGGGGTATGCCATCAAAGGTTTGGGGTGTAACAGTGAATCTCAAAGCAGCCTTGGTAGTTATGTTCAGGATTTATAAACCAGGCTAATCACCGGAGCAGTCAGTGGACTTATTTTCAATTTGCAGTTTGTCTCATGACCTCACAGCAGGGCCACTATTAGAAAGATTTGTAATAGTGCAGATGGTTACAATCTTAGACTACCAGAGCTAGACTCTTCCAGGGCCAACAGTCTAAGTTTAGCCCTAAAAGTTGATGACCATTGTCTCTTCTACTGTACTACATAGTGTGTGTTATTACATTCAGAAAAATAAGGGAATGGCCTGTATTGGGACCACCTTCTATGTTTTGAAAATCAAATGAACTTGATGATTTACATTTAAAGGTAAAATTGGCTATAAATGCTCCAAATTGCTTATTCCTTTTACCAGCAGCAGCTTCTTCTTCTCCTTTTTAAAATAGTGCATTAAAAATCACCCATGACACAGCTTTATCTTACCCTGAATGAAAGCGAACATTTAAATATCTTGATTTAAGGTGACAGATGTGGTATAATTCTATTATTACATCTTCTGATCCAAAGATTTAGTCTATTGTAATTTTTTTGTTTAATATCAATAAAATGTCTTTCCCATTGATCTTACATTTGAATGAGCTCAGATTAATTCCATGAGTCTCACCAGATTTATAACTGGAAGACAAAGTGGGGATTGGATTGAATTTATTTAAATTTAGTCTAATTGAAACCGAATCTCCTACAAGTCATTACTAAAAACAGCTTGTCTGACAGGGAAATATGTACAGTGCATATTTGAGTTCCTATAAAACTTTAATTCCCTTTGCGTGCTGTTTGTGTCAGGAAAATATATAGAACTAGAGAAAATTTATCATCTACTTTTGAACATTTAATTACTAAAAGAAATAAAGGTAGATCCAATTCATGTAGAATGCATTTTGCATCATAATCAGCTCTGTAACTGAAACCCATGTATCAGTGGATGATCTAGAATTATGTTAAATGGAGAATTTCTCAGTAGGTGCACAGTGGTTTGGAAAATTTCCAGCTCTGCATTTATGGAAGTGGCAGCAGTATATTTACATATCCAGTGTTCAAAGTGAACTTAATAGGGGTGAAATGGGAGAATCCACATGGCAACATAGACTCTCCCACTGTGTAAATATCCTACAGCATGCAAAGTAAGTCACTTATGTATTCCTACATACTTCTTACATATTTAAAAAATTAGGATCAAGGAGCCTGTATTTCATTTCAGAGTAGAGTGCTTACTATGTGTGTAATATACTGTTATTTGGAGCTGGGGATAAAAGGATGTGTCAGACAGCACATGACTGGGATGGATCTTAGTATGCTGAAAGAAAGAGTTTCATTAAAAGATCATTTCATTTCACTGTAATAACAGTAATGATAGAGACAAAGTAGAATATGGCACAGACACAAACTACATAACCCAGTTTGGGCAGGTGAAGAAATGAGAAAAACTGTGCCCTTAGGTGGATGAGTAACAGTTACCACATGGGTAGTGGAAATAGGTTTACTGTTAGCAAATATTTTAATACTTTGAGTACTCCACCATTTGATATTAATGGGCACTAAAGCACAAGCCAGAAGTGTCAAGAGCTGAGATTTGAAAGGGAGGTGGAAGCCAGATTTTGGAGCAACTAGAAAGTGGTGTCATGTTATGGAGCTTGAACTCTTTTAGATTGTTCATCCATTATCTGTGATGGGAAGAAATGGGTTTCAGGGAATGAAATGGAGAAAGTGAAACAGTCAAAGTTTATACATAGTCAAGACAAGGTATCACAGTGATCTAAATTGGGCAGCTATGATTAGAAAGGAGAAGAGAAGGATTCAAGAAAGGATTTCCAATTCATTCTGCAAAAAGAAAAGAAAAACAAACAAACAGGAGACATTGAAGAAGTCTTCAGAGTTTTGTTTTGTTTAATTAAGTAGAAGATAAAATCAGTAGGGTAAAGATAATCAGACTTACCTAGCTTTCTGCTTCTAAGTCTTAGAACATTGCCTGGCACACTGACTTAACTTTCGAGGAATTGAATGCCACATCAGAATTGTGTGTCTAAACTACAGGAAATCAGCAATGGAGCTGATTACGATGACAATTCACAGCATTAACTGGATCTAGCTTTATTTCTTTTAATCACTAAATGTTCACAAGTAAATGATCCTTTTTTCCCTATACCAACACATGTCTATGATTAATAAACTAAATGCTGAGATGTTTTAGTGATATATTAGTATGTCTAGTGTAATAAGTAATCTTTATAAAGCCATCACAATTTACACATTACTTTCACATTTATTAACCATAACCATTTCTACTCTCAAAATAATGCTCTAAGTTAAGTGTGTGGCTACCCCCATGTTACAGCGCCAAATGCCCAGGGCCCCAATTCCCTAGAAGCCTAATTTCTGGAGGTTGCTCTGTCTTTGTGATTGCAGTGTTGGTGTCTGAGGAAGCAGAATCCAGCACTTAACCAAAAATTCTTTCTTTTCCATGTTTCCTCACAAAGTACCAGGGTTACAAATCTTAGAGTGATTTGTTTGGCTTTTTCAGTTCTGCATTATTCATTGTTTATGACTCTCAATTCTATGAGGCTGAGCAACATGCCTTTGCACTCAATTAAATATCTGTGTTGCAGAAAAAAGAGAGTAAGGTCTGAGTGTCTGAGGAGGGCCTTGGAGAGGAGCTTCTGAGGTCTCTGAATAAAGTGAGGGAATACACATTACTATTTTATTGAGTGTGTTTTAAGGGCTATTTAACATTAAGCTACTGCTCTGAAGATTATGAATAATAAGTAGATTACTTGTTTTGAAAAAAATTCTGTAATGCTATAAAATGGGCTAAGTTAATGCACTAGAAACCTATTAAGCAGAAATCCTGTTGCACCGAAGTGTTATTTCAACTAGCAATCCATGTAAAAATCACTGTTTTTAGATGCCTGCTTCCTCCATCCTCTTGATACAGACACTCTTTTAGTCAGCCTAAAAGAAAAGGTTGCATTTATGTTCACTGTGCATTGATAATTGACTAACGGATGAGGGTGGAAGGAAGGCAAAATAGTAAAAACAAACAAACAAACAAACAAACAAAAAAACTGAATAAATTTGAATAATCCCTTGATCATTTCCTAATACCCACATTCTTTAGTCCTAGGAAATTCAGTTTTGAAGTTTATCTTTCTTAGGATAATTTATCAAGGCCGCTACCCATTTTTCTTGTTTATTTAGTCACAAAGGCCTCTATAAAGAAATGTCAAAAGCATAATTCAGTATATTAAACAGTATAATTAAACATATAAACCAAGCACAGAGGGTAGCATGTTAGTCCTAACTGGTGGGAAATGTGTTCCAAGGGAGCTTTTACACGGAATTCAAACCCAAGTAGGCATGTAGAAACCAAGGTTGGAGTGCAGCTATAAACCAGGCAAAGGAAACTAAATGTGCAAAGACACATCCTTTTAAAAAATGCTAAACTGAGCAGCAGCCTCCTCAGCTAGCCAAGCAGACTATTTGAAAAGTGGCAATGGCCACCTTCTCCAGCTGTTTAATCTGCTGCCCACCATCCCTCCCCCGACTCCATCTGTCTTTGCCTGTCCTCTGCATTCTGCGTCCTGGATGGTGGTTCCTTTTCGCTGTTGCCCTCTTTACTTCTTGTAGTTTGTTTTGCACAATGGAAGCCCCAGCAGGAAAAGAGAGAGGGTTATGGTTTCCAGTCCCCATTTTCTCCTTTACTTAAATGGGTCTGGCAGGAGCTTCATCTCTCTCCCTACGCACAGTCCAACCCCCCCGCCCCCCCGGCCCCCCCTTTTTTTTTGAGATGGAGTCGCTCTGTCGCCCAGGCTGGAGTGCAGTGGTGCGATCTCAGCTTTCCGGGTTCCAGCAATTCGCCTGTCAGCCTCCCGAGCACCTGGGACTTCAGGCGCCCACCACCACACCTGGCTAATTTTTGTATTTTCAGTAGAGACAGGGTTTCATCCTGTGAAGTCCAGTCTCAAACTCCTGACCTCAAGTGATTCGCCTGCCTTGGCCTCCCAAAGTGCTGGGATTACAGGCGTGAGTCACAGTGCCCAGCCCCCAACATGGCCCTTTTTCTTGCTGGGAGCTCTGGCAGCCTCCTTCCAGAGCTACAGCTCTAGCCAGCTCCGGGAACACCCCTCCCCCATCTTGCCCCCTCAAGTCTGGAGTGTAAGGGTTTCTAGTCCCTGGGGCCTTCTTTCATTCTTGGTTCTCCTTGCCGCACCCCCACCAGTGCGAATAGTCATTTCATTCGATTTTTTTCAGCCAATCCTTTCAACGTGCCATCTGTTTCTTTCCAGGATGCTTCCAAAATACAACTGTTTTCTAAGCTTCATACCATAACAGATTTTCCTCATATGAAACTAATTTTGTGCTTGAATGACTCACTGAAGCCTTCTGATGACCCTGCTGAATAGCCTATGAGTTATGTTGGTTTTCAAGGTAGCTTTATTAAGAATGTGATAGAATAAATCAATGTCTCATTCGTGCACAGGGTCAACAAACTTTATGAACCTGTGAAAAGGAAATTAAAGCTTGGGATCCCAATTCACTCTGCAAAAGGAAAAAATTAAGCTGAAAGCTGAGTCATGCAAGGACCTGCCATTCCTTTTGTTCCTAAGCAGAAAGCTGCAGATAAAAGGTTAAACATCTCCACAGGTAGATACTCTATGTTCACCTCATCTTATGTAAAGAGCCAGTTTACTTAGTATGAGAAAAATACATCTTTGACTATTCCCCTACCTGCTCCTTTTCTCTTGCAACATATGGATTTAGTAATGTGACCATATCCTCCTTCTTTCCCCTCCAGCCTCTTTTTCCACTTTGATACTGAAGCCCTCAAAATCATCTTTGGAGAAAAACATAGACCATAAACTATTTCTGGGATTCCCCGTTTTTTTTTCTCCCAGGCATTGTCTTTAACCTTGGCAAAATATACCTCTAAATTGATTGAGACCTGTGTCAGATACCTTTTGGTTTACCAACCTATAGAGATCTTCCAAAGTTATATTAAATGTGGATGCTTCATATCATCTAGCATGAATCACTGGATTTATGAATATGCAATGGTTAAATAAATGTCACTTCAGTTTTAGAAAAACAAAATGCACTTTGGAAAAAGCCATTTGTTAAAATGTTGTAAGAATAATGATATAATTGAAATACTGCATATTTTCCCTTTTGATTTCTATTATTTTAAATCTCTCATTATCTCTTGTCCAGATTATGGTCATCATTGACTTTCAAGTGTTGGTGACTTTTGCCTGTTTTCTGCTTTCCAGCTAGAACTATCCAGTAATGTTGTTTCCCCAGCTTTTAAGACTTCAGTAGTTCTTTTCAACTAAGATGAAAGTGGAAGGTTATCAGGATGGTTGACAAAGCAGTTCCTTATCTGCTCCCTGACTCTTCCGAAAGTATTTGGACATGCAATTCTCCCACAAGAACAAACTTCTCCAAAAGCATTGAACTTGGCAGCCTTCCCTGAACAGATCATTTTCACTTCCTTCAAGTCCTGTGTAATGCGCCTTTATCAGCCAGAGTAAATTTTACTTTTTCTTTTAAGTCACAGCTGAAGTAGTTATCTGAGAAGACTTTTCCAACATTTTTATTTTTATTTCCGTGAAGCTTCTCTTTTCTTCAATTACAATTTACTCATACCCCCATGATAGAATATGCCATTTTATATGTGATTATTCTTTCATATGCCCTTATTCTTCCTAATGGTGTAAGCTCTTTGAGAAGGGAAACTAAACATTTTCATCCTTGAATTTCTGGTGCCAAGCATAATGTCTGGCATTCAAGAGGTGCCAATAAGTCTGTTGAATTCAAGACTGTGAGAAGTACCACTAAGCCCATGATTCAGCTTGGATTGTACATAGAAAAGTCACTGTTGTGTGGACCCCTTCCATCCTCCATCTGCCATAATCTCAGTCGAAAGTCACTGTCCTGATATCTATGAAGTCTACTGAAGCGGCTGGGTGCAGTGGCTCATGCCTGTAATCCCAGCATTTTGGGAAGCTGAGGCGGGTGGATCACCTGAGGTTGGGAGTTTGAGACCAGCCTGACCAACATGGAGAAACCCCGTCTTTACTAAAAATACAAAATTAACCAGGTGTGGTGGTGCATGCCTGTAATCCCAGCTACTCGGGAGGCTGAGGCAGAAGAATCACTTGAACCCAGGAGGCAGAGGTTGCAGTAAGTCGAGATCACACCATTGCACTCCAGCCTGGGCAACGAGAGCAAAACTCCATCTCAAAAAAAAAAAAAAAAAAAAAAGTCTACTGAATAATTTGCATAGAAAAATGCTCCTAGAACCTTATTAGTCAATAGCAAATCATGGTTGGCTAAATTTCAAACAAGAAGAGCACCAATCTAGTAATGGATAACATGGATGAATTGATTCAAAGAAAGATTAATTTTATGTTTCTGTGAAGAAGCTTTTATGTTTCTTCATGCCAGAGTAATCTTCTCATATATTCAATAACAACATAAAGCAATGGACAAATTCACTTAGATCAATTTTCTCCTGATTTTAAATAAAAAGTTAACATAAGTCCTTTCAATTTGTTCAACTGTAACATAATCCAATAGCTCTGATAAAATTCAATTTTATAATGGTTTAATTGAAAGTAAATTAAACAAGTGTATGTCGAAGTTTTATCACACCAAATATTTTAAATTACTCTGAAAACAAATATTTCAATTCTGATATGATGACTTTAAACATGATAATGTTTGATTTTTAGAACAATCAATAAGAATTTCACATACATTTGGGAGCTATCTTCTATTGATTTTGCACAAAATTAAATCAAATTTCACTTTATGCCCAGGTAGTCATGGTAAAGGAAGAAGAACTTGCAAAACAGATTTGAGTTTTGTTAAGTATTTTATCAAATGCCTTCTATGGTAGTAGCAAGAATACATTTTCTTTCCCATCTTACTCCTGATAACCAAGATTGGACTAATGAAGCAGAGCATATGCATTTAATCATTTTATAAGTTAGTTGGGCATTTACAGAGGAAGGTGGTTCTATAATTACCCTTCTACCATCCTTTGAGTATTGTCATAGGTATGTATTACAGGACAACATATTTTTAAAGAATTGATATTTTATAGCCTATTCCTCAAAGAATTTGAAGAACATTATAAAGTGAAACACATATAAATCAGAACAATTAAAATTTAAAAGCAAATAAAAAACCAATTAGGAAGAAGATAAAGGCAAATGAAATAGTTTCCTGGAATGATTAATTTATGCCAAGCACTGCCTTTTGCCCTGTGGTTCATTCAGCAGCACAGGCAGAGAGGAAATAGATGTCAGCTCACAGGATTCTAATTCTTTTGTTTCTTCTCATAGAACATTTCTTGGCTCAGCTAAAAAGTCACTGACACTGAATGCACTGGTGACTTTGGAGAGGTGTTCTCTGTTACATGGGCAGTGCCCACTACATAAATTCTAGTTTGAAGGCAGAGGGACATTTCCAAAACAGACTCTACAATCTGAAATGACTACATTGAAGCCTAAATACCATGAAGATATATAAACTGTAATGGAGTTTATCTCTTCTAGTCTAAGTATACATCTTTCTGATGATCTAAATGCAAACAGATAGAATTTTTGCTGTAGGCCATACCAGTAGTTGAAAGCAAAACACTGGTTCCTAAATATGATCTGAGTGAAAGCTCCTACTCCCAGTGAGTTCGGCTGGTAGAGGTACCTTTCCAACCTCTGCAATCTCTCAGCTGCTCAGAAAGAGTTGACGTCAGTGTCATCTGCTTAAGAGGTATTAGTCTACCGGTCCTTGACTGGGTACATTATGACTACATATAACTTGAGCTGAGAATCATCACTGGGGTAGCAGCCTCTCATGAATTGGAAGACCCTCTTCATCTGAGTGTTGTTCTCAGAAGCTGAAGGATCTCCATTGTCACCCTTAAACATTTCTTAAAGTTTAATTTGCACTGGCTTAGACTCAAATTCTTCCTCTAGGACTTTTGGTAAATTAATTAATCTCTGGGTCTCTGTTTCTGCACTTGCGAAATATGGATGGTGTCTGCCTAATGAATGGTTTTTCATGAGAATTAGTTGTGTTATATGCCACAAAACACTAGGTGACACCAGGTGTCTGATGTCAGTATTTGTTGGTTCCATTCCTCCTTCCTTTATCCTAGGGTTTGAGTTTCATGCTGTTAGGTATCTTGAGACATGAGCTGTTTTATACTAATCTACTGTCAACCCCTGAAGACTCACCTGGCTGCAATTTTTCAGTCTTATCACTTTAAAATCTCTGCCACTTTCAGTGTCACTTTTGAACTTCTATTTTCATTTTACTTCATTTTACATAGGAAGATTATGAATTATCAATGTTCTAATAAACCAAGTGATGGCTTACTTTCACCAGCTTCCTTTCTACTGGAGAAATGTTATGGATGCATATATTACCTGCTATAAAATCATGGCAGATGACAGTGGATGGTAACTCCTTCATGCACCCAACATGCCCGTCACTCTCATCCACCATGTCTGCCTGCTAATCACATTATGAATTTCAGAGTTGTATATTGCCCAGAGATAAGAGGATGACTTGTAGGATACATTATGTAACATAGGCCTCTTGACAAATGAATGAATGTTAAGATTTTCTGATTATTTTCTAAATTATAGTTAATATCTGTTACTTTAGTTACTAAACAGACAGAAAGCAAAAATAAAATAAGATAATTTGAAGAATTATGAGCTTGTCTTACACTCTGCCCAAAACAGGGTCATGTGCATCTCAGTGGAGCTGAGTTGAAGGGAATCTTTTCTCAAAATAATTATATTTCTTCAAATTTGTTAATGAGTTTGTTTTAAATCAATGTATTTTATAAAATCAATTATGTAGAGCTTCATTTTAGTCTAAAAAATAAACTTTACCTATTGACCAGTTATTAACTTCATTAAAGCTTTTTGTTGGTGTTCTGTGTGGGAGATGTGCAAGGGGAGAAGAAAATACACACGCACAATACCTTTAAGGGTAAACAACTTTTATCCCACATAAATGCAATGCATATATAATAAGCAAATGATATAATGAGCAAATTGATATAATAAGCAAATTGCAAAGGGAAGAGGAGAAAGGAAAAGATGTGTATATCTGTATATATTTATATATATATATCTTTACACTCATCAGACTATGAAGGATTCATCACCAGACTGGGAAGCAACAGCCTGGGCTCCAGAGTCGGACACTCATTCATGCACAGATGAGAAGAGGTTTCATAAAGCTTCAGAGTGGTCTGGGACCCTAGCTCTTTTTGTAATGAGTTGCTTGGCATGAGGCCCAGTCACGAGGGCCCTTCGCAACTGGGCTCAAGGAACACAAACAGGTCAACTTGTTTTTGTGATTGTCTGTTGTTTTTAAATAACTAACATATAGGAATAGATTGAAATAGAGATTTCTCCAAAACAGTGCTGGATAAATACCTCAAGGGCCTCATGCAACCTGTTCCAGGACTTGGTGACCATTGTTTGTGTCCATGTTCATTTGAGTTCAAATTTAATATTTAACTTTTCCTTCACAGTTGGGAGAACCACCATGATAAATGCTGCTTTAATATCCTGAGGCAGTTAAAAGTTATCCATAATATGGGCCATATTTAATATATTCCTATCAATTTTAATGTATCAGGAATTTGTGTTGCTGATGTTTAACTCTACATAGAGAAAGGAATTAACCAATCAGTGGAACTTCTGAAGTTCTTCCTGGTGCATGGTGGTTAGCCACAGCATTAATATAACATATAGTAATTATAAATGTGTCATAAGACTAATAAAGCTAAAAGTATAATTTTTAGAATAACTTATAAGAGAAAATCTTTGTATTATTTTGGTAGTAAAGATATTTTAGGGAGGGCATAAAAAGCACTGATTATAAAAGAAAAATAGTTGATAATTTAACTTCTTCAATATTAAAAACTCTTGCTCATTAAAACAAATCATTAAGTAAATAAAAAGGAAAACCAGGGACTGAAAAAGATGAGTCCAGTGGCAAAGAAATTAAATTTTATAAATAACTCCTTCAAATCAATAATTGAAGTAAAATAATTCACTAAAACTGGCCAAAATACTTAGACACTTAATATTAGAAGATATATGAAATGCCAAGAAATACATGAAAAGTTGATCAGCATCATTTGTTATTAAGGAAATACAAATTAAGTTCATAGTGAGATACTACTTAAACATACACTTGAATGGATAAAATTAAAAAGAATGAAAACCCCAAATCTGGATCTCTTATACATTGCTGGAGGGAGTGTAAAACTCTCATTCTGGAAAATATTAGACATTGTCATATAAAATTAAACATTCATCTTCCCTGTGTCCTAGTCATTCACTCTCAAGGGTTCTTTAGAGACTCTACAGGGAATGCAGAGAGGTTGAGGGTAAGAGTGTTAGAGAAGGAAGAGTAATAGCTGCTTGCCATAGAAGGCAGTAGCATCCAGCAACATCAGTAATAGCATGACAACTTTCAAACCTATCTAACTCACTTCGAAAATATACAACTGATGTATGTGTTTTTATTTTTTACACTTACAACCAGGACATTATTTCTGAACACACCCAATGCTGTAATTCAATTCTTCACATGGCTATCATTGTTTTTAACCAACTTTCAGCTCAGTCATCTCTTCTGGGAAGCCTTTCTTGATTCCCTAGTCTAAGGTTTAGAACCCTCCATTGTGTCTCAGAAGCCAGTCCAGAGAGGTACTCTCTGCTTCACTCCCAGGCAGAACTCCAGGCATTCAAAACATTGACTTGCTTGGACCAACAGCCTGAGCCACCCCACCCTGCCTGTGTGGAGTTCCTGGTGCAGGGGAGCACTCTCCACTTCACATTCAAACATATCTGCAGGCATTTGGGTCACCTACTCATCTGGATCAGCAGCCTGAGCTGATCCACCCTTCTTGTGCGTAGATCATGGTGCAGCAGGGCCCTTTATGCTTCACACTCAGGTAGATCTCCAGGAATTCAGTGCACCTGCTCACCCAAATCTGCAGCCTGAACCACTGCACCCTTTTTGTGTAGGGATCTTGATGCAAGAGGACCTCCTTGTTTTACACCAGGGAATATCCCCAGGTATTTAGGGTACCCATTCACCTGGATTAACATGAGCCACCTCACCATTCCTGTGCAGAGATAGTGGTGCAGTAGGTCCCTCTATACTCCATACTCAGAAAGATCTCCAGGCACTGGAGCACCCATGCTCCTAGATTAGGAGCTCCTCTGGGCATGTGGTGGCCACTCATTGTATGCTCTCTTGTACTGGTACTTGTGCCTGCCATCCTGGAAATAAAGAAAAAGAAAAAAATCCCATCTGCATGAAAATATTTACAAAAATTAGAAGTGCTGGTGTCTCAGATGAGAAGGAAACAGTGCAAGAATTCTGACACCATGAAAAATCTCAATGTATTGATACCACCAAAGGATCACACTAGCTCTCTACCAATGGTCCCTAACAAAAATAAAAACTCAGAAATGATAGATAATGAATTCAAAGCATGGATCAAAAGGAGGCTCAGTAAGAGCCAAACAGTGTTGAAAATTAACATAAGCCACTTCTAAAGAAATCCAGGAAATGAAGGAAGAGAGATAAACATGTTAAAAAGAACTCTATCGGAGCTTCTGGAATTGAAAATATTACTTAAGGAATTTTGCAATATAATTGAAAGCTTTATCAGTAGACTGGACCAAGCAGAAGAAAGAATTTTAGAGCTTAAAGACTGGTCTTTGACCTAACCCAGTCAGAGACAAATAAAGAAAAAAGAATTTATAAAAGTGAATAAAGTCTTCAAAAATATGGGATTATATAAAGTGGCTAAACCTATGAATTACTGGCATTCTTGACACAGAAAGAGACAAGCAACCTGGAAAACATTTTTGAGGGAATAATTTAAGAAAATGTCCCTAACCTCACTAGAGAGGCAGACATTCAGATACAAGAAACCCAGGGAACACCTGTGAGATACTATGCAAAATGAACATCACCAAGAATATAGTCATTGGACTGTCCAAGTCATTGCTAAAGAGAAATTCTTAAAGGCAACTAGAAAAACTGACCAGATCACATAAAAATGGAATCCCATCAGGCTAACAGTGGGCTTCTTAGCACAAACCTAACAATCCAGTAGAGATTGGCAGCCTATTTTCAGCATTCTTAAAGAAAAGAAATTCCAACCGAGAATTTCATATCCTGCCAAACTAAGCTTCATAAGTGAAGACAAAATAACATTTTTTCCAGTCAAACAATCTCTAAGAAAATGTTTAGCCACCAGAACAGCCTTAAAGAGATCCTGAAGGGAGTTCTAAACACAGAAGTGAAATGACAATATCTGCTAACACAATAACTCACTTAAGAACGGAGCCCACAAACCCTATAAATCAACTGCACAATAGAAACCTAAAAGCAACCAGCTAACAACTTTATGACAGGTTAGAAGCTTCACATATCAATATTAACCTTGAGTATGAATGGTCTAAATGCACCACTTAAAGGCAAATAGTGGAAGGCAAATAAAAAACCAAGACTCATTGTTCAGCTGTCCTCAAGAGACCCATTTCACACATCATGACATGCATAGGCTCAAAGTACAGCAGGGGAGAAAGACCCATCATGCAACAGAACAGCAAAAAGAGCAAGGGTTGTTATACTTGCTTCTGACAAAAGAGAATTTAAACCACCAGCAGTAAAAGACAAGGAAGGGCATTACATAATGATAAAGGATTCAATTCAACAAGAGGACTTAACTACATAAATATATGTGCACCCAACATTGGAGCACCCAGATTCATAAAACAAGTATTTCTAGACATACAAATAGAATTAGACAGCTCACAATAATAGTGGAGAAGTTTAACATCCCACTGACAGTGTTAGACAGATCACTGAGGCAGAAAATTAACAAAGAAATTCTGGAATTAAATTCAACACTTGACCAATTGTACCTAACAGAAATCTACAGAATACTCCACCCATAGCTGTAGAATATACAGTTTTCTCATCTGCACAAAGAACACACTCCAATATTTATCACATGCTTGGCCTTGAGGCAAGTCTCAATTAACTTTAAAAAATCAAAATCAAACCAACCATACTCTCAGAGTAGAGTGGAATAAAAATAGAAATCAAGGACAGGTGCGGTGGCTCATGCCTGTAATTCCAGCACTTTGGGAGGCCCAGGCGGGTGGATCACAAGGTCAGGAGTTCAAGACCTGATAGTGGTCTTGATGGTGAAACCCCGTTTCAAACTAAAAATACAAAAATTAGCCAGGCTTGATGATGGGCACCTGTAATCCCAACTACTCAGGAGGCTGAGACAGGGAATTGCTTGAGCCTGGGAGGTGGAGGTTGCAGTGAGCTGAGACTGCATTGCTGCACTCCAGCCTGGGCAACAGAGCGAGACTCTTTCTCAAAAAAAAAAAAAAAAATCAATACCAGCAGAAATAGAAATGAAATGAATCCAGCAACACATCAAAAAGATCTCTCAAAATTCAATCATTAATAAACCTGCCAATGAGAAAAACTCCTGACCAGATGGATTTATGGTAGAATTCTAACAGATGTACAGAAAAAAGCTGGTACTGATCCTATCGAATCTATTCAAAACAATTCAGGAAGAAGGACTTCTCTTTAACTCATTATAAGAAGCCAACATCACACTGACATCAAAATCTGGCAAGACATAAGTGAAAAAGAAAAATTACAGGCCAATATCCCTGAGAAACCTAGATGCAAACATCATCAGCAAAATACTAGCAAACTGAATCCAGCAGCACATCAAAAGGTAGTTTACCACAATCAAGCAGGCTGCATTCTTGGGATGTGAGGTTGATTCAACATATGGAAATCAATAAATGTGATTCACCACATAAAATTAAAAACAAAA
Organism: Homo sapiens; assembly: GCF_000001405.40. Taxonomy (NCBI): domain Eukaryota; kingdom Metazoa; phylum Chordata; class Mammalia; order Primates; family Hominidae; genus Homo; species Homo sapiens. The sequence goes on from NC_000007.14 coordinate 48,972,746, forward strand.
TCCACATGAGCATCTCAATAGACATGGAACAAGCTTTCAATAAAATCCAACATCTCTTTAAAATAAAAACCCTCAAGAAACTAGCCATTGAATACTGGAGAACTTGAGAACTGGAACAAGAGAAGGATGCCCACTCCCACCACTCCTGTTCAGCATAGTACTGGGAATTCTAGCCAAAACAATCAGGGAAGAGAAAGAAATGGAAGGCATCCAAACAGGAAAAGAAGAAGGCACACTATCTCTCTTCACTGGCAATATAAATCTATACCTAGAAAACCCTAAAGACTCCACCAAAAGCCTTCTGGAACTGATAAATGACTTCAATAAAGTTTCAGAATAGAAAACCAAGGTACAAAGATCAGTATCATTTCCATACACCAATAACATCCAAGCTGAGAACCAAATCAAGAATGCAATCGCATTTACAATAGCCACAACAAATAAAATATCTAGGAATACATCTAACCAAGGATATGAAAGATCTCTATAAGGATAACTACCAAAAGCTTCTGAAAGAAATCATAGATGACACAAACATATGGAAAAACAGTACATGCTCATGGACAGGAAAAATCAATATTGTTAAAATGGTCATATTGCCCAAAGCAATATGTAGATTCAACACTCACTATTCCCATCAAACTACCATTATTTTTCACAGAATTAGGAAAAGCTATTTTTAAATTCATGTGGAACAAAAAAGAGGTTGTATAGCCAAAGCAATCCAAAGCAAAAAGAGCAAAGTTTGAGGCATCACATTACTTGACTTTGAGCTATATTATAAGGCTGCAGTAACCCAAAGAACATGGCACTGGCATAAAGTCAGACATGTAGACTGATGAAATAGAACAAAGAACCCAGAAATAAAGTCATACACTTACGACCATCTTTCACAAAGTTGACCAAAATAAACAATGGGGAAAGGATTCCCTGTTCAGTAAATGCTGCTGGGATAAATGGTTAACCATATGCAAAAGTATGAAACTAGACCCCTGTCTTTCACCATATAGAAAAATTAACTCAAGTTAAATTAAAGAATTAAATGTAAGACTGACAACTCTAAGACTTCTTGAAGAAACATAGGAAGCACCATTCTGGACATTGGACTTGGGAAGGAATTTATGGCTAAGATCCCAAAAGAAAATGCAACAAAATAAAAATTGACAAGTAGCACCTATTAAACTAATATGCTTCTGCATGGGAAAAGAAACTATCAGCAGATTAAACAGTCAACCTACAGAATGGGAGAAAATATTAACAAACTATACATCTGACAAAGGTCTAATACCAGAATCTAAGGGGAAGTTAAATCAAAAAGCAAAAACCAAATAACCACATTATAAAGTGGGCAAAAGACATGAACAAACATTTCTCAAAAGAAGACATAGAACTGACCAATGAACATATGAAAAAAAGCTCCACATCACTAATCAACAGAGAAATGTAACTCAAAACTGCAGTGAGATACCATCTCACACCAGCCAGAATGGCTACTATGAAAAAGTCAAAAAACAACAGATGCTGGCGAGGTTGTGGAGAAAAAAAAACAACAACACTTATGCACTGTCAGTGGGAATGTAAATTAGTTCAGCCACTGTGGAAAGCAGCTTGGAGATATTTCAAATAACTTAAAACTGAGCTTCCATTCAGCCCAGCCATCCTATTACTGGTTATATATCCAAAGGGAAAATATATTGTTCTTCCAAAAAGCCTCATGCATTTGTATGTTCATAGCAGCGTCATTCACAATGGCAAAGACATAGAATCAGCCTTGGTGCCCATTAGTGGTAGAATGGATAAAGAAAATGTGGTGCATATACATCATGGAATACTTTGCAGCCATAAAAATGAAGGAGATCATGTCCTTTGCAGCAACATAAATAGAGCTGGAGGCCATTACTTTAACAAATTAATGCAGAAACAGAAAACCAAATACTACATGTTCTTACCTATAAGTGGGAGCTAAACAATGTGTACCCATGGATATAGAAGTGGGAACAACAGAAACTGGAGCTACTAGAGGGGGAAAGGGGCAAGGGGGTAAACGCTGAAAAACAATCTGATACTATGCTCAGAACCTAGGTGGCAGAATTAATTGTACCCTAAACCTCATATCATGCAATATACTCACGTAAAAAACATGCTCATGTACTGCTTGAATCTAAAAGAAAAGTTGAAATTAAAAAACAAAATTTAAAAAGTGCACCTACTGCACAGCCTTGTTGTGAGAATACAATAAGATGATATGCGTAAGGGCCTCCAGTGCCTGGTTAGTACAAAGTTATAAGAAAACCTGCTTTCTAGGGAAGGCTTCTTCATCTCAGAACACTTAATTAGCTATCTAATATTTAAGAAAAGAAATATAAAAAATATAAAAATTTTAAAACAAAGATTTGGCAGTTTTGTTGCAGCTTGGAAGGTGATGCTATTTTTATCCCAATAAGGATTAAAAGGCAGGTTAGGAATAAATAAAATGTAGCTTGAAATAATTAGTTTAGCTGAATGGCTTCAATATTGACCTAAAATCCAAGGCATGACCATGAAGTAATATGACAGGAGTGAAAAAAATACACTGAGCGCTTAACTTGACTTTGAGGTCTACAACCTTCCAAGCAATGAATATTACTTTGGAAAACAATATTAATACTCAATTTAAATTTATTATCCCTGTTAAATACTTTGGAACTTTTCCATAAGAACCACCAGTCCTAAGGTCTGGAAGGTCTCCAGGTGTAGTCTTTATACCTTGAAGGCAAACTTCTATTTTTTGAGAAAAAAATAATACCCTAATTTATTAGATTTAGTATCAAATCTAGTAAATTAGGTGACTTAAATGTAAAATACATTTTTAAGTGAGCTTTTTAAAAATTGATTGTATAATTTGAATTGAGGTATATGAGGGAGACACAGATGTATTCAACCTGGAGCCAGTTAGGCTGCTTGCAAGGGAAAGCTATGTATACACTGCTTAGGGTTTAGCTACAGTAATGATTGGGTGGGTCAGTGACACTGCTGGTGTTTTATTCAACCATTGGATTGAATGAAGGTCTTTTTCTCATTTAATTTATCAATATTGGTGGGAATCAGGTGAATAACCTGCAGTGGGAAGCACAGCCTGAAGCAGTGACTTCAAACAGGCCAGTCAGGAGCCTGAAAAGGGAGGGAAATGGAGCTCCCCTTGGTGCTTCCTGGGCAGCCTGTTCTCCCCTGCAGGTGTCCTTCAGCTGCTCAGACAGCTCCAGAACCACTGCAGATTCTGAGAAGTTACAAGGAGCCCAGGAAAGCAGGAGACCCACAGGCAGATGTGGTTGGATGGTTCTGTCCTTTCTGAGGTTGTACCTCTGGTGCCTGGGGTAGTTTTTGGACAGCGTTTTCATTTTGACATGCACACCATCACTGGAGTTGATGCAGGATAGGTGATCCCCAATGTGGGGCTTTGCCTACTAGGGTTCCTGGCTTTGTCCAGGAAAGAATTCAAGGGCAAGGCAGATGTAGAAGAAAACAGCTTTATTGAAGTGGCAGTTTTGCAGCTCCAGCAGTGTCACAGCTCTGTGACTGCTCCTGCAGAGCAGGGCTACCCTGTAGGCAGGAGAGTAGCAGTTTAGGGAAATTTTGCGCAGTCACATTTATACCCACTTTTAATAACGTGCAGATTAGGAAGTGGTTTCTGTAGAAATTTCTAGGGAAAGAGTGGGAACTCTTGAGGCATTAGGTCATTGCCATAGAAAGGGGTAGTAACTTGTGAGTATTGTCACAGCAACGGTAAACTGACCGGGCACACTGGTGGTTGTGTCTGTTGGAAAGCTGTTTTATCTAGTCCTCAATCTGGTCGGATGTCTGGGCCCCACCACCTTCCTCAGAGTCAGACTGTAATTTATATATGAAGAAGATTTGTGAAAGTCTGACTTAGAGCAAAACCTGTTTGGGGTGTCTCCTGGGGAAAAAGTTTATGAATTTGACAGTTTATTTCGGTCAGAACCCTAAACTGATTCCACATGAGAGTGTCCTGTTATTAAAAATGAAGGTCTTGAAGACAGAAGTTCTTCTACACCAAAAGAGTGGATGGCATGTTGAGTTTTAAGAGTTAAATTTGCAAAATTTGTCAGAATCAAAATGAAGTCACTAATGTTAAGAAAACCTTGACAAATAGAGCCAGGGAAGGCCATGAAGAGAGGGATCACATTCTGTATGCCTGGTAACAAAAACCATCACAAAAGACTGCAAAACCTACCACCTTGCACGAAGGCCATCACAGCCTTACCCAAAAGGATATTTCGGCAAGGATATCTGCCCAGTAACTGCCTGGCCGACCTCAGACTGATGTCACTCTTATTATTAATCTCTGTAGCCTCAGATAATTATTTCAAAACAATTGCGTGTTCCTCTTTATTTTTTCCTTTAAAACCCTTCGTCTTCTCTTGCCTCCCTGAATATACACATAGTTTTTTATGACATGTGTATTCCCATTGCAATGCTTTATGACCAAATGAACATTGTCTCTTTTAGAAAAAACAAACAAAACAAACCCAAAGTGGTTTTGGCCATTTTACAATCCCACTAGCAGTGTTTGAGACTGTGTGTCAGCGTACAACAGATTAATTCACATGATTCCCAATGGACAGTGCATTGGTCTTTTCATTTTTAGCTATTTTAATAGATATTTAACAGTATCTCAGCGTGATTTTAATTTGTATTTATGCTAGGATTAATAATGTCAGGCATCTCTGTATGTGATTATTTATCATCTGTATGTTTTTCTTGGTTAAATATCCATCCAAATCTTTTCCCTTTTTTATTTTTTCTTGTTTTTTAGTGAGATTTAAAAGTTCTTTATATATTATATTTATAAACATTTTATAAGATTTATCTTTCTAGACATTTCTGCCAGTCTGTGACTTATATTTTCATTCTATTGACAAGTTCTTTTGATAAGGTGCAATTTATCAGTTATTTTTTGAGTCATGTTTCTGGTGTTTAATCTAAGAAATCTTTGTTCAAACAAGGGTCACAGAAATGTTCTATATTTTTTCTTACAAGTCTTATTGTTTTAGGCTTTACACTTAAGTCTATGACACATTTCAAGTTAATTTTTATGTATGTGATACATACATCCAAGTTAGTATTTTGCAAATGGATATCCAATTGTTACAGCACTGTATGTAGAAAATAGTATCCGTTTCCACTGAATTGACTTTGTATATCTAAAAAGATCAGATGTCCATATTTGACATATAGGACTATGTCTGGACTTTCTGTCCAGGTCCATCAATACACTTGTCTATCTTGAGCCCTATTCTGCACTGTCTTAATTATTTTAGCTTTTTCATAAATCTTGAAACCCACTTTATATCTTCTTTTTCAGAGTTGTTTTGGCTATTCTATGTTCTCTGCATTTCCATATGTATTTTAGATCCATCTTGTCAAGTTCTATAGTACTAAAAGCAAACAAAAACATAAACAAACAAAAAAAATGCCACTGGGATTTTTTAATTAAACATTTTACTTTGAGATGATAGTTTCACATGAAGTTGTAAGGGATAAAATAAAACTACTGGGTCATGACATATTATCTTTTTCTACATTTTGTTAGATTTTATTTACTATAATTATGTTTGAAGGTTTTTTTTGTATTTGTAAGAGACATTATTCTGTCTTATTTTGTCTTATTTTGTTATCAGTGTTATACTGGTATCATATAATTAGTTGAAAATGATTTCATATTTTTCAATTTTATGGAAGAGTTTCTGTAGAATTAGTATTTTTTTCCTTATTTTTTTTTCCTGCAACTTTTAATTTCCAGGGTACACGTGCAGGAAGTGCAGGTTTGTAACATAGGTAAACATGTGCTATGGTGGTTTGCAGCACAGATCAATTCATCACCTTGGTATTAAGCCCAGCATCCATTAGCTTTCCTTCCTGATAATCTTCTCCCCCCAAACCCCCTGACAGGGCCCAGTTCGTGTTGTTCCCCCCACCATGTGTCCATGTGTTCTCATTGTTCAGCTCCCACTTATAAGTGAGAACATGTGGTGTTTGGTTTTCTGTTCCTGTCTTAGTTTGCTGAGGATAATGCATTCCAGTTCCATCCATGTCCCTGCAAACGACATGATCTCATTCCTTTTTATGGTTGCATAGTATTCCTTTTTATGGTTGCATGCTATTTATGGTATAGAAAGATCTCAAATTAACAACCTAATATCATCACTAAAAGAACTAGAGAACCAAGAACAAAGAAAACCAAAAGCTAGCAGAAAACAATAACCAAGATCAGAGCAGAACTGAAGGAGATGGAGACATGAAAAACCCTTCAAAAAATCAACAAATCCAGGAGCTGATATTTGGAAAAAGTGATAAAACAGACTGCTAGCTAGTCTAGTAAAGAAGAAAAGAGAGAAGAGTCAAATAGACACAATCAGAAATGATAAGGGTGATATCACCACTGACCCCAAAGAAATACAAACAACCATCAGAAAATACTATAAACGCCTCTGTGAACATAAACTGGGAAGAATTGGTTAAATTCCTGGACACATATACCCTCCCCAGACTGAATCAGGAAGAAATTGAAACCCTGAATAAACCAACAAACAGTTCTGTAATTGAGGCAGTAATAGTCTACCAAACAAAAAAAGCCCAGAACCAGACTGATTTACAACTGAATTCCTAAAGGTACAAAGAAGAGCTGGTACCATTTCTACTGAAACTATTCCAAACAATTGAAAAAGAGCAACTTTTACCTAACTCATTTTATGAAGCCATTATCATCCTGATACCAAAACCTGGCAGAGATACAAAAAAAAAAGAAAACTTCAGGCCAATATCCCTGACCAACATTGATGCAAAAATCCTCAGTAAAATACTGGCAAACCAAATCAAGCAGCACATCAAAAAGCTTATCTACCATGATCAAGTCAGCTTCATCTCTGGGATGCAAGGCTGGTTCAACATAACCAAATCAATAAATGTGATTCATCACATAAACAGTACTAAAGACAAAAACCACATGATTGTCACAACAAATGCAGAAAAGACTTTAAATAAAATTCAACATCACTTCATGTTAAAAATTCAATGAACTAAGTATTGATAGAACATATCTCAAAATAATAAGAGCCATATATGTCAAACCAACAGCCAATATCATACTGAATGGGCAAAACTAGGAACATCCCGCTTGAAAATCGGCACAAGACAAGGATGCCCTTTCTCACCACTTCTATTCAACATAGTATTGGAAGTTCTGGCCAGGGCAATCGGAGAAAAGAAATAAATAAAGTGTATTCAAATAGAGAGAGAGGAAGTCAAGTTATCTTTGTTTGCAGATGACATGATCCTATATCTAGATAACCCCATCTTCTCAGCCCAAAAGCTTCTTAAGCTGGTAAGCAACTTCAGCAAACTCTCAGGATACAAAATAAATGTGCAAAAAGCTAGGTCTGCTATACATGAACAACAGACAAGCAGAGAGCCAAATAATGAATGTACTCCCATTCACAATTGCTACAGAAAGAATAAAATACCTAGGAATACAGCTATCAAGGGAAGTGAAAGACCTCTTCAAGGAGAACTACAAACCACTGCTTAAGGAAATGAGAGAGGACACAAACAAATGGAAAAACATTTCATGCTCATGGATAGAAAGAATCAACATTGTGAAAATGGCCATATGGCCCAAAGTAATTTATAGACTCAATGCTATTCCCATTAAACTACCATTGACATTTTTTACATAATTAGAATGAACTATTTTAAGATTCATATGGAACCAAAACCAGAGCTCCTATAAACAAGACAATCCTAAGTAAAAAGAACAAAGCTGGAGGCATCATGCTACTTGACTTTTTTCTTAAATTTTTGTGTAATTCACCAGTAAATTCATATAGACCTATAATTTTCGTTGTGAGAAGGGTTTTACCTACAAATGAAATTTCAATAGATATATACCTATTGGGCTATCTATTATTCTTGAAGAGGCATGAGTCTTTCAGGGAATTGTTGGTTTTATAAAAGTTATTCAACCCAATGGCATAAAGTGCTTCATAATATTTCCATATTACTGGTTTAAAAATTGTGGAGTCTGTAGTGATATTACCTCTTTCTTTCTGGATCTTAGTAATTTGAGGTTTTTTGTTTGGTTTTGTTTTTGTTGTTGCTTGCTTGTTTTATTCCTGAACAAATTGCCTAGTGGTTTATGAATTTTATAGATGCTCTCAAAGAACCAGCTTTTTGTTTCATTGAATTTTCTCTTTTCTATTTCATTGATTTCCTCTCTGATATTTATTCTTTTGATTCTTCTATTTTGTGTTTAATTTGTTTTTGTTTTTTCGTTAACTGTTTTAAATTAGAAGTGGGGGATATTGATTTGAGTCCTGTATTTTTCTTTTATATAAAAAGAATAAAAATGCATTGCAGAGGGTAATTTTAAGTACTCAAACACTAACTACTTTCTTTTTATTCCTTTAGTTCAAAATAGTTTTTTATTTCCACTTGATTTATTTTTTGACTCGTGTTTTTTAGAAGTTTTATTTATCTACAAATAATTTGGTGACTTTGTCTTTTATTGGGGGTTTCCAATTTATTCCACTTGGATACTTTCAAAATAATTTATATTTGTGTTAGGCACAGAATGTCGTCTACTTTGGTAGATGGTCTATGTGAACTAGAAAACAGTGTGCATTCTTCTAATGTTGGGTAGAGTAGGCTATAAATGTCAACTAGGTAATATTAATTGACCATGCTGTTCACATGTGCCATATTTGTATGGATTTTGCATTCACTTTCCTATCATTTATTGAGAGAGGGGTATTGAAATTTCTGACTATTATTGGAGATTTGTCTATTTCTCCTTGCATTTGTATCACTTTTAGCTTCATATATTTGACATAGTGTTAAGTGCATAAACTTTTAGGATTTTTATGTCCTCTTGATTAATTGGCTCATTCAACACTATTACAAGATCTTCTTTACTCCTGGTACTACTTTTATTTAAAATCTACTTTGATATCAATCCAGCCACTCTAGTATTCACTTTACCTTTATTTGTCTAATCTCTTCTATGTTTCCCTTTTTCCTTCTTTATCTACCTTATTTTGGATAACTTGAGTATACTCTGTTATTTCGTTTTATCTCCTTCTTTGGCTTACTAGCTTTACCACTTTTTTAAAAAGTAGTGTTTTTTTATTCTTTTTTTTTCATTTGGGGGAGGGTGGGGGGCACAGGGCAGGATCTCATTCTCTTGCCCAGGCTGGAATGCAGTGGCACAATCATAGCTCACTGTAGCCTCAAACTCATGGAATCAAGAGATTCCCCCGCCTCAGCCCCCTGAGTAGCTGGGACTACAGATGTGTGCCACTGTGCCCAGCTAATTTGTTTTATTTTATTTATCTTTTTATTTTGTTGAGATGGGGTCTTGCTTTGCTGCCCAGGCTGGTCTTGAATTACTGGCTTCAAGTAATTCTCCCATCTTGGCCTCCCAAAGTGCTGGGGTTATAAGCGTGACCCACTGCACTTGGCCAGTGGTTTCTTTAGAGTTTAGATTGCACATCTTCGAGTTATCACTATCTTCCTTCAAATGATCTTATATTACTTTATTTATAGAACGAGAACCCTAAATTTCTTTTCTACTGGATTTTATGCTATTTTCACCACATATTTTACTTATATATTTATTATGAAACCAATAATATATTATTAATTTTTGTTTAAGTAGTCAACTATCTTTGAATATTTACATAAGAAGAGAGTAATTTTATGTAATTCCCCCTGTAGTCACCATTTCTGATGTCTTTACTTATTTTTATAAGTACACATTTCCACAATGTCATTTGTATCTATCTGAAAGACAACATTTGATGAATTCCCTCAGCTTTTGTATATATAAATTTGATCAATTCTCTCAGCTTTTGCATATATAACAACTTAATTTCCCTTTGTTTTTGAACATTTTTTCTGGGTATAGATTTCTAGGTAAACTGGTTTTGGTTTTTCCCTTTTTACAGACTTCAACAATGTTGGCTGGACACAGTGGCTCACTCCTGTAATCCCAGCACTTTGGGAGGCCGAGGCAGATGAATCACAAGGTCAGGAGTTTGAGACCAGCCTGACCCATATGGTGAAACCCCCTCTCTACTAAAAATACAAAAAATTAGCCAGGTGTGGTGGCGTGCACCTGTAATCCCAGCTACTCAGGAGGCTGAAGCAAGAGAATTGCTTGAACCCAGGAGGTGGAGGTTGCAGTGAGCCCAGATCACGCCACTGCACTCCAGCCTGGGCAACAGAGCAAGACTCTGACTCAAACAAACAAACAAACAAATGTTGCTGCATTGTCTCCTCATTTGCATTTTTTCTGAGAAATTTAATCTGTTTTCTCCTTATCTTTGCTCTTCTGTATGTAATGTGTCATTTAATTTCTTTTTTCACTGATCTTGAGCAATAAGATGGCAATTATGTTCTGATGTAGCTTTATAGTTATTGTACTTGAGTTTTGCTGACATTTTTGGAACTAAGGAGTTACACCATTAAATTTGTAAATTTTTCAGTTATTGTTTCTTAAACTATTTTTTGTTTCTTTCCTTCTCTCCTCTGCTTTTGAGAATCTAACTGCATGTATTTTATACTGCTTGAAGTGTCCTCTAAACTCTTATGCCCTTTTTTAAAAAAAAACTGTTTTAATGTGAGTAGCTTTAATTTCTGTGTTCTTGTTCACAAATCTTTTCTTCTTCAATGTCAAATTTTATATTATTTTCTTCACAGTATTTTTTATCTCAGTCATTGTAATATTCATCTCCAGAACTTTGATTTGGGTCTTTTTCATATTGTCCATGTTCCTTCTTAACATTGAAACATATAAGAAATACATATAGTAATTGTTTTAATGTCTTTGTTTACTAATTCTAGCACCTGTGGTTCTGAGCCACTGTTCATTAACTGTTTTTTCTCTTCATTATGATTCCTATTTTTCTGCCTCTGTAAATATCTGGTATTCTTTCATACCAATGCCAGTCATAGTAAATTTTTTCCTTGGTAGATGATTGCTTTTATATAAACATTATTGTGATTTCTCCTGAGATACAGAGAAGTTACATCTATCTATCTATCTATCTATCTATCTATCTATCTATCTATCTATCTATATATATATATATTTCGTTTGTGTCTTTTATTTTAAGAATTGTTAAGCAGAGCCAGAGAAGCATTTATCTATCTATAATTATTATCTGCTACTGGGATAATTCTATTCTGTTTACCCTGCCTTCCTGTAACATCTTTGTACCTTTGTTTTTATAGTGCATATATTTTACAGAGAGAAAATAGTGGCATCTTACTTTTTGTAATTGCTAAAATTCTCTACTTTTTCATTGAAATGTTTATTACATTCACACTTTTAGTGTAATTATTGATACATCTTGATTTAGTCTTTTGGTATTTGTTTTCTGTTTCTCCTATTTAATTTTTGTTTTAATCAAACATACTCCAATATTTATTTTTAACTTCTTTATCATATTTTTAGCATTGTTGTTACATTTAAATTAATTTTCTGGGTTGTTTTAAGGATTAAAATATGTCTTCCTAACTTACAGTCTTCTAACAAGTAACATTGTATCACTTCACATAAAATGTTTTTTTACAAAGAAAAACTTGACACATGTAGTTATATTTAACTTCCATATTTTGTTTTATTTTTCTTATATGTATTATAAGCCCCATAACATTACCTTTACAATTTAAAAAAATCAATACCAAATCTCGCTCTGTCACCCAGGCTGGGGTACAATGGCATAATCATAGTTCACTGTAACCTCAAACTCTTGGGCCCCAAAAATCCTCCTGCCTCAGCCTCCCGAGTAGCTGAGACTACATGTACACATCACATCTGGCTAATTTTTAATTTTTGAAAGAAAGATGAGTTCGCACTCTGTTGCCCAGGCTCTCGAATTCCTGGCCTCAAGTGATTCTCCCACCTCGGCCTTCAAAAGTGCTGGGATTACAGGTGTGAATTACCAGGCTGGGACTCATATTTTTTATTCACCAGTTTTTTTAAAAAATCATTTTCAGTACTCTAATTCTTGTTGATTCTAGTGTTATACATTTCCCTGTATCCTGCACTTCCTTTAACATATTATCTAGTGCAATTATGCTGGCAAGAAATTCCTTCCTCTTTCATTGGTCTGAAAATGTCCTCATACATATTTCTTAATTTTTAAGATGGGCTAATTGGCTATACACTTATAGATTGATTTTTTTCCCTTAAAAATTTAACTATATTATTCATTTCTGCCTTCTGCCTATCATTGTTTCTTATAAGAGGTGATCTGTCATTTTCATTGTTTCTCCACATTTTTTTAAAAAACTTTTATTTTAGTTTCAGGGGTACATGTGCAAGTTTGTTATATAGATAAATTACATATTGTGGAGGCTGGGTATAGAGATTATTTTGTTACCCAGGGAATAAACATGGTACCCAAAAGGTAGGTTTTCTATCCTCACCCTCCTCTCCCCCTCCACCCTCAAGTCGGGCTCAGTATATATTGTTTTCTTCTTTGTGTCAATTTGTACTCAATGTTTAGCTCTCACTTATAAGTGAGAACATGTGGTATTTGGTTTTCTGTTCCTTTGTTAGTAATGGTTTACTGCAAATGTTGCTCCAAAGACATGATTGCCTTCATTTTTTATGGCTGCATAGTATTCCATGGTGTATATGTACCACATCTTCTTTACCCTGTCTACTGTTGGTGGGCATCTAGGTTGATTCCATGTCTTTGCTATTGTAAATAGCGCTGCAATGAACACATGTGTGCATATGTGTCTTTATGGAAGAATTATTTATATTCATTTGGGTATATATCCAACAATGTAATTGCTGGGTTAAATGGTAATTCTGTTTTAAGTTCTTTGAGAAATCTTCAAACTGTTTTCCACAGTGGTTGAACTAATTTACATTCTCGCCAGCAGTGTATAAGTTTTCCCATTTCTCTTTAACCTCTCCAGCTGTGATTTTCTTAGTTTTTAATGGTAGCCATTCTGGCAGGTGTGAGACAATATTTCATTGTGGTTTTCATTGGCATTTCTCTAATTATTAGTGAATGTTGAGCATTTTTTCATATGCTTGTTGGCTGTGTGTATGTATTTTGAAAGGTCTCTGTTCATATCCTTTGACCAGTTTTTAATGGGATTGTTTGTTTTTTGCTTGTTAATTTAAATTCCTTATAACTTCTGGATATTAGATCTTTTTCAGGTGCATATTTTGCAAATACTGTTGTTATCTCTTTACTCTGCTGATGGTGTTTTTTGCTGTGCAGAACCTCTTTAGTTTAATTAGATCCAATTTGTCAGTTTAGGGTTTTGCTGCCACTGCTTTTGGTGTCTGTGTTATGAAATCTTTGGTCATTCCTATGTCCAGAATGGTATTTCCTAGGTTATCTTCCATGGTTTTTATAGTTTAAGGTTTATCTTTAATTATGTAATTGATCTTGAGTTAATTTTTTGGTATATGGTGAAAAGTAGGGGTCTAGGTTCAATCTTCTGCATCTTGCCAGCCAGTTATCCCAGTATTGTTTATTGAATACGGAATCCTTTCCTTCTTGCTTGTTTTTATCAGCTTTATTGAAGAACAGCTAATTGTAGGTGTGTGGCCTTATTTCTGGGCTCTCTATTTTGTTCCATCGATATACGTGTTTGTTTTTGTACCAGTACCATGCTGTTCTGGTTACTGTAGCCTTTTAGCATAATTTGAAGTTGGGTAATGAGATGCCTTCAGCTTTGTTCATTTTTGTTTGGATTGCTTTGGCTATCCAAGCTATTTTTTTATTCCATATGCACTTTAGAGAAATTTTTTTTTCTTGTTTTTTGAAGAATGTCCTTGGTAGTTTGATAGAAATAGTATTGAATCTGTAAATTGCTTAAGGCAGTATGGCCATTTTAATTATGTTGATTTTTCCTATCTATGAGCATGGAATGTTCTTTCATTTGTTTGTGTCATCTTTGATTTATTTGAGCAGTATTTTGTAATTTTCATAATAGAAATATTTTACCTCCCTAATTAGCTGTATTCCCAGGTACTTTATTCTTTTGTGGCTATTATGAATGGGATTGTGTTCTTGATTTACGTCTCATCTTGGATGTTGTTGGTGTATAGAAATTCTACTGATTTTTGTATATTGATTTTGTATACTGAAACTTTGTTGAAGTTGCTTGTCAGATCTAGGAGCTTTTGGACAGGAACTATGGATTTTTCTAAGAATACAATCATATTGTCTCCAAACAGTGATAGTTTAACTTCCTCTCTTCCTATTTGGATGCACTTTATTTCTTTCTCTTGCCTGATTGTTCTGGCTAGGACTTCCAGTACTATGTTGAATGGGGTGGTGAGAGTGAGCATCTTTGTCTTGTCCCGGTTCTCAAGAATAATGCTTCCAGCTTTTGCCCATTCAGTATGATCTTGGCTGTGGGGTTTGTCACAGATGCCTCTTATTATTTTAAAGTATGTTTCTTCAATGCCTAGTATGTTGTGTTTCTCCACATTTAACTTACTTTTCTCCATTTTGGGTGCCTTTTAAAATTTAATTTTATACTTTCTTTTCAGCAGTCAGTGATTGAGTGTGGTTTCTGTTTTATTTCCCATGTTTGGAGTTTGTTAAGTATCTTAGATTTGTAAACTGATGCTTTTGGGAAATTTTCATCCATTGTTTTTTCATTATTTTCTTCTCTACCTTCTCCCTTTTATACCTTAGCACTCAAATTACATATACTACTTGATGTTGTCTAGATGTTTACTGATGCTATGTTTACTTTTTTCAATATATTTTTCTCCCTATGTTCTATACTTGGGTAAATTCTATTGATCTGTTTTTATGTTTTTTGATTTTTTATTCTGTAATGTGTAATCTGCAATTATCAGAAAATTATGTTTTAAATGTATTATGGTCTAGTTTTAGAATTCCCACTTTATTTTTGTAATACTTTCTATTTCTCTATTGATAGTCCACATGTGCTTACTGATTCTTTCCATCTTTTCATCTAAATTCTCACGTACACTGCGGCACTGCCTAGTGGAGCTGTGAAAAGAGGTCCACCATCCTCCAGACCCCAGAATGGAAGATCCACTGACAACTTGCACCATGTGCCTGGAAAAGCCACAGACACTCAACCAGCTGTGAAAGCAGCAGTATGGAGAGTTGAATCCTGCAAAGCCACAGTGGCAGAGCTGCCCGAGCGTTACCTGGATGTGAGACGTGGAGTCAAAGGAGATTGTTTTGGAGCTTTAAGGTTTAATGACTGCCCCTCTGTGTTTTGAACTTGCAAGAAGCCTGTAACCCTTTTGTTTTGGCCAATTTCTCCCATTTGGAATGGGAACATATCGAAGAAGTAACTCATTTGCTTTTGATTTTATAGGCTCATGGGCAGAAAGGACTTGCCTTGTCTCAAATGAGAGTTTGGACTATGGACTTTGGAGTTAATGCTGAAATGATTTAAGACTTTGGAGGACTGTTGGGAAGGTATGATTGGTTTTGAAATGTGAAAGGAGATGAGATTTGGGAATGGCCAGGGTCAGAATGATACGATTAGGCTTTGTGTCTTCACCGAAATCTCATATTGAATTGTAATCCCCAGGTGTTGAGGGAGAGACCTGGTAGGAACTGATTGGATCATGGGGGTGGTTTTCCCCATGCTGTGTTCATGATAGTGAGGGAATTCTCACAAGATCTGATGGTTTTATCAATGGTAGTTTTTCCTATGCTCTCACACTTTCTCTCCTGCCACCATGTAAGATGTACCTGCTTCCCCTTCTGCCGTGATTGTAAGTTTCCTGAGGCCTCCCCAGCCATGTGAAACTGTGAGTCAATTAAACCTATTTTTGTTATAAATTACCGGTTTAGGGTATTTATTTATAGCAGTGTGAAATTATTCAGTCTTGGGTATTTCTTTATAACAGTGTAAAAACGAACTAATACACTCGTCATCAGATTTATATATTTTTCTGATTATTAAATCAATACATTCTCATTATATAAGTTTTCAAAGTGCAGAAGAGCAAGAAAAACACTGATAATCACAGCATTCACAGAATACTAACTACTTGTTCTTGATAATTGTACTGTGCTTATGTAAGATGCTAACATCACAGTCTGATGAAAGATTTAAGAGAACTCTACACTATTTTGCAGATTTCCTTTAAGATTAAAGTTAGTTCAAAATTAAAAGTTTAAAAATCACCATAATGTTGTTTATTGACTTGTAAATATTTGAGACTATATTATATATCTAATTTTGTATCTTGATTTTTTAAAACAATATACCATTAGCATTTACTCATCACAAAACTGTTAATAAGCATTTTGTTTAATGTTGTCATAACATCCCAATTAAAAAATACATCACCATTTTCTACACTATTACCCTTCTCTTGAACTATTGAGCTGTTTCTATTTGTGCTATAAACATTATTGTAATAGCAATATTACAATATTATTTGCAAAATTATTGCACAAATTATTGATAATTCTTTGTCTTAATTTTGGATTATGCTCTGATGTTGGAAACCAGGGTCAAATGTTGCAAACATTTTAAAGAATAGGATCAAGCATGCACACCCAACCTTACTGAATGTCAACCAAGAGCCAGAGAGGAGAAAGGCAGAAGGGTCAAGTTGAGTGACACTTTGACAGTAGAAAATTAGAATAGTTACATATTTGTGTTCCCATATGAGTAACTATAGGGTCTGAGAAGATAGTTAGGGGTTTGATAGTCACAGATTGGTTTCTAGGGAAAATTAGTTGTAAGTTAATGAATAAAGTAGGTAATATATCCAAGTTGCTGTCAAATGCCTTGGAACTAGGTTCTTGAAGCTCACATTTTGGGGTGAAGTGGGTTATAGGAATAAAAGTAGAATTTGCAGGAAGGAAAATAGTGAAACATAAGTACTGCACAGCTGCAGAGCTGCATTTGTTAGGGTTCCCCAGAAAAACAGAACCAATAGTACATGTGATGGGCATACACAGAGAGAGAGAAAGAAGAGTGAGAGATGTATTATGGAAATTGACTTACATGATTGTGGAGGCCTAGATGGACCACTGTCTACCATCTTTAATCTGGAGAACCTGGAAAGCTGATGATATAATTCAGTTCAAATCCAAAAGCCTAGAGCCAGGGGAGTCAATGCCGTAATTCCCAGTCTAAATCAGAAGGTCTAAGAACTGGCAGGGGTTGGGATGGGGGTTGGGCTGTTTGGTTTAAGTCCTGGAATCTGAAGCCCGGAGAAGGAGGAACTTCCATATGTGAGGGCAGGAGAAGTTGGATGTAACAGCTCAAGAACAGAGAGACTGAATTCACTCTTTCTCCACCTTTTTGTTCTATTCAGGCCCTCGACTGGTTGATGCCCATTGACAAAGGCTGATCTTTAGTCAGCCTGTTGATTCAAATGTTAATCTCTTCTGGAAACACCCACACAAACCCAGAAATAAGAAATAAGTTTTTGCTAGCTCTTCTGGCACACCTTAGCCTGGTAAATTTGACAAGTAAAATTATCTATCACAAGGGCTAAAGCTAAGGAAAGAGGCACTCACTATTCTCGAAGGAGTGTGAATGACTGGTGTACTACAGAACTTAATTTTAGGCTTTGGCCATCCTGAACTTTTCTCAGAAGGAATGGATCCATTAGAAACAAGGAGTAAATGTTCTCTCTGGGCTTCCATTCATGAACAATGCTCACCTCGGTGGCTCCAGATCATTGTTCTCTTGGAGAATAGAGTAATTTGTGGAAGACAGTGACTTTATGTTTGAGGGTTAGGGATTGGCTGGGGCCATTGTAGGGCTAGAGGAAATTTCATTAATTATATAATCCTAACACATTAGGTTCAAGACATAGGGCAAGTATGAGCCTGCACACTTGTGGGTAGGGTTATAACTAGGGTGGAAATCACTTTTAAAATATACAGATTCTCAAACCCAACTATGACCCACTAATTCAGAATCTATCAGGACAAGATCAGAAAATCTCTGCTTTGATGGCATTCCAAAGATATCTAGAACAAAAATCCAAATTTGAAAAGTACTAAGCTGAAATCTGGAGGCAGCACTAAAGACTGTCAACTCAACCCACCAGACTGCTGGGAAATGATAACAACAACAGTAATAACAGCAATGAACATAACCAAAGCTCAATTAAGAGAACAGAGATAAAAGGCTAAGACCCAGGCAGAAACTGGACTGATAAGGGAAAGAACTCTATCTAATCTTGTCCTGGAAGTGTGAAACGTGCTCACAGGGAAAAAAGTGCAGTTGCCTAAAAAACACTGAGTAATCATTAAATGTTTAGTTAGAGACTGGGCTGTTTTTATTGATTCAGTTATGAATCATTGGCCCCTATGATTCCTTCACCAAAGAGCTAGAATTCATTAATGACTTATACTAAAATGGACTAGATAGGATGAAGGAATAGAACCTAAAGAATCCCAGAATATTTGTCATTGCAGAATGTTCATTTTCCTCCCTCAAACTTTAATCCAGTTCTGGCCACAGAAGGAGCAGCAGAAATGTGAGTAAATGAGCCATGTGCTGGCACTGTTCCATTTGTCATGGGCTATAAGACCATAATCACCATTCTGCAGCCTCCTCCATTGATTGGTTAACTGTCCACAACCCTGACTCCTACAATTAACCACATCGCTTGTTAAGCTGAACCCACCATTAGATATACTTCCAAGTAGCAGCTTAAATACTAACTCAAGCGATATTCCAATTAGGTAAAATATATCTATTATATTTCATATTCCCTGCTGGAGCCTGGTACAGTGTGAAAACAGTAAATGTTGACTGAATTTGAGCATTCAAGAAAAATGTCATTTGAATGAATGAAAATATGAGCATCAGTGGTATATTTCCTTGATCATTTGGGAGTTAAAGATCAAGATGTTGAAAGAAAAATAAGGCTTAGAGGAATTTACACAGGAGTGGGACACGTTGGTGTAATTGAACAAAAACATTCTCTTAATTACTGAAATCCACAAACCACATACACACAGTTTGATTTAAATAAGAACAAGAAACTTGACAATTGGATAAACAGGGCCAGGGCATGAGATTTATTATTATTATTATTAATCTTGATGGCAGATAGGGAGTCAATATTTAAAAAGTATTTTCAGTAATAATTGAAGGGAACTTAAACTTCCTAAGGTGGGAATGTAGAGAGATGGCACCACTCAGGACAAGCTGAAAGTACTTAGTTACATTAGTTGTAGCACCATGACCTAGCACTTCCACTCCTGGGAGTTATAAACAAAAGAAAATTTCAAACAGGGTAACAAATACATTCCTTAGAGAGAATTTGTGGTGGTAGGTTGTTCAACGTAGTCTGGGTGAAGAGGTAAAAAGTAGTAGACACACAGTGTGGAGCCCTCCTGTCTTAGGTGGAGCTCTTAGATGTGAAATCTCTTGTAATGATTTATTGACTGACTGCTCTCAGGAAAAGTGAGAGAAGCTTGATGTGGCAGGGGAAGAAATGTGTTTCGAAAGGTCAAGCCCTAGCCTCATCCTATGGACAGCTCTGGAGTATAAGTGGTGTCACCATTTGTCTTAGCCAGACGGAAGGGAGTGGGCTGTTAACACCTCCATTTTGGTCAGTTGACGGCTGCCCTTGGTTAGAAAAAAGCTACAGCCAGATCTGAATGAGTAGCCTTTGCTTATCCTCATTTGAGTGGTCTTCATTTACTTCCACAGTTAATCTTGGGGATCCCCCGACACCCAATCTGCATTGCCCATTGTGGTAGACACCAGCTTTTTGCTTGGTGCAGTACCACAGAGGCCTTTTGTGCCCTGCTGTTGGTGGCTTGTCAAGTCTGTGAAGACATGGTAAAGCAGCACTAGGTCTGAAATAATCCACTTCCTTTGCATTGAGTTCCTCAGCTATTTATTCTTAGTTTAGAAACAGGTTTTGTTATTGGTTCCCGTTTGTTTGGCATTCTTGGTGGAATGAGCCCATTTCTCTTCATTCTTTTTTGCAGCCTTTTGTTTTCCTGTTCTATGTCATGCTATCTGGAAGTGCTGTTTCTCATAAGAAAAGACATATAGGAAGGAAAATAGCCGTAGACTCTATAAGCTTCTTGTTTGAGCTGCCCTCACAGACCTGTGGGTTTACAGTCCTCACCTGAGAAACTATTGTCTACTTGGACAAACTCTGCTGCAGGTCACCAATAAAACTAAATGATATTCTCCTTCACGCTTGATTTTGTATCCTGTGGGTTTGGCATTGATCCAGAAAGAGCATTTTCTCTGGTTTTCCACTTGCCGGGGTGAGAAGATTGTCAGGTCTGGCTTTGGAGGCAGACACTCATTAGGTTGGGGGACCAAGACACGAGGTCCACAAGCATTGCTGCCTACCAACTGTGACCAGCACTCACTGGGTCATTCAAGTCTCCTCCTCTACAGGAAATATCCCTGCTTCTTACAGGTACTCCCTTCACAATTCTAATGCTTGCACCTATCTTTCTATGTTGCATAATTTTACCAAGGACGATTTGGTAATTCAGTGGCCACTCTGGGAAATATGTGATTTGAGGACAATTGTTTATTTGAGTGGCACCTTAGAAAAGACAGGAAATAAGATTTCACAAGCCCAATAGGTAGCATTTTTTATTAGTATGCAGAAATTTCCAAAAACAAGAACAAAAAAACTGTGAATCAGTAATTGCTTCACTAAAAGATTATTTGTCCAAAGCTAATGAGCAAGTTGACAATCTCAAGTAGGAAAAAACTAGGCTCCTTTCCTTAGTAAATCCTCCCCCTCCTTTCCCTCCAGTTATCTCTCTATTTTCAGCCCTCCTTCTTCTTTCTTATGTGATTTCTCCCCTTCCACATCCTCTCTTTCCTCTTCTTGTCCAGATCCTCTTCCTTTTCCTATCACCTCTCCTAAAACCCTAAAATTCCAGTTGCTTTTAAGAATCCCTTCTTCCCATGAGCCAAATATGCAAACAACTGTGGAATTTAAACCTTACATCTGAATTTAATTGAAGTGTTATACTTAAAGATTTCTCTAACCACTCCCCCACCCCCCCCAAAAAACAGTGCATATATTCACAGGAGAATTTAGAATTCCTCTGTGTACATAAAATCCAGACCTAACTGACCTATATCAACCTGAACACAGTGCTGATCTGAGTCTTGGATGCTAAATCCTTGAGAGAAAAAGCTGACGGGACTGACCTGGAGAGGGACTTATGAGATCTTTCTTTCCACAATACACCCGAGGGTTAAAAAAAAATGTCAGAAAAGTATATTAAAGTTTCTTAAAAGCCCTACCTGAAACATTTCCCGTAAAAACTGATTGACTCATAATTCAGTTATGCAAACCAAAAGGATGAAATTGTAGGAGATTTACGGGATGGACTAGAAACATGTCCAACAATTTTTGGGAGTGAAAAAAGGTACTGATGGAACAGCAGCCATTTCATTTCATTTTAATCAATGTAGTCAAAACTGAAACGGAATTCAAAATAAAATAATCAATTCAAAAATAAAAATCAGAATGAAAAATGGCCTCTTTAGTGGAACTACAACACCTGACAAAACATTTTAAAGGGGCTCTAGAACAAAAACAAGACTCAAAGGAAACCCATGGCCCAGCCCATCAAACAGCTATTTGGTCCACTACCAACCAATGCCCAGCTAACAAAGACACTTGTAGATATTGTAAACAGAAGGGACAGAAGGGAAAAGAAAATTGTCTCATCATACAAAAGAAAGACAAGACAAAAAGTTTTCTTAATTCAGATCAATGAGAGTGCTTTCAAAAAAGAAAACATGACCAATATCATACTGTATCCTTAAACAATCAAGGTGTTTAACCACAAACATAGATAGGCATTCTTATCAATTTCTGGTAGATATGGGTATTACTCTTACTGCATCAAACCTAGACATGTTTGCTCAACTTCTTACTTGGAGTAAATATACCACATAGGTGTCCTTCCCTGTGCCTGTAACCCACAGATTTTCCCTATTTCCCAGCCCTTAATCATAACCTTTGGGCTTTTGACTGAAAAACATTTCTTCCTGCTCTGTTATATTACTCCTGCAAATTTAATAGAGAGACGTACTTTGCAAATGAAATCATGATACTAAATGGACAGCAGAGCGATAATTTCTTCAGGTCCCTAGAGGATTTCCCTATTCTTATCAAGTTGTGTCTGCTCTGAATATACCTGCTCAATTATATTTGATAAAGAGCCCGGATAAAATCCTTAATAGTGTGCCTAATGCTTTGTGAGCTAAAATTCTACTGACATAGGCAACAGAGAAGAGAAAAACATGTAAAAGTTCAGATAGATTCTACCACACCATTATCTATACATTCCCAATATCCTTTGAAGCCAGAAGCAAGAGGGAATCACACCTGTGCAGTGGACCCTTGAACAATGAGGGGGTCGGGGGCATCAACTCCTGCACAAGTGAAAACCTGCATATAACTTTTGACTCCCCAGAAACTTAACTAGTAATAGCCAGCTTTTGTCCAGAAGCCTTATCCATAGCATAAACAGTAGATTAATATGTATTTTGTATGTCATATGCATTATATATTATATTCTTACAATAAAGCAAGCTAGCAAAAAGGAAATGTTATTATGAAATCACAAGGAAGATAAAAGATATTTACTATTTATTAAATGGAATTGGATTATCATCAAGGCCTTCATCTTTGCCCTTGTCATACTGAGTAGGCTGAGGAAGAGGAAAAAGAAGAGAGGTAGGTCCCCCTGTCTCAGCTGTTGCAGAGGCAGAAGAAAATGTGTGTCTATGTGGACCCATGAAGTTCAAACTCGTGTTGCTCAAAGGGCTACTGTGGTGGAAAGCCTTATATCCAAAGGTCTTCTCATACCCTGCACCAGCCCTGTCAACACTCCTATCCTACCAGTAAAGAACCCAAACCAAATGGTCAAAAACATTAATTTGCTCAAGAGCTCAGGGCCATCAATAAAATTGGTATTTCTTACTTCCCAAACCCAAATACCATAATGCCATCAATTCCTAGTAATGCCAGTTGCGTCACTGTAGTGGACCTTTCCTCTGTCTTTTCCAGTGTGCCCCTAGACCAGGAGAGTTAGCACCTTTTTACCTTCTCCTGGAGGCAGATGACAACAGTATACCTGGACAGTCGTGCTCCAAGTGGTCACTGAAGCCTCTTTCTACTTCTCCCAGGTCCAAGATCTACATAAAGGCCATGGCTAGAGGGACATGGGATCAAAAACATTGAGATATTTTCTCTCTCTCCACTAATGTGCTGATATAGCTCCTCTGTACCTCCTCCAAAACAATCATTTTCTTAATCTAATGACTTGATTCCTTTTTTCTAGTAATTTTAATTTTTCTATTGTATTTTCCTCTGTCAACTTCTCTCTCGTTTCTCTCATCGTCTTTTATTCTTTTTCTTCTACTAATCTCTGCTTTCCTTTTCAATGAACTAGGATAGTGGATTTTATTAACAGAAAGGAACACGTTTCTAACAATGAGCACAAATATTCATACTCAATTATACTTTTTCCCACTGTGGATCAAAGACTTGGGGCAGCAAAGAGCCTCTGTCCCTTGGCTATAGCAAAAATGTATACTTTTATGATCTGATATCAGGAAGCAGTTTATAGAGTTCAATATATTGTCTTGTTGAGATATCTAACCTTGGGTGAAAATGTTACCTTCTTCTAACAGATATTATAAGCTTAATAATAATATCCAACTCTGGTTAGACTTGAGAACATTAGCATATCCTGGCATGAATGGATATCAATTGATCAGAATGTAGTAAGGACTATATAATTGTTAATCATTCATTTTCAACTACTTATTCTAAGAAAAATAATCAAAAAATGTTTTGAGCACAAATATGTTAATTTAACTGATATATTATATTATATTAGTAATACAAACGTAGAAAGCAAGCCAAAATAACAAAAGTAGAATGATTTATCTGTTGCACTAAGTTTGACATTTAGCATAGCTTATGACACAGAGTAAATGCTAAATTTAAAAGAAACTAATTGAATAAAACATAATTAATCTATTGAATAAAGTTAGTAGAAAAATAATTTGCTGCATGAAACATGTTTACAAAACACGCTAGGTTTTTAACTTCAACAAAAATATGTGTATTAGCTATAATTGCAACTATGAAAATACTGAATGCATGTGCATAAAAATACTTGATTTTTAGGGTGGAAGGATTATAGAAAGCTTTTTTAAAAAAGTTACTTTCTACATGTCAAAGCCTTGTACTTAAAACACGAAATAATGAGAAAATTAAGAGAATATTTACCTTTATGTAAGTCATAAGTGTAAGAAATCTCTGAATTGTGATTTTAGTTGTTTGAAAATAAGCTTTTATAGCTATTAAATATTTCTAAAGTTAAGATCATTTTTGTATAACTTTTGATTTGGTCTGTAAAGTAAAAAGATGAATGAATACAGTTGACAAGAACTTGATCCACATACATATTGGCACATTCTTCAAGGCTCTGTTTCTTGTTTAAAGTTCTCTGGAATAAAACTATTACTGACAGTGATGGATTCCATGTTATTTTTTCATTAAATCCAATACTCATCTGATGTTGATTTTGCCAAATTTCTGTCATTTCTTTATTGCTGAGGATTTTATTGTGAAATGAAAGTTTCCAGGGCATTAATTGCTCCCTTGAAATGCTGCACTCTCATTTGTCTCAAGGTCTTCTTTTCATGGCATTTTTACCTCCTCATAGTTGTTGAAATTAATGACTAATATATTCAGACTTGAACGCATTCCTGCAACCCATAATAGTGTTAATTAGTGTCTCGATTGGACAGGGTATAACAAAAAATATGCATATTGTTTTATATAAAGAATGACATACATGGAATTAGAAAATGCATGACATTTACTCACTTCATAAAACATACAGTAACATGGTATGGAAGGCATTACCATATTTAGGTTAACGAGGATCAGAGGTCATTTTGAAGGTAGCTTAATGCCTAATCTCCAATATTTCCTGACAGTTCATTTGTTTGTAAATATTACTGGTGTCAGAAAGGCCTTTCATCCTTAGCAGTGAAGTGCTAGTAATATACGCTAACAAATAAGACCAAGTCCAGTCTGCTTGGCAGACACTTAGGCAAATTTGATTAGCCTTATGATGGCCTGCTTGACCAGAAATGCCAAGAGTAGCTGTAGTCCAACTCAAAAAGGAACTTGCTAAATCAACCATTCGTTAAAGAGAAATGTTTTCTTCTGCCATGATTATCCTTTATAACCTCCCTGGTTGGAGAAGTAAGCTTGTCCTCAGGGGTTACTTGCATTATTCTAAGAAATTTGCTTCACTGGAGTCCTTATGTCTTCTCTTTCTATGTTTTTGGATCCTGACATTTTCAACTCCACTTCTGAACACTCAGAGTCTTCTTCTTAACTATATCTGTGGATTAGAAAATATACCCATTATTCATCACATACACACCATGATATTATGATAGATGTATTTTAATTTTCATCCATTACTTCTGGCTCTCAGCTCCTGTGAGCCTTGTTACTTCCTAAGTGACTAAAGCAGTAAGAATAACTTTTGTTCAAGTATTTAGCCTTTGTCCTTGGTTCCTGAAGTAGATCTTGAACAATAAAGGTTAGAGGCAGCCTTGTGTTATTTACAACAAGCCCTTTCAAAGAAATTTATGTTAATGAGGTGATTTTTGGAAAGCCTTGGAAACCACTGGATGTCCAGGAGGATCAGCCAAGTGTCCAGAGGGATTAAATTTTCAGGGGAGGGCAGAGAGGCTAAAGGTCAAGTTGATCACTGAAGGCCAATGGTTAATCAATCATGCCTACATAATGAAGCCTCCACAAAAACCCAACAGGACAGGGTCCAGGAAGCTTCTGAACACATGGAGGCTGACAGGAAGCTGCACAAGAGCTCATTCACATGCCAGGAGGGTGGCACTCCCTAGCTGCACAGGGACAGATGTTCCTGCACTTAGAACCTTCCAGATCTCACCCTATGTATCTCTTCATCTAGTTCTTTATTTGTGTCTTCCAAATATCTCTTGTAATACACTGGTAAATGTAAATGCCTGAGTTCTGTGAACTACTCTAGCAAATTAATTGAAGCTGACAAGGGGGTTGTGGGAACCCTGATTTATAACTGGTAAAATAACGTGGGGGCTTTGGATCGGCATCAGAAGTGGAGAAGGAGGGAAGTCTTGCAAACTGAGCCCTCTACCTGTGGGATCTGCTACTATCTCCAGATAGATAATGTCAGAATTGAATTGGAGGATACCTAGCTGGTGTCTGCTGCAGAAATTATTGCCCTCTTGTGGGTGGGGAGAAATCCCTACACATTTGTTCAGAGAACTCTTCTACATAGATGCTTATTATTGTTGTGGTGTGAGAGCAAAGAAAAAAAAGAGTTTGAGCTGTTTTTCCATTCTCAGACATATATATTAGAGGATGGTATAAAGATTTCTATGACCCTAAGTAGATATTCTGAACCATTGTTTTGATCTCTGACCCCTGTTAATGAAGATGTGTTTGGTACAACATATTTTTGATGTTAATCAATCTATTTATGCACACTTTCATTTGTTAGGTTTATATAATCTTGCCTTTTCCAAACTGCATTCACTTGTCTCATTTTCAGTTGTAATGCAATATTTCTGTGGCAATACTATGAAGCTTCCAATGAAGAGTTACGTTGTCCTCCTCCCCGGTCAAACCCTCCTGGGACCCACTTACTGTGTTAGAATCTACTATCAATTTTCCAATCAACAATGATCAGGAAAACAC
Organism: Homo sapiens; assembly: GCF_000001405.40. NCBI lineage: Eukaryota > Metazoa > Chordata > Mammalia > Primates > Hominidae > Homo > Homo sapiens. Next base: position 48,999,537 of record NC_000007.14, read on the forward strand.
ATAAACTAGAGGACATCTTGTTCTACTCAACAATGCTGGAGAGCTAGATATAAACCACGAAAGAGTTCTGAAACAAGGTACGTGGTAGAAGATGGACGTTTGTTCATTTGTTGCCTCTCAAAGAGTGTTGAATAGGGAGCAGCAGACTTAGAGGGTGTGTCTTTATCTAGCTTCCAATCCCCACTCCTGAAGAGTGAATATAAGAAACATTTCTGGAATTATGGTACAGATTCTTGAATCTCCTCTGCAGGTGAGAAGCTTGAAATGTCATCTGAAGAGCAGGCACCAAGGCATTGCCCAGCAGCTGTGCCTGGAAGCTGCTGCCCACTTGTCCCCTACACCTGCAAGGTGGGGGGCACAACATGATCTGAAGCCACACTCAGACATCAGTGGTCACGATATCAGACTGACTCAAATGATGGCCAGGGAACCTCTCTAGTCCCTCATTTGTTTGTAGCTGTCACTGCAGCCTGGTCATCTAGTAAAGACCACAGCAGCCAAATATGCAACTTGTGCTGCTGCTCTGAGTCTCATTTTGTGACAGCCACTTTATTCCCCAAAAAACTCAGAAGCCCCATAATATGAAAGCATCTCTAAAAGAGGTAAAAGAGGAAACCCTTGAGAAGGGGGAAGAAATCCGTGAGAAGCAGGTTTTGAATTGGACAGTGATTGAGATAATGATATTTGAATTTGAGTTAAGAATTACAGAACAAGACAAAGTGTACCAGATTAGACTAAATTAAGTTTTCCACTATTAGTAAAATTGGTGCTCTGGAGCTAGAATAATCTTGCTTTTATAATTTTTTAAAAGTTCCTGGATTTGTGGAATGCAGCACTAGTGAAACTTCATATTCTTTAGATATATGAATATTCACACAAACTTGATGAAGTGGACAGATAAATTATCATTATTATCATTTAGAAATGAATAATTTGAGCTTCAAAGGAACTGGGTTTGCCTTGAAAACCACAGTCTACTCATTTCAAAACCAGCGTTTGTCCTATTCCTCTGATAGACCTTCCAAATATTCACCAAGTACACTATGCTTAATCATGGCAGAGAATACATGTGTCACACTTCTTTAGGATTGGGAAAAGTTTTCATAACAATTACTATTTAATTGCATTTATAATAAACTTTGCAAATCAAATTTTCATTATATAATATCCCAGCCAGAGGCCTTACCCTCAAAAAGAATATAGGTTGATAAGGTAAAGGAGATGTGAGTGTCTTAAGTAACTAAAAGATTTGAAGAAAATTCGGAGTGGTAATAAATTTATAAGGATTTTCTCAGAGGGCACTAAACCCTTTTCAATACAACAGAACACAGAGGTACCACACCAACTCACCCAGCCCCACCCTTTCTCTCAGGAGGAAGCAGGAGGGCGTGAGTGACTGCCAAGAGCAAGACCCCGGACCAGAGCTGCAGGACTGAGGCAGGGGCAAGGTGTCCTGGGCAAAGCAGGACACTGTTATGGAAAAATACAAACCCGACTAAGGTTTTACCTCTAGTGAAATGTTTAACGCAGCTTCTAATGACTTTATGTAGACTATCACGTTGACAATACCCCTTTATTTTTTGGTTCATGATAATTTTGAAAAATAGTAAGAGTAACAGAATTTTTTTTAAGTTTTTGCCTAAAATTGATGAGATTGAAACATTAAAAAATAAATCTTCCAAAACACATTCACGTGAAAAATCACATTTGCTTTAGTATATAATTTCCTCTGTTTATATGGTAAGAAAAAAGGCACTGGAAACTCTAAAAAGTGTGTATAGCATTAGCTTATTATACCTCACAGTTACGAACATTTAGTGAATTCTCACTGTGTACAATTCATGTGGTTAGAAGTCTGCATATTTGCAAAAAATTAAGATAACACGTGTTTTGTTCTCAAAGGATTTGTAAAACAGTGGAGGTGATAGATAATTCAGCAAGGATATCAAACTAAACACAGAGGTAGAAGAAAGATAAAGTGTTTAACACTGAATATGATAATGTAGGCCTGCTTTATTGAAGCAGTATCATTTAGGTCATTTTGGTATGTGTGTCAGTTATCCATGTTTTGCCTTTCAGCTCTAAATCCTTTGCCCTGCTTTGGGACACTTGGAGCTGGACCCTGTGAACAATTCTCCTTTAACAGCTGGCACAATGCTAAACATTGTCAGTAGAGGGTGCTGGAGAGACACTGTCCCAGGAAGATGCTATCTTCCGGGTTTTGGTGTGCTTCCCCCATCCTGCTCCTGTGGTGCCTGACTGACAGCTCCTTGCATTGCACCCAGTGGCAACTGTCCTCACCCAGGTAGAGGCTTCACAGCAAGTTTCACTTTTCAGTGCAAAACAGTAGATGGCTTCCCAGAGTCTTGCTGGTCACTGAATGACTGGTTTTCTGCTTGCCATTTTGGCCTGGGCCACTTCTGTGAAACCCTCTACCATCCAGCTGGTCATAGCCACACTCTCTTCAACCTGACCTGCATGACACCCTGAGAGGGTGGGAACTCTTATCCAGGTTTGTTCCTTCTTTGGGGTTCACTCCAAATTCCTGCCAACTCATTTCTATTTGTGTGAGGAATTCTGATTTATGTCTATTTGCAGCCATCATTACTTTTCTGATATCTATCCTATTCATTTTATTCTGAAAATCCCAAACAATCCCAGGATGTTTTATAGCTAAGAAGCAACCAGCTCAACATCGCTGTTGAGACAGAGGGGTGCCAATTCAAGCCATCCCTCCCAGGATCAGATGGCTTGTCCTAATGACCCATTGACACTATTGGGGTGTTGACTACACATTTTCTCCTGTGTATATCTATTTATTTCTAACTGCACTATTGTATGTAGTACTATAAACTGTGCAAAGATGATGTTTTCAGGGAAACAGGAACACGGAAGAGGATGCAGCAGGAACATTGGAGCCAGTTAACCTGCATTTGAACCCTGGGCCTGAGCTTTGCTGATTATGTTTTTGATCAACTTAATTTTTCTGAAGATTAGTTTTATGAAATATGTAACCACACTCCCTTACTTGCCTTATCTCTGTCTTTCCAAGCTCCTCTAAATGACATAATTTTGTCTCTCCTTTAAAACTATAGTTTGGTATTGCCATTTTTGCCATTACTTTCAACAGCAAAAACTGTAAATACTTTTGTACCAACCTAACAATTATAATCAAATCCCTAAGCTAATTTTGATCAGGCAGAAATGGATGAGTCAATTCTACCTATTGATGATTTGCATCATTCTTTACATAGGTTTCATTGTGTACTTAGGAGAATTCTAAGTACCCATTTACCCTGCTTTAACACTCAGGAGTATTTTAAAAGAATATTTATTTATTATAAACATTAAACCCATATAAAATTAGAGACAAGGGTATAATTGAAGCTCTGTTGACTCACAACCTGCAACTTATAGTTGTTAAAATTTTAGTATATTTCTTTTATCCTTTTGGATTTATTTATTGTTATTGCTACAAATTTTTAAGGTAGATTATATGTATTATAATGTTTCGCTCTTAAATAATTCAACATTCATCTACAAAAAATGAGGACATTTTCTAACACAACCATAATGCCATTATCACAACTGACAAAACTGCAATTAATCTTTACTAATGTCTAATATCCAACCAGTTTTCACATTTTGCGTCAAAATAAATATCTTTATTAGAAATAAGAAGGTATATAGGCCCACCCCAGTGAATTTTTCTGTTAAATTTTTTTTAAACAGGAATATATTCTTTCTGTGCTTTTATATGTACTTTCTCATGATGTAAACTTGAAGAAGGCAGTTTTAGTCAATTTTTCTCATGGGGGCATTTATCATGTTCCTCTATCCTTTTAATTTTAGATACAGTATAAATGAGCTCTAAATGCTTTTTAGGATAAATTTGATTTTTTTTTGCAAGAATATAGTATAGAGAGTGTTGGGAATGTTAGTTAGCCATGAACTTTTTATTACACCAAACATCAGTTAATTTCTTGAAGATTGGCTTTTGAAGGAAGTTCAAGGAAACAGTATATGATGACTTCTAAATTAAAATAAAAATAAAAGTCAGTTATCTCAATCATACTCTTTTTATTACACTTTAAGTTTTAGGGTACATGTGCACAATGTGCAGGTTTGTTACATATGTATACATGTGCCATATTGGTGTGCTGCACCCATTAACTCGTCATTTAACATTAGGTATATCTCCTAATGCTATCCCTCCCCGCTCCCCCCACTCCACAATAGGCCCCGGTGTGTGATGTTCCCCTTCCTGTGTCCATGTGTTCTCATTGTTCAATTCCCACCTATGAGTGAGAACATGCAGTGTTTGGTTTTTTGTCCTTGCGATAGTTTGCTGAGAATGATGGTTTCCAGCTTCATCCATGTCCCCACAAAGGACATGAACTCATCATTTTTTATGGCTGCATAGTATTCCATGGTGTATATATGCCATATTTTCTTAATCCAGTCTATCATTGTTGGACATTTGGGTTGGTTCCAAGTCATTGCTATTGTGAATAGTGCCACAATAAACATACGTATGCATGTGTCTTTATAGCAGCGTGTTTTATAATCCTTTGGGTATATACCCAGTAATGGGATGGCTGGGTCAAATGGTATTTCTAGTTCTAGATCCCTGGGGAATCTCCACACTGACTTCCACAATGGTTGAACTAGTTTACAGTCCCACCAACAGTGTAAAAGTGTTCCTATTTCTCCACATCCTCTCTAGCACCTATTGTTTCCTGACTTTTTAATCAACGCCATTCTAACTGGTGTGAGATGGTATCTCATTGTGGTTTTGATTTGCATTTCTGTGATGGCCAGTGATGATGAGCATTTTTTCATGTGTCTGTTGGCTGCATAAATGTCTCCTTTTGAGAAGTGTCTGTTCATATCCCTCGCCCACTTGTTGATGAGGTTGTTTGTTTTTTTCTTGTAAATTTGTTTGAGTTCCTTGTAGATTCTGGATATTAGCCCTTTGTCAGATGAGTAGATTGCAAAAATTTTCTCCCATTCTGTAGGTTGCCTATTCACTCTGATGGTAGTTTCCTTTGCTGTGCAGAAGATCTTTAGTTTAGTTAGATCCCATTTGTCAATTTTGGCTTTTGTTGCCATTGCTTTTAGTGTTTTAGACATGAAGTCCTTGTGCATGGCTATGTCCTGAATGGTAATGCCTAGGTTTTCTTCTATGGTTTCTACGGTTTTAGGTCTAACATTGAAGTCTTTAATCCATCTTGAATAAATTTTTGTATAAGGTGTAAGGAAAGGATCTAGTTTCAGCTTTCTACATATGGCTAGCCAGTTTTCCCAGCACCATTTATTAAATAGGGAATTCTTTCCCCATTTCTTGTTTTTGTCAGGTTTGTCAAAGATCAGATAGTTGTAGATATGTGGCATTATTTCTGAGGGCTCTGTTCTGTTCCATTGATCTATATCTCTGTTTTGGTACCAGTACCATGCTGTTTTGGTTACTGTAGCCTCGTAGTATAGTTTGAAGTCAGGTAGCGTGATGCCCCCAGCTTTGTTCTTTTGGCTTAGGATTGACTTGGCAATTCGGGCTCTTTTTTGGTTCCATATGACCTTTAAAGTAGTTTTTTCCAATTCTGTGAAGAAAGTCATTGGTAGCTTGATGGGGATGGCAATGAATCTATAAATTACCTTGGGCAGTATGGCCATTTTCACGACATTGATTCTTCCTACCTATGAGCATGGAATGTTCTTCCATTTGTTTGTATCCTCTTTTATTTCATTGAGCAGAGGTTTGTAGTTCTTGAAGAGGTCCTTCACGTCTCTTGTAAGTTGGATTCCTAGGTATTTTATTTTCTTTGAAGCAATTGTGAATGGGAGTTCACTCATGATTTGGCTCTCTGTTTGTCTGTTATTGGTGTATAAGAATGCTTGTGATTTTTGTACATTGATTTTGTATCCTGAGACTTTGCTGAAATTGCCTATCAGCTTAGGGAGATTTTGGGCTGAGATGATGGGGTTTACAGGTATACAATCATGTCATCTGCAAACAGGGACAATTTGACTTCCGCTTTTCCTAATTGAATACTCTTTATTTCCTTCTCCTGCCTGATTGCCCTGTCTAGAACTTCCAACACTATGTTGAATAGGAGTTGGTGAGAGAGGGCATCCCTGTCTTGTGCCCATTTTCAGAGGAAATGCTTCCAGTTTTTGCCCATTCAGTATGATATTGGCTGTGGATTTGTCATAGATAGCTCTTATTATTTTGAGATACGTCCCATCAATACCTAATTTATTGAGAGTTTTTAGCATGAAGGGTTGTTGAATTTTGTCAAAGGCCTTTCTGCGTCTATTGAGATAATCATGTGGTTTTTGTCGTTGGTTCTGTTTATGTGCCAGATTACGTTTATTGATTTGCCTATGTTGAACCAGCCTTGCATTCCAGGGATGAGGCCCACTTGATCATGGTGGATAAGCTTTTTGATGTGCTGCTGGATTTGGTTTGCCAGTATTTTATTGAGGATTTTTGCATCAATGTTCATCAGGGATATTGGTCTAAAATTCTCTTTTTTTGTTGCATCTCTGCCAGGCTTTGGTATCAGGATGATGCTGGCCTCATAAAATGAGTTAGGGAGGATTCCCTCTTTTTCTATTAATTGGAATAGTTTCAGAAGGAATGGTACCAGCTCCTTCTTGTACCTCTGGTAGAATTCGGCTGTGAATCCATCTGGTCCTGGACTTTTTTTGTTTGGTAAGCTATTAATTATTGCCTCAATTTCAGAGCCTGTTATTGGTCTATTCAGAGATTCAACTTCTTCCTGGTTTATTCTTGGGAGGGTGTATGTGTTGAGGAATTTATCCATTTCTTCTAGATTTTCTACTTTATTTGCATAGAGGTGTTTATAGTATTCTCTGATGGTAGTTTGTATTTCTGTGGGATCAGTGGTGATATCTCCTTTATCATTTTTTATTGGGTCTATTTCATTCTTTTCTCTTTTCTTCTTTATTAGTCTTGCTAGTGGTCTATCAATTTTGTTGATCTTTTCAAAAAACCAGCTCCTGGATTCATTGATTTTTTGAAGGGTTTTTTTGTGTCTCTATTTTCTTCAGTTCTGCTCTGATCTTAGTTATTTCTTGCCTTCTGCTAGCTTTTGAATGTGTTTGCTCTTGCTTCTCTAGTTCTTTTAATTGTGATGTTAGGGTGTCAATTTTAGAAATTTCCTGCTTTCTCTCGTGGGCATTTAGTGCTATAAATTTCCCTCTACACACTGCTTTGAATGTGTACCAGAGATTCTGGTATGTTGTGTCTTTGTTCTCGTTGGTTTCAAAGAACATTTTTATTTCTGCCTTCATTTCGTTATGTACCCAGTAGCCATTCAGGGGCAGGTTGTTCAGTTTCCATGTATTTGAGTGGTTTTGAGTGAGTTTCTTAATCCTGAGTTCTAGTTTGATTGTGCTGTGGTCTGAGAGACAGTTTCTTTTAATTTCTGTTCTTTTACATTTGCTGAGGAGTGCTTTACTTCCAACTATGTGGTCAATTTTGGAATAGGTGTGGTGTGGTGCTGAAAAGAATGTATATTCTGTTGATTTGGGGTGGAGAGTTCTGTAGATGTGTATTAGGTCCGCTTGGTGCAGAGCTGAGCTCAATTCCTGGATATCCTTTTTAACTTTCTGTCTCATTGTTCTGTCTAATGTTGACAGTGGGGCGTTAATGTCTCTCATTATTATTGTGTGGGAGTCTAAGTCTCTTTGTAGGTCTCTAAGGACTTGCTTTATGAATCTGGGTGCTCCTGTTGGGTGCATATATATTTAGGATCATTAGCTCTTCTTATTGAATTGATCCCTTTACTATTATGTAATGGCCTTCTTTGTCTCTTTTGATCTTTGTTGGTTTGAAGTGAGTTTTATCAGAGACTAGGATTGCAACCCCTGCCTTTTTTTGTTTTCCAGTTGCTTGGTAGATCTTTCTCCATTCCTTTATTTTGAGCCTATGTGTGTCTCTGCACAGGAGATGAGTTTCCTGAATACAGCACACTGATGGGTCTTGACTCTTTATCCAATTTGCCAGTCTGTGTCTTTTAACTGGAGCATATACCCTTTCTTCCAGTTGATCAAATCAGCTACTGAGGCTTGTGCATTTGTCATGTAGTTCTCATGCCACGGTTTTCTACTCAAGCCTCAGCAATGGTGGGCACCCCTCCCCCAGCCTCGCTGCCACCTTGCAGTTTGATCTCAGACTGCTGTGCTAGCAATGAGTGAGGCTCTGTGGGCGTAGGACCCTCCTAGCCAGGTGGGCGATATAATCTCTTGGTGTGCTGTTTGCTAAGACCATTGGAAAAGCGCAGTATTAGGGTAGGAGTGACCTGATTTCTCAGGTGCCGTCTGTCACCCCTTTCTTTGACTAGGAAAGGGAATTCCCTGACCCCTTGAGCTTCCTGAGTGAGGTGATGCCTTGCCCTGCTTCGGCTCATGCTCAGTGCGCTGCACCCACTGTCCTGCACCGACTGTCTGATGCTCCCCAGTGAGATGAACCCAGTACCTCAGTTGGAAATGCAGAAATCACCCATCTTCTGTGACGCTCATGCTGGGAGCTGTAGACTGGAGCTGTTCCTATTCGGCCATCTTGGCTCCACCCAGCTCGATCATACTCTTAAAAGGTGCACGTGGTTTTTCTCATCAAAAGAAAGCTTTCACTTTAAATGGGGAACCACATGTTCACTCTAAAAAAAAGCAAAAATATAATGTTAAGTAAATGTAATTTTACACATCAACAGTAGCTGTCTTGTGTTGATTTAGAAAATAAATTCCTTTAGCTCCTTGTTTCTTAGGTTCTAAAAGTTCACATAGTTTCTTGGGAAATCATAGTTCTTGACACCATTTTGAATTAACATATTGGGAAATAGAACAGGAAATGTAAAAAACACAAGTGAAACACCCTGATAAATGGAATTACAAAAGTTATGACTAAATGATCCTAAAATATAATAGAAATCTAAAAATGTACCTTGAAAATGTAGAAATAAATATTCTTGTGAATATATGTACAGTTTTAGAAGTATAACTGTGTATCTACCAGATACACAATTCTGTGCAACAAGATGTCATTGCCATAGGTAGAAATAGAAATTTACATAGAGCAAAGCCATGAGCAATTTAATTTCTTCTTTTCTCTAAGAAAACAATGCTAGCAATACACTCAATCAAATCTAATCTTATAGTGACAGAAACATATGCTTTTCTTTAACTTTATAGCTCATGTAAAACCAAAATCCTAGCACATATTTCTAAATGCTTAAATGATTTTCAAATTATTTATACATTTTATGGCATTCACAATTATAGTAACTAAAAGATATTTTTAAATTCCTATTTCTTGCAGGTAACTTGTTAGCTCATTTTATTTTGCCTTCGATTACATTGCCATAATTTTTATATTTTTAATACCTGTAACAAGTTTTCCTGCTATGATATTTAACAAATAACAATAACCCACAATATCAGGTTAATTAATGGACAGGTTGATCTCCACATCTCAATTGTTGCACACACATCTCTCAGAGAAATCTCTATCATACTTTATTTGTGTCATTCTTTTGGTCAAAAATGTCTTATTTTAAATATCTTAGTAGACATCACAGTCAAACTATAAATAATTATTTCCAAGAATTTGTATTATTTAAACTACACTTCTTTTTTGGTCTCAAAACTCCCGGTTATCTCTTTTGTATATTTCATGCTCTAGAATTTGGGCTAATCCTGATTCTGTTCTGCACCATCTTTGTAATTTTATAAACTTTTGAAACTGGACTATTTTTCCCATAGCATCATTTGTAAAACTCCTACTCATTTTCAAAGTTTTTGTTTTGTTTTGTTTTTTAATGTCAGGACTTGATTTTTCTGAACTATGGATTTCTTGATTTGTACTTCTCTCATGGGAACTACCTCACTGTGACCTGCTCTAGAGGGTAGAAGGGTGGCTTCAAGCACACATCCACATCTCAATCATCAGAATCTGCACATCTTACCTCATATGGCAGATGGTGTGATTAAATAAAGGAGTTTGAGAGGAAGAGATTATTCTGGATAATTACCTGGATTATTATCCTATGTTAGGTTGACCCTAAATGCAATTACGTATATTATTCTAAGAGGAAGACAGAATTAGAATCCCTTTCCACCCAAGAGAAGGCAATATGAAGACGTGAAGATAGAGTAGAGATAGAGAGATGCGACCACAAGCCAAGAATGCTGATGGTCACCAGAAGCAGGAAGAGGCAAGGAAGGTGTTTTCCCCCAACCTCCTGAGGGAGCACAGACCTGCCCACATGTTCATTTCAGAATTTTATCATCAAAACTGTGAAAGAATAAGTGTTGTTATTTTAAGCCTCCAAATTTGTGGTAATTTGTTGCTTTTGTTTCATTTGCTGTTTTTGAGTCTTGATTTGCCAATTTTATTGTAAGTTACTTCAAAAATTGTGAGTGGACCTTATTTACATTTTCTCAATCATTTAGATTAGCATCCAACACACAAAACTAACACTAACCTGAGTGCCAGATACAATGCTGAACAATGTAAAAAGCCCCCTGCCTCTATTCACTTCTAATGGGAGATACAGGCAAGTATTTTGGTTTGTATGCTACAGGGTATTTAGCTTATGGGAGATACTGTGCTATGAAGCTAATTGCAGTGATCTTGAACCAAATTTGGAACATTTGAAAAAGACATTTTTGAGGAATGCAATCTATTCTATGCTGAACCTGGAAGTTGAATATAGTTTAAGCAGGTATAGTGATGGGGGATGAAAGTTTCGGGAAAAAAACATTTAAAAAACATAGTAGGATCAATAGCCTGAAGGAAAGGCAAACCATGGGCCGTTTAGGCAACGTAAGAAGATTTCCGGTGTTTGAAGTTGTAGAGATTGGATGTGAGGGTGTAGGATGCAGTAGTGCCTGGTGGAGAAATTACATATGATACTCCAAAAGTAAAAAGGAAACAGATCACAAAAATTTTCAAGTGGCACAGTAATTTGTTTTGTTGGAATTCCAAGTACAGATATTTCTGTGTTTTACACAAAGCACTGAATCTTCTGGACAGGAAACAGCATAAGTGGAAGAAAGGCAGAGTAAAGAAAGGGACACTGGCTATGAGGTAGCTGGGACAATCTAAACCAGAAAAAAATGACATCCTTGATCAGATTATTGTCCATGTATATAGTGAATTGTGAAAAGTTATAGAAATATTCAACGACAGCAACCACAGAACTCAAACCAAATGAGGAGGACACAGAAATTAAAATATAATGGTAGTGTTCACAGCCATGATGGAGTAACCAACACAGAATAAGTTCTTTTGCAGTAAACAGCTGTAAAACTGTACAAACTACATGACATAAATGCTTACCTTATTGGATAGTCAGCAAAATTGTGATTCATGAGGGAAGGGAAACAAGTGAGGTAAGCTACTCAGTATATCTAACATTGGCTCTTTGTACATCACAGCAGCAGGTTGGGGGTGGGGCACAGCATGCTGGTCCTATAGAACTGAGGAGGGAGAGATGAGAGTTCAGAACGAATGAACTACTGTAGGTTGGAATCTGGGGGCAGGTTCAGAGGGAAGGGAGCTAAGTGGAGAAAACCTCCAGAAATTTGCATGAGGCTCTTTTTGAACATTTGGTAAAATATTAAATTGTTCATTTGTAGGATGGAAGGCTATTTGGCTAGCCAAAGAACAACTGTTAGTGAAAAAAATAATTCTAAGGAGTTATGATACAAGAAATACCTGGAGCTCCTAAAGGACTGGGAGTTGCTCAACTCCAACCAGCCAGAGAGATTAAGCACCTAATCATAAGAAAGGTACTCCAGTAATAACACATCTATGGATAGTGCTAATGCAGCTTAAAAGTAGGGACTACTCAGCTCATCTTGTAAAAGGTTACAAGCAATATTCAAAGGGAATGAGCTCACATGAAAATCTGCGACTCCCTGCCTGAAGAAACAAAACAAAATCTAGACAGTCTGTAAGATAACATCTATAATGCTTAGCATAAAATTAAAATATTACTAAATATGAAGATGCAGGAAAAATTAATTCACAACCAGAAAAACAAATTTGTCAGTAGAAATATATCAAAAATGTAGAAATAAAATATTAACTTAAAGTAGCCATTAAAATATGTTGAGGATCTTAAAGGAAATATCAACTTTGTAGGAAAAAAATGGGGATCTTAATAGTAAACTTGAAACTGTACCAAGAACCAAATGAAAATTATAGAAATGAAGAATAAAATATTTGAGATGAAGCATTCACTCTTTGAGGTTAATAGCATAAGTTCTCAGTGAAATTGAGGAAAAATCATTTGAACATATTCAAATTAAAATGCAGAAAAAATACCTTAAAAATTAAATAGAGTCTGAGTAACCTGTGGGACAGTGCCAAGGCTCCTAACATATGAGAGAAAAGAGAGAAATAGAGTAGAATACATGCTAACTAACATTGGTCACAATTTTTTAAAACTTGATGAAAAATATTAATCCTAGTATCTAAAATGCTCATTGAATCCCAGGTAGAATACATACAGAGCAGCAAACCAAGGAATGTCCATAATCAAATAGCTGAAAACCAAAATAATGAAAACTTTTCAAAAGAGTTGAAGGGGAAAACAAAACATAATACATTAGATACTGTAGTAGGGGATGGGAAGGATAGAATGTCAGTGAACTTAACATCAGAAGCAAAAGAGCACAGAAGACTATGAAACAACATATTTAACGTGCAAAGAGAAAAAAAAATCTAAAAAACAAAAACACCAGCAACCTAAAATCTATTTGGGAGACTTCAACATTCCACTGACAGTATTAGACAAATCAGCAAGGCAGAAAATTAACAAAGATATTCAGGACTTGAACTCAACATTGGACCAAATGGATCTGATAGACCTCTACAGAACTCTCCACCCCAAAACAACAGAATATATATTCTTCTTGATGCCACATGGCACATATCCTAAAATTGTCCACATAATTGGACATAAAACAATCCTCAGCAACAGCAAAAGATCCAAAATCATACCAAACACACTTTTAGACCACAATGTCAATACAAGTAGAAGACAAGACTAAGAACATTGCTCAAAAACATGCAATTACGTGGAAATTAAACAACATGCTCTTGAATGACGTTTGAGTAAATAATGAAATTAAGTCAGAAATCAAGAAGATCTTTGAAACTAATGAAAACAATGATGCAACATAGGGGAACCTCTGGGACACAGTTAAGGCACTGTTGAGAGGGAAATTCATAGCACTAAATGCCCAAGTCAGAAAGTTAGAAAGATCTTATATTAATGACCCAACATCACAACTGAAAGAATTAAAGTAGCACAAACAAATCAACCTAAAGCTAGCAGAAGACAAGAAATAATCGAAATCAGAGCTGAACTGAAGGAAATTGAGACAGAAAAAATTCAAAATATCAACAAATCCAGGAGTTGGAGTTGTTTTTTTTTAAAAAATAACAAGATAGGCCACTCCCTAGGCTAATAAATAAGAAAAGAGAGAAGATCCAAATAAACTCAAGTAGAAATCATGAAGGGAATGTTATCACTGACCCCACAGAAATAGAAATAACCATCAGAAACTACTATTTACACCTCTATGCATAATAAGTACAGAACCTAGAACAGATGGATAAATTTCTGGAAACATACACCCTCCCAAGACTGAACCAAGAAGAAATTGATTTCCTCAACAAACCAATAGCAAGATCTGAAATTGAATCTGTAATAAATAGCCTAGTAACAAAAAAACCCCCAGGATCTGATGGATTCACAGCCTTATTGTACCACATGTACAAAGAAGAGCTGGTACTATTTCTACAGAAACTATTTCAGAAAATTGAGGAAGAGGAAATCCTCCCCAACTCATTCTATAAGGCCAGAATCATCTGGATACCAAAACCTGGCAGAGACACGACAGAAAAACAAAACTTTCAGCCAATATCTTTGATGAACATTGATACAAAAATCCTCAAGAAAATACTTGCAAAATGAATCCAGAAGCACATCAAAAAGCTAATCCACCATGATCAAGTGGGCTTCATCCCCAGGATGCAAGGTTGGTTTAACATATGCAAGTCAATACATTTGATTCATCACATAAACAGAACTAAAAACAAAAACCACATGATTATCTCAATAAACACAGAACAGGCTTTTGGCAAAATTCAACATCTCTTCATGTTAAAAACTCTCAATAAACTACGTACCGAAGGAACATACCTCAAAATAATAACAGCCATCTATAAAAAACCCACAGCCAACATTATACTGAATGGGCAAATGTCAGAAGCATTCCCCTTGAAAACTGGCACAAGATAAGGATGTCCATTCTCACCATTTCTATTCAACATAGTATTGGAAGCCCTAGCCAGAACAGTCAAGCAAGAGAAAGAAATAAAGGCCATCCAAATAGGAAAACAGGAAGTCAAACTATTTCTGTTTGTATGTGAGATGATTTTATATCTGGAAAACCTCATAGTCTGTACCGAAAAACTCCTTCAGCTGATAAACAAATTCAGCAAAGTTTCAGAATACAAAATCAATGTGCACATATCACTAGCATTTCTATACACCAAGAAGAGCCAAGCCAAGAGCCAAATCAGGAAGGCAGTCCCATTCACAATTGCTTCAAAAAGAATAAAATACATAGGAATGCAGCTAACCAGGGAGGTGAAAGATCTCTACAATGAGAATTACAAAACACTGCTTAAATAAATTAGAGAAGACAAAAACAAATGGTAACATCCCATGCTCTTGGATAGGAAGACTCAATATTGTAAAAATGACCACACTGCCCAAAGCAATTTACAGATTCAATGCTATTCCTATCAAACTACCAATGACAATTTTCACAGACCTAGGAAAAACTATTTTAACATATATATGGAATCACAAAAGAGCCCAAATAGCCAAGGCAATTCTAAGCAAAAAACAAAATAAAACAAAACAAACAAACAAACAAAAGCTGAAGGCCTCACGTTACCAGACATCCAACAATATTACAGTGCTACAGTAACCAAAACAGCATGACACTGGTTAAAAAAAAATAGGCATATATATCAGGGGAACCCAACCCCGATAATTCAACATGAGTCCTTTTCTATTTTCCCTAAGTGTCCGCCAGTCTGAGAAATAAAGGGAAAGAGTACAAAAGAGAGAAATTTTAAAGCTGGGTGCCTGGGGGAGACATCACATGTCAGCAGGTTCCTTGATGGCCCCTGAGCCGTAAAACCAGCAAGTTTTTATTAGCAATTTTCAAAGGGGAGGGAGTGCACGAATAGGGTGTGGGTCACAGAGATCACATGCTTCAAGGGCAACAAAAGATCACAAGGCAAAAGGTCAGAGTGAAACTAGAATCACTAATGAACTTTCATGTGCCCCTGTGCACGCATTATCAGGGTTCAAGAGCAGAGAACCGGTCTGACTAGAATTCGCCAGGCTGGAATTTCCTAATCCTTGCAAGCCTGGGCATGCTGCAGGAGACTAGGGCATGTTTCATTCCTATCTACATCTGCATAAAGGCAGACACTCCCAGGGTGGCCATTTCAGAGCTCTCCCCTGGGAATGCATTCTTTTCCCAGGGCTGTTAATTATTAATATTCCTTACTGGGGAAAGAATTCAGCAGTACTTCTCTTACCCATTTCTGGTAATAAGAGAAATGTGTCTCTGTCCTGCCCAGCCCACAGGCAGCCAGACTTTAACGTTATCTCCCTTGTTCCCTGAACACGCTGTTATCCTGTTCTTTTTTCAAGGTGCCCAGATTTCATATTGTTTAAACACACATGCTCTACAAACAATTTGTGCAGTTAATGCAATCATCACAGGGTCCTGAGGCAACATTCATCCTCAGCTTATGAAGATGATGGGATTAAGAGATAAAAGTAAAGACAGGCATAGGAAATCACAAGAGTATTGATTGGGGAAGTGATAAATGTCCATGAAATCTTCACAATTTATGTTCTTCTGCCATGGCTTCAGCTGGTCCCTCCTTTTGGGGTCCCTGACTTCCCGCAACACATATAGACCAATGGAACAGAATAGAGAGCACAGAAGTAATGCCAGACACCTACAACAACTGGATATTTGACAAAGCTGACAAAAGCAAGCAATGGGGAAAAGACTCCCTATTCAATAAATGGTGCTGGGATAACTGGTGACCCATGTGCAGAAGGTGGAAGCTGGATCCCATTCTTACACCGTACACAAAAGTCAACTCAAGATGGATTAAAAACTTAAGTATAAAACCCACAACTATAAAAATCCTGGAAGACAACCTAGGCAACACCATTCTGCAGATAGGTACAAGGAAATATTTCATGACAAAGACACCAAAAGCAATTCCAACGAAAGCAAAAATTGGCAAATGAGATCTAATCAAACTAAGGAGTTTCTGCACAGCAAAAGAAACAATCAACAGAGTGACAGACAACCTACAGAATGAGAGAAAATATTTACAAACTATGCATCTGACAAAGATCTAACATCCAGTATCTATAAGGAACTTAAACAAACCTACAATAGAAAAACAACCCCATTAAAAAGTGGGCAAAGGACATGAACAGACACTTTTCAAGAGAAGACATACATATAGCCCACAAACATATGAAAAAAAGCTTCATACCACTGATCATTAGAGAAATGCAAGTCAAAACCACAATGAGGTACCATTTCACACCAGTCAGAATGACTATGACTAAAAAGTAAAAAAATAACTGATTCTGGCAAGGTTGCAGAGAAAAGGGACCCTTATGCACTCCTGATGGGAGAGTAAATTAGGTCAACCCTTGTGGAAAACAGTATGGGGATTCCTCAAAGAGGTAAAAGCAGAACTACCCTTTGACCCAGAAATCTCATTACTGAGTATATACCCAGAGGAATATAAATCATTTACCATAAAGACACATGCACACAAATGTTAACTGCAGCAGTATTCACAATAGCAAAGACAGGAATCAACCTAAATGCCCACCAATGACCAACTGGATAAAGAAAGTGTGGCACATACACACTATGGAATACTATGCAGCCATAAAAAGAATGAGATCATGTCTTTTGCAGGAACTTGGATGGAGCTGGAGGTTATTATCCTTGGCAAACTGATGCAGGAACAGAAAAACAAATACCACATGTTCTCACTTTTAGGGCGGAGCCAAATGATAACTTTTGAACACAAAGAAGGAAACAACAGACATTTGGTATCTTGAGAATAGAGAATGGAAGGAGGAAGAGGAGCAGAAACAATTACTTTTGGGTACTGGGCTTAATTCCTGGGTGATGAAATAATCTGCAAAACAAACCCCATGACATGAGTTTACCTATGTAACAAACCTTCACATGTACACTCGAACCTAAGGTAAAAGTTAAAAACTAAATACATCCTTCGAAAATCAAAGTAAAATTTGAAGAAAAACAGAATTTGTCAGCAGAATCATACTACAAGAAAGACTAGTTTTTGGCAGGCTAAAAACTTAGATCTGTGGAAAGCAATGAGGAGCATCAAAACAATAAATATGTTTAAAAATGAAAGTGTACCACTTTGTTTTTAACTTAATATATAAATGCTAACAGATGGCTTAAAGCATCAATTAGCATTTAAATATATTAAGTTAAAACAGTATGGTGTTTCCTCAAAGAGCTAAAAGCAGAACTATCCTTCGACCCAGCAATCCTATTACTGGGTACATACCCAGAGGAATATAAATCATTCGATATCATTCTATGGTAATTCTGCAAAGACAGAAGCTTGTGTTTCAGGATAGTTGAGGGCATGTGTGTGTGTGTGTGTGTGTGTGTGTGTGTGTGTGTGTTTCAGGATAGTTAAGAGCATATATATAAGGGGGGAGGGTAGTTCTGCTTTTAGCTCTTTGAGGAATCACCATAATATATCAATAACATCATGTATTTTGTGCTTTATAACATATTTAGAAGTAAAATGTAAAATAACAATAGCTGAAAGCACAAGAGTGAAAACAATGAGAAAACACAAATAATCAAAACTGACACAGACAAATAGAAAACCTGACTATACCTACATCTATTATAGAAATTGAATTTGTAATTTAAAAATTCCCACAAAGAAAAATGTGAGATCAGACAGCTCCAAAAATAAATTCCATGAAATAATTAAAGATGAATTAACACCAATTTTAACTAAACCTTTTCATAAAATAGCAAGACATGGGTTTATATATAAAAACTAGCAAAGGATAGTTTGAAATGAAATAAAAAAGGTTATCACAACAGCATTAAATATATAAAATACATAGGAATCAATCTAATGAAATATATGTAATACCTAGTCCCTGAAAAGTATTAAAAAATGCTGGAATACATAAATAATGGTCTAAAAATAGAAAAAGAAATACATTATGATCATGGATTAGCAGACACAAAGTTGTTAATATGTCAATATTCCCAAATTGGTGTATACATTCAGTGCAGTCCCATTCAAAATGCCTGTAGCTTGGTTCTAACAAATGGCATTCTGATTTTACCATGTATATAGAAATGTAAATGACCTAGAACACAGGCAATCTTTAGAAGGAATAACAGAATTGGAGAATTTACACTACATGATTTCAAGAATTACTACAAAGATACAGCACTCAAGATAGCCATACAGATGAATGGAACAGAATAGGGTCCAGAGACATACTCATACTTGTATAGTAAATTGGTTTTTAACTATAGTGCCATAGCAATTCCACCAGCAAAGATATCTATACAACAAGCCAAGTAAAAGCCATATATATGTCCAAATAAAAACTGGAGGTAGCTTTTTATGTAGCTTTTTATAATCTTAGCAGAGTACAAACTGGACATCTATATGGGATAGAAATAGACAAAATGAACTTGATTAATAACATTTATTCATCAATGAGCTAAATGAATAATAAATAGGCAAGTCATAGGCTGGAGGAAAATATTCTCAATCACACATTTTATAAAATACTTATATCCAAAATACGTCAAGAAATCCTACAACTCGTTAGGGAAAAAAATTAAACAACTTAGTTAATAAATGGACACATGTACTTCAGTACTTCAGCACAGCTCTCTCAGGCAGCATTTAGAGCACTATAATTCTATAGTAGTTCTGCAAAGATGGAAGCTTGTGTTTCAGGGTAGTTAAAGGCGTGCGCGTGTGCATGTGTGTGCGCGAGTGTGTATTGTAAACCAAAAAGCGTCTGAAACTGGTCTCAATCGATTTAGAAAGTTGGTTTTGCCAAGGTTAAGGACTTGCCTGTGACGCATCTCAAGACGTCCTGACATGTGCCCAAGGTGGCTGGGGTACAGCTTGGTTTTACACATTTTAGGGAGACATGGTGGGAGGGGAATCAATATATGTAAGACGTACATTGGTTCAGTCCAGAAAGACAAGACAACTTGAAGTGGGGAGTGGGCTTCCAGGTCATAGGTAGATAAGAGACAAATGATTACATTCTTTTGAGTTTCTAATTAGCCTTTCACTGAATGCACAATGTACAGGAATAGTCACTTATGCCTTAGTCTGGCTTAGTGCAAAGCAAGTGATCACATATGCATTTGTCTCAGGTGAGCAGAGGGATGACTTTGAGTTCTGCCTGTCCTTTGTCCACAAGAAATTTTCTGGTGGGTAAATTGTGAGGGTGGTATGTAGCTTTTCATAATCTTTATAGCTGTCTTACCTAGGAATAGAATGGAAGGCGGATTTGCTCAACGTCGTTCCCAGCCTGACATTTTCCTTTGGCTTAGTGATTCGGGGTTCCCGAGATGTATTTTGCTTCATGATATTCATATATTTTAATCAAAAGGGATCATAGACGTGACAGAGTAGAGAAAGAAGTATCTTTCCTCCTCCCAGAGGCCACCTGGCAGCCTCCAGGTGTGTTCCTTGGCTTATCATGTTGCTGCTGTTCTGTGCTTTTTCCGTTCTTAGAATGGCCTCACCATACATTCTGAGGTTTAAATCCTGTCTGTCTCTTAAAGTTCATTTGTAATGATATCTCTTCCATAAATGCTTCAGTCTGGGGCTCAATACATATATTCTTTCTTGGTGTTTAATGTTTTCAGCATTTTGACTCTGCAGACTAAAACTTTTGCTAATCTTTTAAGTGCTGTTCACATTTACTAGCATATAATCAGATGTCTTACACACGACATCCTTTCAAGAATTGGTCTAAACACACCGCCTAGCAAAAAAAAAAAAAAAAAAAAAGGGACTCAAAAAGCATTGTTGCAGATTCAGTGGAATTATGACAAAAATGTACTTGTTTGACATCAACAGTTTGCTTACTTTTTATACTCCTGTTATTCTATTAGGGCGTGGGAAACAATGTAAAATTCTTGGCATCTACCTTTAGGCAAATCAGGATCTAGTGGAATAGGGAAGCATAGAAATGAGCAAATGTTTAATAGAACAAAAAAAATACCGTGAGATAACTGGGTCTTTGGGTCAACAGAAGGCTCCACAGACAGATAAAGGTAGAAAGCCCACTTCAGGAAATTGAATGAATGTTTACAAAGGCAGAGAAGCAAAAAGTTACAAGTGCAAGAAAAAAGTGCCTAACTTAATTTTGTCCGATTTAAGTGTCATGATGGCCTTAGACTGAACTGGAAACAAAGGTTTAGACCAGACTTTTAAAAATCATTAAATATTAATATTAAAAATAAGAAGTTGTTGAAGGTCCAGAAGAAAATAAAAGTGAGATGATTAGGTCTGTGTTGGAGAAGCATCTCCAAGAAGCAGTGGATTAGGAGTGGGGAGCAGGAGGAGGAAAACAAGTTAGAAATCAAGGGGCACAGCACCAGTGATGGCTGCTTCCATGCCGGCTTCGCAGTGGGACTTAACATAGTAGAAAAAGGAGTCCGTTAAAAGCTTTATAAAAAATATTTCTAGGCTTAAGATCAAGCTCCTGAATTTTCTTTAGGATAGAAGCCATAAAATTACATTGACATTTGGAAATTCTTTACGGCTTTCCTTGGTTCTTTATGAAAAATCCATTACTGCCTATCATTTTCTGAATTTATGAGCATTTCATCTCTGGTATTCATATTTCCTATTCCAATTTAACTTGTTTATTATGTTACAGAATATGATGGGCTACTTTATAAGTTTAGGAAGTTAACCCATCACAATGGATTGGCAAAATGCAAATTCAAAGATTATTTTCTAAAGGATAAATGGACAACTAAATAGGGAAATTTTATTGACAAGAATACCTTTTGAGGAAAACATAATAAATAAAGAACTAATTTGATAAGCTGTTTATAACGAGGTCTGAGGCTCCAAAGTGCATGTGCAGATAAGAAACGGTTCTGAACTTGTCTTTGGAAGACCTTCTTAGGAATTAGATCCCTTTCGTTGGTGGCTACCACTATAATTTAGGGCCAGAATCAGGCTTCCTGTTAATTGCTCTGCAAAATAGAGGCTCTCAAAGGTAATAGCTGCAATCTTAGAAGAAGGAGAAAAGAGATGCTGGGAAGCTGTTTAAGCAAAAATAATTTAAAAATGTATGAAACTGTAGAATATGGATTTTAATGTTGAGCTGTGGGTGTGGGTGATGGACGTCTTGTTCTCTGACTGTTGAAATGATTGAAAAAGACTATCGTGTTCAATCCTGGTTTTATATGAATGGACTCTTCAAGAGGAATTTGAAAAAGTGACAAATGTTATCTTCACAGTAGTGAGAAAAAGAGAGTGGCAACTAAAATCATTTTAAATTACATGCTACTTAGATGATAAAATGATATGTGCCTAATAATTACAGCTTTTTTTTCTAACGGATTTAAGTGTGTGTGTGCATATTAATTATATATTTATACATATTACATATTAATATTTATTATATATTTAAGTGTGTATATATAAAATTAATAATAAATAAATATATATATACACATACTTAAATCCTTTAGGAAAAAAAGCTATAATCATTAGGCTTATATCATTTGATCACCTAAGTAGTATGTAATTTAAAATGATTTTAAATTATATTTTACAATATACAGAATAAATTATATATATTTATTTCTATAGAAAAATATGCTGAAAGCTCAAACCAACTAAGAACAACAGCTGGTTGGGACGATCAGTTTTGGATCCGTAGCCCAGAGGCAGGTTCCAGCATATTCAGATATCAGGCACGGGGTTCACAGATGCCACACTAGAGGGGCTACATGCAGAGTCACAGCATTAAGGCAGCCTTTGCTATCAGAGCCATCAAGACTCACATCTCAGCTCTGACTTTTCCTGCATAAACTTGGTTGCTACTGATCTCTTTGAACATTAGTTTCTTTATTTTTAAAGAGAAGGATAAAGGCAGTTTATAGGACTTATGTATGCATACTTTCTGCATATATAAGATTAATGGTGATGATGCATGTGGCTCAGCTTCAGTAGCTAATCAATAAACATGCTCTTCTGTCTTCTTGAATGAGCCACCAACATTTGGGAAGTTCAGATCCTTAAATGTTCAAAGCTGAAATGACTGGAGATCACACTGGATATCACAATAATAAAAAGAATGTTGGCTTTTTTTCCCCTTATACTCTTTGCAAAATAACTTACTCTTTTTTAGCTCATTTATTTTTCACATAACTTTTTGAGGTCAGGGTTATTTATGCTCTTGATTTTCTCTAGGAGAAAACTAAGATATAATTGTCTTGGTAAGTTGTGACCACTAATAAGAAGTGGTACAATTAAGATTCAAACTCCAAATTATGTCTTGGAATTCACAATAAAATACGATTAGTTAATTTCCCTAGAAGACAAATTTGTCACTAGTGTCAATTGCTTGATCTTAGCCAAAGCAATGGAATATGCATGATTTACTGAAGCTATAACTTTTGTTTTCCTCTGTTTTATCTATTCTTTTTATTATTCATCAAGAAATGCCACTCCCCCACAGTAAATGCCAAAGCATTCAAGATAAAATTTATTTCCTTTTGTCAGATATGGAAGATATTTGACATAAATATTTAATAGACCAGTTGTTCTTGGATTTAAAACTATCCTCTATTTTTCACCTTATAAATGAATACCAAAGGTCTATCCATGGAAAGTGGAGTATTAATTTTAATTTCATGTATATTGCATCATACTGCAAGTATTATTTATAATTGGACTTTTATTTGTGTTACTAGAGATGTGATTTGTTCAAGTAGTAAATCATTGGCAAATACTTGGTAGTTAACTAGATAGGTTGCCCTAATCATTAAGCATTTTTATTTGTTAATAAATCAACTTTACTGACTTCTTTAGGGCTCTATTCCCTTTTTTATCCATCTTAACATTCCTGATGTGTTCATTAACATAAACAGTAGGACTCTGCCAGCCAGGTGGGCCCAAGTAATATATATACTTCTGAAAATAAATTTCAATTTTAATTTTATTTATATGGCTTGAATCTGGTATAAGACAGAGTGTACTAGGATTATGTTTTTCCTGCAGGATCTAGATTACCCAGCCCACAAGTAACATGTGAGTTACTTGGTAAAACTAACAGTGAGGTAGGAGGTTGTTGACTGTGATGGAAGGGACCCTGGACACAAAGTGAGGGAGAGAGCACAGTCCTGTTCAGGTCAACAGAGCTCAAACTTGCTCTGCTTTTGACTCATAGTCTATCTGATCTTTTACAAGTCACTTAACCCTCTGCTCTTCTGTTTCCTTAGCAGTAAAATCTACTGTAAGATCTTTCCTCAGAAGTAAAAATCTACTAATGCCTTGGTAAAGACTGCATAAAGTTTATATGCAAATTGGTAAAACATAGTAGGGATGCAATGTGGACTAGCTTTAATGTTATCATTGGAAAAAACACTTGAGAGCCAAAACACTTTCCCTGGCACTTTTTAGCTGTGAAATATTAAGTTGGTATCAGGCCCCCAAACTTCTCATCTACAGGAATCCTCCAGCAGCCATTTTAAGCACACATTATAGTGTGGCTACACATGCCTCCACCTTCTTGCTTCTCATTTTTCTCTTGTTTGGCAACGTTGGTCTTTGTCTCTGCTGTGCTCTGCTCCCTCCTTACTCTCACCAGCACAGACACTTGAGAAGCACTGCCATTACTTGGGCCTAAAGTCTTCCTAAAGTCCTTTACTTCCTAAAGTCTTCCCTGATGCCTTTAGAATTAATATACATCTCTCTTTGGAACTTGCAATGCACAATAGTTACACATTGCTTTTTGTATTTGTATCTGGTCCCCTATTACAATTATCTATATATCATTTTTTTTGCACCTATTAATCTGTGATGACCTTGAGCATAAGGGTTGACTTTATTTCAGTTTGAATAACAATAGACATTCCTCAAATACTGGGCTTTCTTCCACTTCATGACCACATGCAGGCAAATAAAAAGCCAGAGAGCACATTTTCCTGTGTTAGAAAGCAATTGACAAGGATTAGGATTTTAAATAATAGCTATAGTCATCTGGTAGATGGCAGAGGGGCCTGAGGGAGAGAAATGCACAGGGCAAACTCTAACAGTGTTTATGGACACAGAGGGATTATATAACATGATGAAATGAGAAGAGGCAGAGCCGTGGGGGACATTCATGCTTTCCTGGCTGAATGCTCAGCCACGCAAGGAACGTGCATGCTCCAAGCACTAGCGGGCCTGGCGGGAATCTCGGATGCAAAGGACAAAGGCAGACTCTGCCGCCAGGGATCCAAACAGAATGCAATGGCTCTCAGTTGGTCAAGGACTACACACCACCCTCGCACCTGGCTGATGGCTGCTAAAAGAGCTCTGCTCATGAAATGCCTCTGCTCAACCAATTTTCTGCTGTCTACTGCTTGAACTACTTGTAATATTTTCAAAGAAAAAACAATGTATATATTTGTCATCTAATTTATGCCATGCAAAGGCATTCTACATTATTTTGTGTGTGTGTGTGTGTGTGTATGTTTCCACATTTTAAAAAATGGGAAATTAAGGCACTGATTTAGAAAATAAATTCTCAAAGAAATTAAGCCATGTGCTTAGGGTATCACAGAAAATTAGAGGAATCAAGATTTGAATGGAGCCTTTTTTTCCCCCCTAGTTTCCAAAGCCATTGTTCTTTTCAATCTAGTAGTCTCCTACTTGTTGCAAAACAAATCAAGTAGTTTGGACTTCTCTTGAGAGCTTTGAAGAGCCATTTGAATTTTCCAGGAGTTGAATAGCTGCAATTTAATTTGCTTTTGAAGACAACTTTACAGGCAATGTCAAAGGAGCCTACTAGACTAAAAAGAACAATGGCTTCATTAAAAATTCAGGAAACAACAGGTGCTGGAGAGGATGTGGAGAAATAGGAACACTTTTACACTGTTGGTGTGACTGTAAACTAGTTCAACCATTGTGGAAGACAGTGTGGTGATTCCTCAGGGATCTAGAACTAGAAATACCATTTGACCCAGCCATCCCATTACCGGGTATATACCCAAAGGATTATAAATCATGCTGCTTTAAAGACACATGTACACATATGTTTATTGCAGCACTATTCACAATAGCAAAGACTTGGAACCAACCCACATGTCCAATAATGATAGACTGGATTAAGAAAATGTGGAATATATACACCATGGAATACTATGCAGCCATAAAAAATGATGAGTTTGTGTCCTTTGTAGGGACATGGATGAAGCTGGAAACCATCATTCTCAGCAAACTATCACAAGGACAAAAAACCAAACACTGCATGTTCTCACTCATAGGTGAGAACTGAACAATGAGAACACACGGACACAGGAAGGGGAACATCACACACCAGGGCCTGTTGTGGGGTGGGGGGAGGGGGGAGGGATAGCATTAGGAGATATACCTAATGTTAAATGACAAGTTAATGGGTGCAGCACACCAACATGGCACATGTATACATATGTAACAAACTTGCACGTTGTGCACATGTACCCTAAAACTTAAAGTATAATAAAAAATAAAATAAAATAAAATAAATAAATAAAAAGAAAAACAACACTTTGCATAGTTAAGGTTTGGCTTACTGAACAGCCCTAACTTCTTGTCATCAAAACCGGCCTTTCTCCAATTTTCTGTGTGCTGTTTATTGTTCTGAAAAAATATTTCCTCATCAGCATCTTTGCATATGCCTTGGAAAGCTCTCCCACTCTAGAACATGAAAGAATGTAGCTCACTTTATCACTGCTGGCTAAGACACATACCTTTACACTGCCCTAGACCTCTGAGAGTCATTCTCCCTTGAGCAACTCTCATTGCATTTTGTCCAGGTTAATTGTTTATGTATATATGTGTATATATATCTTAGATATTATATATACATATATTGTGTATGTATATATATATTCCTGGCTAGAAGGGGACAATATGATGACAAGAAAAGCTGCTTATCCTTCTCTGTGTTAAATTTTATGATCCCAGATGCACAGTAGATTACAACCTATTGATTAATCAGTGTTTTTTTATTTCTCCCCTTATTTTGGTGAAACATAAATCAGTTTATTAGTTACATGTATCATGTTTGTTTATCTTTATAAGAATAAGTATGGAAAAGTCTGAAACCATCCTCATAGAATTAAATAAAACTAAATTGCTCGCTTTTCACCAAAAGCATAAGTATTGAATAGCTAAGCATTCAGCAGTTGCCTATAGCCCAATTCCTTATAGCTGCTTACTGCTTAGAAGTCATGTGGCACCTGTCACAAGGCCCTAGGATCTATAGATAACATCTTTGACATTAAGAAGCCTCAAGTCTTCCATTTGAGGTATTTTCCAGATTCTGCATTTCAGTGGGTCCACTGATGTCAGGCAGTCTGAAGACCTCTCTGAGGAGCCGACCAAGTGCTGAAATGTGTTTTTGTCATCCCTTTCTGATGACTTCACCTTTCACTTCATCAGCTCCTCAGCCCCCCGACCTGCCAAAATTTCCTTAAAAAGCTCACTCCAAAACTCCTCAGGGAGCAGATTTGACATTCCCTCCCACCTCCTCATTTGGCTGCCAATCTGTTATTAAACTTGCTCTGCTGAAACTCCTACTCTTTTGGTGCTTTTCTCTGTCACCAGGCAATGGGCACAAACCTCATGGTCCTATAACAAGTTTACTTCCCCCTTTAAAATATATGCGTAATATTAGGTTCACAGATGCCAACTAGAAGTGAAAGAATTCTGGAACTCACATAAGGAAAAAGACAAATCAAAGACAGCCACATGGGAGCCTCACTGCCCTCTCAGCCTAGCCTCAGGAATTCATTTGAAAGTATATTTAATTCTCGCCTTCTCTAGTTTGTTTACATGCCCCTTCCATTGAGGAGTGCAGCCTGGGGAAGAACAAAAGAATGTCTCTCAATCATATAAAAACACAGAGTCAGAAGAAAAAAATAATGTATTCCTTGGGGATCTTGAAGAAACATTTTAATTCTCATTGATTTTTTTAGGTGCGTGTGGTAGTACGAAATAGTTCAAAGTTGTCAGAGAAGGGGAACAATAAAATCTAGTTTGTAAAATATTCCCAAAGCATTTTCTCTTGTCTTAGGGTCTTTTTTCGACATTTCCCTTACTCATGGCTAGAGCTCAGAGGCACTTTTCTTATTTCACCACTTCAATTTAATTTGATTTGATTTTTAGTGTTTCTTCAGATTTCGTTCTGCATGCTTATCATTCATGACTCACCTTTACTTCCTTATCAATATGGAAAGTTATATGTTAAACACATTCGAACAACTTCTGATGAATTCTGACAATTTTTATAAGTTTTCTACCTATATTACCTAGAAGCTGCATAAAGATTTTGCTTTATATCCACAGAATTATAATTTTAGAGTTAGAAGATATCCAACTCAGAGAATATTTAGGTCAAACACCTAATTTCACAGGTGAGGAAGCTAAGAACCTGGTTGTTACATGTGTGGCTCAAGGTTACAAAACTAATTAAGAAAACCCTGAGGACTAAAACACTAATCTCCCAATTCCCAAAGTTTGCTCTCAGACTATTTTGGCTTTTCATGCTAGTTCACATAGTCATTTGATTGAACCTGACTCAAGTTCTAAGCTGTAGAGGTTTCACCCTTGGGCTAGGCCTGATGAGACTCTAGGGTATAATGAAACTGGATTCAGTACCAGAAACTGTCGTGTCTACAGCTCCACTCTTCCCCGTGTGAACAATGGCTTGCCAATTTAGCTCACCTTCTTCAAACACGAGTTCACTATCTATAGAATGCATATTGTGATTCTTACATCACAGGGTCATAGTGAGACAAAAATGAAAGAATAAATATAAATTATTTAATTTAGTTTTCAAGAAAAAGAATATAATCAGGAAATAGCCTCTTCCCCATCATTCCTCTCTGGATTAAGGATATTTCCATCCACATATCCAAATACATATTATCCTAAATTTATATGATAGTCTCTAGCTTACTATGTTCAATTTTGTCCTAAAAAGCTAAGCCATATGGCTTTGTTTGTTTTTTTTTTTCATGGTTTACCAAGAAATGCCTTCATTTATTAAAGTACTCTAACTATACAGAAATGTTTAAACATTTTTTAAATTCCCCCATAAATCAGCCTGCTCTCTTTAGGAAAAACATTAACCATTTGAAATAAAATCTGGCAACATTATAAAA